>NC_000003.12:111584361-111887392 GCF_000001405.40 Homo sapiens | reverse complement strand
TAGACCATGCAACCAAGATCAAGTCTAGAGTGTCAAATTTAAAAATAAGCCTCATTTCAACAAATACGATACGCCCACTATTAAAGAAAAAATATATAACTTCATATTTAGAGCAATATCCACAAAGCTCTCCCAAGAAGTCAAAACTGTTTATGACTTAACAGGCCCAACCTTACAGGCAGTACAGAAGGTCACTTCCTGGATTGCCAAGAACCATACCAGATTTGGAAAATCTGGAGGAAAGAGAAATTCACCAACACTTAGAGATGCTGAACATGAAACCTAGCAGAGATGAATTTCTTGAATTTGGTTCCCTATCCTTGGAACAGAAGAGCAAATAGAAGCATTTAAGGAAGATGTCCGGAGTAATGGAAGCCATTAAAAATGCTCTCCCAGATTTCTTGATAAGTTATCGGATAGAAGTTAATATTCTGGCTTTATAAATAATAGTTGCTCTGCATGGTATAGCATTCTATTTGCTGTCCATATACAAGACTTTTGTATGCTAATTAAAACATCTTCTGAATTTCTGTCAATGAAGCAAGCCCAAACACAATGCCATTTTGTGACCATGAACAGTCTGCAGAGATTATTTATGGTAATAAAGAGGAAAGTCATACTGAGTACTGTATAACTGACCCACTCAAAGACTGTCTAAATTCTCTAAGGGTATGCACATTTGTTTTCATTCACTATTGTCAGTTAGGGTATTTGAAAACTCTGTAAGAACAGACATCAACTTATCAAAAACTATGAGTGATGCAAATGATTACTGCTCTAAAATGTCAAACGTATTTCCTTCTGGATGGATGCAAATGGTTTCTGTCCATTATAATCCAAAGGTTACAACAGGGGTGTCCAATCTTGGGCCACACTGGAGAAGAATTGTCTTGGGCCACACATAAAATACACTAACGATAGCTGATGAGCTTAAAAAAAAAAAAGGCAAAAAAAATCTCATAATGTTTTAAGAAACTTTGAGTTTGTATTGGGTGGCATTCAAAGCCATTGTGGGCCTTGTGCGGCCCACAGGCCACAGGTTGGACAAGCCTGGGTTACAATTTTATTGTCCTATAGGGTATCAACCAGTTTTGTGATTCAAAAATCATATTCTAGAATATTTTAGCGACTAAAACACTGATAATCCTACTGTGTTGCTGTAAATCAGCTTTACTATCCTGCAGCTTCTCTTGTTAAGGAAATCATGAATCAAAAATGAATCAAAGTAATCTCTCACAGATATTCATTCTAAGAGAAAAACCTGTGCTTAAAAGAGAAAGGAAAAATGCAGTTGTTTGTTCTCATTCATTGGTGAGACTCTCAAGGGATGTTTCCCCGTCTTATTTTCAATATTTCAACAATAAGTATAAATTCATTTTAAATGGAAAAAGACAACTCAATAGATCTTGTGAGTATGTGTAGTTTGGAATCACTGTACGTGATAAGAATCAGAGCTAAAGATAGTAAGGTTGTGTATGAACAGTGTGGAGAAAAGCTGAGCACCACTGAGGCAACTCCAACTTTCTAGACAACTTGCTATAAAGACAAATTTACTACCTAATTCTTGGTGAGTCATGATTTCACTGACTACTTCTCATAACCATACACAAGCAAATTTAATGATATAAATAATACAAGTCAGCATTTCCTCATAGTCTTAAAGAGAAGTTTGTAAGACTCAGAAATTTCATAAAATTCCCAACTCCTCTGTTATGTTTTTAAAGAATTTATACTTGTGAGAAGTCCGCAGAGCAACTAAATTAACATTAATTCCTGGAGGCCTTCAAGATAGCCAAACAAGCCTATTAATAGTGATATGGGAAGAAGAAGGATAGCAGGAGAGAAGAGAAAGATAGCAGCTGTGGCTAGTGAACATGAATATCCTATATTCCCACATATCCTGGAGTCCATCTCCAAGGCTGCCCTGTAGATGCTGGTTAATGAAACAGTGAGGTCAATCACTGTTGAGATGAAGATTACCAATCGCTCCATTTCCTGCTCCCTGAGTCTTTCCTCCCTCTGCCGCCGGTGATAATCCATCAGGTCATCACGTCCTGAAATGGAGCTAATACTGCTTTTCCGTTCCCGAAGGGCAGGCTGGGGGGTTCCTGAGGCCTGTCTGAGGCTTTCCAAATCTGCCTCATCAAATTCCACAGATCCACAAGAGAAGTTCCTCCTGGTCGCAAAAACTCTGTCTGACTCTCCAGCAAGAAGTGAATGACTCGGGTTTGTCCCCACATATGAAGCCTGATCAAAGTCATCAGAGGCACAGGAGGAGGTGGAGGCCAGAAGCATCTTCCGAGCCACTCGTGGACTGGCAGGGACACTGAGGGTAGAACTTACATAAGGATTGCCTTCAGAAGCAGAGGTTTTATAGGGTAAAGCCCCTGAGCTCAAAGAAGAAAAATTAAGGTAATTGTCATTGTCTATTACGCTATGAGGTAGATCCTTTTCCCCAAGTTTTGTTCGTTTGGAATTGCCCAGAGAGTTTCTTGGAGGCAAGCTGAGAGGTGTCAGCTGGTTCTCTGTGGCTCTGTACAACCTGGGAAGTGATCGGCTGTAGGCTCCCATGTGACTCAGGCTGCTGCTGGAGTACTTCCTAGTTCTCAAATTGATGTTTTCAGATGCAAGCTCCTTGTGTCTAGTTAACTTGGGTTGAAGCGCCAGGCTGTCCTGAATGCTCATTTTCCTGGCTTGCTTTGGGCTTGAAGGCATGCTTGCGGCTCCCGATCTGCTGATAGGAGGCGGGCCAGCATCACTCAGGGAACTTCCATTCCACATGGCCAGGAGCGAGCCAGATGCCTTCCGACCTTCCAGCCCTCCAAGAGAGTAGACATTGTCATGCGATTTATGCCTTGAGCTATATTTGGAATAGGGAGGCTTCTCTGAGAGCCTCAAGGCCCTTTCACTGTCCCGGCCAGTATAATGATCAAAGTCTGCTCTTCCAAGTGGATATCCACTGAGGGAGGATGTAGTGTTGAGTAAAGGAGTTGGAGGTTTCATAGGAATATTTTTGTCAGTTCCATCATAAGAGAACTGCTTGCTTCCCTGGATTTTGGCTAAGGAGGGGCTGCTTCTGACACTGGTTCCCAAAGGAGAAGGGCTTCTCTTTGCAGGCACAGGTTGTGAGAGGGTTAAATAGGAGCCAGAATAGTCTCCATTGGCTTTAAATCTCAGACTGGAAGAGTATTTCTTTGGGCTGAGGCTCTCCATCATGTTTTGGGAATCGTTCTCAACAGAATGCACCACAGAGTCTTCCTCTAAGCTACCATTTTGTAAATCTAGCTCCTTTTGTATGTAGCTATGCTCTTCCATAATCTTGCTGGAATCTGTAAAGAAATAAAACAGAAAATTTTGCCTTAAAGAAGATTTTAAAAGAACAATCCCTTGTTAGGCCTACATCTGAACAAACAATCTTGCAGTCTGACCTAATGCAACTAACAAACACAAACTCAGTTTTACTAAAAAACCTGTTAAAACCATACAGCAAATTAAAGGAGAATAAAGATCATTGACCTGAGATAACTTATGTACAAAAGAGAAATAAAAGGACAGCAATGACATTTGAGCGAAACAAATCCCTAACCAAGTAAAGGTGCAGGATTAGGCTGGTACATTAAAAAAGACAATTTGTCCTTAATGTTCTGGCCCTTCGAGGAACACCTGCTTCCCTAGTGACTAGCTAATGCCCAAAGGCATAATGCAATGGACTTTCCTATAGCTGTCTCTGCTAGAATCATTAACTGTTCAGAAATAAAGTCCTGAGGAAACAAAATTCACATTTGGGCAGAGAAAAAAAAGTTTACGTTAGACACTGATCAATAACATGAGGGTTAGAAGATGGTTCTTTAAACAAGGACTCTGGGAGTTACCTTCTCAACAAAAAGACTTAAAGCTCCTTTAGTCATCAGAGGTAGGTAATAACAAAGAAAAGGGTATTCCACCAATTATTGACACATGGTCGGGATGGTATATTTAAAAACCTGAAACTGTTATATCCTTTAAATTTTCTAGTACCCCAAATGCACTATGCTCATCCTTGCAAATTCTCTCCTCTAGCAGAAACAACTATCAGGACCTAGTCACTCTTCCAGGGACAGATCAGGATTCTATCTTCCACCATTAAAATTTTTAAGAAAATATGTTTTGAACCCTGGTTTGCACAATGTTAACTTAAAACACTAAAGTTTTAGCCAATGAAAATGTCTTTGAATTACAAACTATTACTGCAAATGGGAAGGCTTATAATTCTACCTGATAAAAAAAAATTTTCTTAGATTATCAGCAAAGGGAAAATACAGTTTAAACATTGTCACTGAACTCATGAACCACTATAACTGTCCTCCAACCCTTAGGCACATCAGACACTAATTATGACATCTCTGGTCTATATATAAACAGTATCACATATGGTTAGTAATGGTTTCATAATGTGGTTGTCTCTGTAACTAGGCCACAAGTTTAAGGAAGAGGTTATGTCTAGTATTTTTATCTTCCACCCCTCTAGCTCTTGTTGTCCTATAGGTGAAAAACTTGATGAACATAAGCTTTCCATTTTAATCAAAGCCTTCCTCACTCCCTCTCAGCCATGGATTAAGGACCTTCACCCTGTTGCTTAGCTTCACACACTTTGTGAGCAAATTCAGGCAGCCTAGTAAAGAGCTGCTTCTTTATCCAGAAGGCCAAGAAACAGTCTGGCTGCATAAATCCTGGTGATGGGCCAGGTACCCAACTGTCCATAAAGGTGCCTTGGGCTCCTTCTCCTCTAACCCAAAGCCCTGCCCAGATAGATACAAACATAATTTATCTTTTTAAATGTACCTCAAGAAAAAAATGAAGTTTCTTCATTATATTTGGCTCCCAGCTGGGATCTAGTCCTGCCATCTAGCTCTTGGTAAGGCTTTCATTTCCTCCAGGACAGTGCCCTTTCTGCCTCCAAGACAAATACTCTTCTCAGCATGTGTCTACTGCTATCAATTCTGGTTTTAAAAGCAACACCAGCCTGGATTGAGAAATATCTTACCATGCCCGCTTAGAGGACTGAAACTGAGACTCCTCTATTCTGAACTAACATCACCTCTCGTTGGCTTGCCATACTGAAATTCCAGCAAGCCTTGGACAATTCTCTCAAGTTAAATATTTTGGAAGTGAAAAAACAAGGAAATAGATGGATCCTGAGGACATTTCAGTGTTATTTATTAGAATGGGAAAATACCATAAATGCCAAATAATAGGGAAAAAATTAAATAAGCTATAATACATCATGAGAGAATATTGTACAATCATTTAAAATCATATTTTGAAGTACATTTTATAGCATAAAAAGTACATTCATAAAATGTTGTTAGTTTTAAAAAACATATATATAATCAGGGCAGCTTTTTTACAACACCCACCCATACACATGGATTATACACACACAGGTATATTTCTGTATATAATACAAGGAGTGTCATTTTCTTATTCAGTTGACTCTTGAACAACACAGGATTGAACTACATGGGTACCCTTACCCATGCAACATTTTTTTCAATAAATATACTGGAAAATTTTTTGGAGATTTGCAATAATTTGAAAACACTAACTGTGTAGCCTAGAAATACTGAAAAAAAAAAAAAAGAAAAGTGAGGTATGTGATGAGCATAAAATATTTGTGGCTACTAGTCTATTTCATCATTTACAACCATAAAATATATACAGATGTCTTATGAAAAGTAACACAGACTACACATGATGCCATTCTCAGTACAGAGAAATATAAACAAACATAAAAATATGATATTATATCATGGTTGCATAAAATTAACTGTAGTACATACTATACTACTGTAATAATTTTGTGGACACCCCCTGTTGCTACTGCAGTGAACTCAAGTGTTGCAGGTATTCACTGAAAATGCCATGTGATGCTAATCACCTCTGCATGAGCAGTTCATCTCTCCCATAAATTTAATATTGCAGTAATAAGTTATATCTCATGGTTCTTAAGTATTTTTAAAACATTTGATGTAATACTATAAACCCTGAATAACACCATGGGACCCATACGAAGTGCGACTAGTGATGCTGGAAGTGCTGCCAGGAAGCAGAGACAAGTCACAACATTGCAAGAAAAAATTGAATTGTCTGATATGTACCAGAGATTGAGGCCTGCAGCTACAGTTGCCTGCCATTTCAAAATAAATGAATCCAGCACAAGGACCACTATAAGAAAAGAAAAGGAAAATTGTGAAGTTGTCACTGCAGCTATGCCAGCAGGTATGAAAATTTTATACTTTTTGTGAGATAACTTTGAGTCTCATAGTGAAAATGCACATTTTAAGTGGGCACAGGATTGCTATAAAAAAGGCATACCTATAGACTCTAATAAGATTCAAGAAAAGGCAAAATCATTACATGACAACTTAAAGCAAAAGGAGGTAAGGAATCTAAAGCTGGATAATTTAATGCCAGCAAAGGATGGTTTGATATTTTAGAAACAGATTTGGCCGAAAAAATAGCAAGATAACAGGAAAAGCAGCTTCTGCTAACCAAGAGGCAGCAGATAAGTTCCCAGACACCATATAAATTCCCTGAGGAGAAAGGATGTCTGCCTGAACAGGGTAGTTTCATTGTTTTTATTTATTTATATATTTTTTAATCAACTCCCAAGCACTTGGATGAACAGGTTTTTAACGCAGAAAAAATTTGCCCGATCTTGAAAAAAAAAAAATGCCACAAAGGACATTCACTAGTAAGGAAGAGAAGCAAGGATTTAAGGCAGCAAAGGACAGACTTACTCTACCACTTTGTGCATATGCAGTCATGGTTATGACCGGGACTGTCCTCTATAAAGCCGCTAACCCTGAGCCTTCAAAGGAAAACATAAATACTAGTTTTTTAGTTGTACCACAAGAAGGCTTGGACAATGAGAGCTCTTTTCCTGGATTGGTTCCACTGATGCTTTGTCCCTGGAGTCAGGAAGTACTTTGCCAGTAAGAAACTGCCTTTTAAAGTTCTTTTGACATTAGACAATGCCTCTGGCCACTCAGAACTCCATGAGTCCAACACCAAAGGCATCAGAGTGGTCTACTTGCCCCCAAACATATCTCTAATTCTGCCTTTAGATCAGGGGGTCCTAACGACCTTTCAGGCTCATTATGGTACCCTATGGAAAGCACTGTCAATGCTATGGTAGAGAACGCTGATAGGGAGAAAAGCATAAAAGCCTGGAAGTATTACCCTATTGACAACACCATCATTGTTATAGAAAAGGCCATGAAAGCCATGGAGCCTAAAATAATACATATCCGCTGGAGAAAACTGTGTCCAGATGTTGTAAATGACTTCAAAAAATTTACAACACAGCCAGCCAAGAAAATCACCAAAGAGACTGTGGATATGGCCAAAAAAAAAAAAAAAAAAAAAGGCAGTGGGTAAAGGGTTTCAAGATATGGGTCTTGAGGAAATTCAACAGCTAATACACCACACAAGAGGAATTAACAGAGGACAACTTAATAGAGAAAAGTGCTTCTAAACCACTGTCAGATGATGAAGAAGATACAGAAGAAGCAGTACCAGAAAACAAACTGACATTACACAATCTGGCAGAAGGGTTCTGATTATTCGAGACTGCTTTTGCCTTCTTTTACAACGTGGACCCTTCTATGATACAGGCACTGAACTATAGCAAATGGCTGAAGAAGGATTGGTCCCATAAAAAAACATTTTTAGAGAAATAAAAAAAGTAAAAAGCTTACTTTCTGTAAAGTGTAACTTTACACTTCAAAAAAGTTACACTTTACAAAAAGGCGTAAAGTTACACGAGTGTGCCTGCCTCTCCTGCCTCCCCTTCTACCTCCTCCACTTCTGCCTCTGCCACCCTGGAGACATCAAGACCAGCTCCTCCTCTTCCTCCTCCTCAGCCTACTCAACATGAAGACGAAGAGGATGAAGACCTTCATAATGATCCACTTCCACTTAATAAATAGTAAATATAAGACTATACTTTCAGGGATCATTTCTATACTTCATTACTAGAGAAGTTTCTCTGAATGTGTAGAGTACCAACTTCTACGCAAATAAACTAGAAAATCTAGAAGAAATGGACAAATTCCTGGACACATACCCTCTCCTAAGACTAAACCAAGAAGAGGTCAAACCCTGAATAGAACAATAACAAGTTCTGAAATTGAGGCAGCAATTAGTAGCCTACCAACCAAAAAAAGTCCAGGACCAGACGGATTCACAGCTGAATGTTACCAGAGGTACAAAGAGGAGCTGGTACCATTCCTTCTGAAACTATTCCAGACAATAGAAAAAGAGGAAATGCTCCCTAACTCATTTGATGAGGCCAGCATCATCCTGATACCAAAACCTGGCAGAGACACATCAAAAAAGGAAAATTTCAGGCCAATATCCCTAATGAACATCAATGCAAAAATCTTCAATAAAATACTGGAAAACCGAATCCAGCAGCACATCAAAAAGCTTATCCACCATGATCAAGTGGGCTTCATCCCTGGGATGCAAGGCTGGTTCAACATATGCAAATCAATAAATGTAATCCATCACATAATCAGAACCAATAATAAAAACCACATGATTGTCTCAATAGGTGCAGAAAAGGCCTTTGACAAAATTCAACAGCCCTTCATGCTAAAAACTCTCAATAAACTAGGCATTGATGGAACGTATCTCAAAATAATAAGAGCTATTTATAACAAACCCACAGCCAATATCATACTGAATGGACAAAAACCGGAAGCATTCCCTTTGAAAACCAGCACAAGACAACGATGCCTTCTCTCACCACTCCTATTCAACATAGTATTGGAAGTTCTGGCCAGGGCAATCAGGCAACAGAAAGAAATACAGGGTATTCAATTAGGAAAAGAGGAAGTCAATTGTCTCTGTTTGCAGATGACATGATTGTATATTTAGAAAACCCCATCGTCTCAGCCCAAAATCTCCTTAAGCTGATAAGCAACTTCAGCGAAGTCTCAGGATACAGAATCAATGTGCAAAAATCACAAGCATTCCTATTCACCAATAACAGACAAACAAAGAGCCAAATCATGAGTGAACTCCCATTCACAATTGCTACAAAGAGAATAAAATACCTAGGAATCCAACTTACAAGGGATGTGAAGAACCTCTTCAAGGAGAACTACAAACCACTGCTCAAAGAAATAAGAGAGGACGCAAAGAAGTGGAAAAACATCCCATGCTAACGGATAGGAATAATCAATATTGTGAAAATGGCCATACTTCCCAAAGTAATTTATAGATTCAATGCTATTCCCATCAAGCTACCATTGACTTTCTTCACAGAACTGGAAAAAACTACTTTAAATTTCATATGGAACCAAAAAAGAGCCTGCATAGCCAAAGCAATCCTAAGCAAAAAGAACAAAGCTGGAGGCATCATGCTACCTGACTTCAATGTATACTACAAGGCTACAGTAACCAAAACAGCATGGTACTAGATAGACCAATGGAACAGAACAGAGACCTCAGAAATAACACCACCCATCTACAACCATCTGATCTTTGACAAACTTGACAAAAACAAGCAATGGGGAAAGGATTCCCTATTTAATAAATGGTGTTGGGAAAACTGGCTAGCCATATACAGAAAACTGAAACTGGATCCCTTCTTTACACCTTATACAAAAATTAACTCAAGATGGATTAAAGACTTAAACGTAAGACCTAAAACCATAAAAACCCTAGAAGAAAACCTAGGCAATACCATTCAGGAAATAGGCATGGGCAAAGACTTCATGACTAAAACACCAAAAGCAATGGCAACAAAAGTCAAAATTGACAAATGGGATATGATTAAACTAAAGAGCTTCTGCACAGCAAAAGATACTATTATCAGAGTGAGCGGGCAACCTACAGAATGGGAGAAATTTTTGCAATCTACTCATCTGACAAAGGGCTAATATCCAGAATCTACAAAGAACTTAAACAAATTTACAAGAAAAAAACAACCCTATCAAAAAGTGGGCAAAGGATATGAACAGACACTTCTCAAAAGAAGACATTCATGCAGCCAACAAACATATGAAAAAAAAGCTCATCATCACTGGTCATTAGAGAAATGCAAATCAAAACAACAATGAGAAACCATCTCACACCAGTTAGAAAGGCAATCATTAAAAAGTCAGGAAACAACAGATGTTGGAGAGGATGTGGAGAAATAGGAACACTTTTACACTGTTGGTGGGAGTGTAAACTAGTTCAACCATTGTGGAAGTCAGTGTGGTGATTCCTCAGGGATCTAGAACTAGAAATACCATTTGACCCAGCAATCCCATTACTGGATATATACCCAAAGGATTATAAATCATTCTACTATAAAGACACATGCAAGCGTATGTTTATTGCAGCACTGTTCACAATAACAAAGACTTGGAACGAACCCAAATGCCCATCAATGATAGACTGGATAAAGAAAATGTAGCACATATACACCATGGAATACTATGCAGCCTTAAAAAGGATAAGTTCATGTCTTTTGCAGGGACATGGATGATGCTGGAAACCATAATTCTCAGCAAACTAACACAAGAACAGAAAACCAAACACGGCATGTTCTCACTCATAAGTGGGAGTTGATCAACGAGAACACATGGACACAGGGAGGGGAATATCACACACCATGGCTTGTCAGGGTGTGGGGGGCTAGGGGCGGGATAGCATTAGGAGAAATACTTAATGTAGATGACAGGTTGATGGGTGCAGCAAACCACCATGGCACGTGTATACCTATGTAACAAACCTGCACGTTCTGCACATGTACCCCAGAACTTAAAGTATAACTTAAAAAAAAGTAAATACATTTTCTCTCCGTTATGAACATCTTAATAACCTCTTTTCTCTAAATTACTTTATTATAAGAATATAGTATATCATACATATAAAATATGTGTTATTTTGTATTAAAATATGTGTTAATTGGCTTTGTTATTAGTAAGGCTTCTAGTCAATGGTAAACTAACAGTAGTTAAGTTTTGGGGGAGTAAAAAGTTATATGCAGATTTTCAACTTAGCAGGGTGTCAGTGTTCTTAACCGCCAAGTTGCTCTAGAGTCAACTGTACATACACCCAACCACACACACAGGTAGGGGTCAAGCCAAAATCCTGGGAATCAACATTGGTCTCCTCTGTCACTAGCACCCCCTTCCTCATTTTATCCATCAATAAATCCTATCAACACTGTCCTTAAAACACATTCTGAATCTGATAATTTCTTAGCATTTCCATGGTAGCCTCTCTAGTACAAGCCAGTATCTGCTCTTGCCTCCTCAATATGCCTATTCTTCCACAGCAATAATAACAATAACAATGGACTGGAAGAAATCACACCAAAAAAATCAGTAGTGATTTTATTTGGATGGCAGTTTTACCAGTGACTTAACTTACCTCTCTCATACTAGTTCATATTTTCTACATTTTATATAATACATTTGGACCATTTTGACAACCAGGAAAAAAAAACTCACTTACCATAAAATACTAGAATATGTAGCAACACTTCATTTTAAAGTTGATTAAACATTTTCTTTCTTTTTTTTTTTTTTTTGAGACAGTCTTGCTCTGTTGCCCAGGCTGGAATGCAACGGTACATTCTCGACTCACTGCATCCTCCGCCTCCAAGGTTCAAGCGATTCTCCTGCCTCAGCCTCCCCAGTAGCTAGGATTACAGGTGTGTACCACCATGCCTGGCTAATTTTTGTATTTTTAGTAGAAACGGGGTTTCACCATGTTTGCCAAGCTGGTCTCTAACTCCTGACTTCAGGTGATCTGCCTGCCTCGGCCTCCCAAAGTGCTGGGATTACAGGTGTGAGCCACTGTGTCTTGCCAATTAAACATTTTAAGTTGATTTTTTCCTTAGCTCTTGCCCAATTTTCAAGCCAGATATTAACTTTTCCAAAAAAGGTTAAAGAACTCCTTTGCCAGGCGTGGTGCCTCACACCTATAATCCCAGCACTTTGGGAGGCCCAGGCAGGCAGATCACCTAACAGTGGGAGTTCGAGACCAGCCTGACCAACATGGAGAAACTCCATCTCTACTAAAAATACAAAAAATTAGCCAGGCATGGTGGTGCATGCCTGTAATCCCAGCTACTTGGGAGGCTGAGGCAGGAGAATCACCTGAACCCGGGAGGCGGAGGTTGTGGTGAGCTGAGATTGTGCCATTGCACTCCAGCCTGGGCAACAAGCAAAACTCCATTGCAAAAAAAAACAGTCTTGATCAGACTAATTTAATATATAAATATTGAAGACTGCAACATTTTTTCCAAGTCTTCTAAATGACTCTGGCAAAAACATTAATCATATGAATTTATCTGTTTCACTCTTTATGCATCTGAAAAACTACAAAATCAAATATTTCTCTGATATGAATAAAGCTAACAGAATTGTTATAAAAAGTCTCTAGATGTTTGCTGAATAATAGCTTAGATAATATTAATATTCTTGTTTTTTAGAATGTAGCTACCTTACTTCCATATTTGAGTAGTTCTGTTTATTGTACAGGGAAAAAAATTAAAAATCTCAATGGGTAGTTTTAGGCACTTCACTCATTAAATCCATGCCTACTGTTTATCAGACATTTATTTAGCAGGCATTAGTGTTACTCACTAATATTCCAGTTCTTCTCCTTTCAGGAACATAGTGAGGTTGCTCTTCCTCATCTCTGTGAGGTTAGGTGTGGCTATGTCCCTTGCTTTGATCAATGAAATATGAGAGAAAGTAACTTGCCAGTTCCAAGCTGAAGCATCATGAGTCAGTGCAGCAGTCACCATTTCCCACCCCCCTGCTAGGACAACTAGCCTCATCCAGGCTTGCAGAGGCTTTGTTAACCCCCACTCCTGAATGAGGACATGGAACAAGGTCCTTGTCAACACAAGATTGTCTGCAGCCCCTGAGATTTGGGGTTTCTTTGTTACTATGAGGATGCTAATCTTCATTAAGTAACTAATATAAATCAGGCTCTGAGCTAGGCATTGGGAGACATACGGTAAGAGATATCATTTCCTGCCTTTACATAGCTTAGAGTACAAAGGGAAAAACACATTTATGAACAAATAATTGCTATGCATGCCTAAATATATTTGGTTGACAGGAAAAGGAACACAGAGTGGGGCGAATCCAGTGAGAGTGGTAGTTTTGAGGAGGTTGCAGTATAAAGAAATGATGAAGGAGCCCACTGAAGGGAAGGGAATCTGATTGGTATTATTCAAAAGTAGCATAAAGCCACTTGCACACCTAAAATTCTGTGAGTTAAAGGATGTAAACAAACTTCCAAGCCCATATTAGGTCAGACCACTGGTACATCCAACAAACATCCTATCTCTGATAGAATTAAAAAGCAAATCCATATAGGAAAAATCATTATTTTCTATAACACCGTTTTTTAAAATCTAGGACTGTAAGTCTCCTGGTATGAACTATATTTAATAATCGTGTATTTCTCGCTTATAGTTCTCTAAATCTTTTTCTGTCTCCACCACCATGTAAGATATGCCCTCCTGGGTCCAAGCAGCATGCCTCCCCTAAAAGTGATTTAACTTGGACAGTAATCCTTCAAGTGTTTAGGTGTGGCTACAAAAAAAATCTGAGATGTTAGAATAGACAAGAATTAATGCCAGTTAGAAAGAAGGACTTTGCTTTGAAAGAAATATATACAAAATGGGAAACAGAACTAAGTTGAGGGTATTCCCATAATATGCAGACACAGCAACCCAGAAAGCAAGCCAGGGCAGATGTCACTAAGCAGAATAAAAAGCTAAGCACTTACACCCAAACTGCATTTTAAATATTTACTCCTACAGTAAAGAATTGAAGGGTTTAATACCTCATGTCAAAATGAATACTCAAAGGTTTGGCTTTTGACTCAGCAGTATAAGACACTGATGTTATTTTTTAGATGATAAAATACATTAATATACTCGAACCTGTTTGTAGTTGGAAATGCTACTTAACCACCTGACTAAAATATTACGAAGCTCTGTCCCGTCTTTATTTGGGCTAAAGAAACTATAGAGTATTAAACTACAATACAGATTCCCTACTACCCCAGGAAGTGCCACCACTTTTCCTCCTCTCAAATATACACTTTTTCTAAAAACCAGAAACTATGATTACCAAAGCAGATTGGTTGGCCAAACAAAATATAACAGCAGAATTTTCCAAAGTAGTGTTGGCTGAAAGATCGGCTTTACAAACTCTAGGGAAGCAACAAGCAGGATATTTGCAAATAATAAACCACATCTTAGAAACAGCCATGCACCATTTCTTCTTGGCCATGCATATCTGTAGAGGAAAGTTACAGAAGACTGGGATGGCAGGATATTCCAGAGAAAATTTAAAGGGATATTCGTGTTTGATACCCCATTTTTTCTTTTTAGTTCAAGCTTATTGGTCCTGTTTAGAATGTATAAAAGGTTCTGCATTTAGAGATTTACCATCAGGTACAAATATGGAATCCATTCATTTTCCTGAAGCTTAGTTTACGTGCCACAGCTGAATGTATATGTATATTTGTTTCAACTTGATTTCTCTTAACCTTACAAATCAATTCAACTCAAAAGGTACAGAATAATTCAGATGGGTGACTTTTCTGACCCCATGAGTGACAACAACGGCTACTGATAGCTCTTGCCTTCCCTATTTCCAGAGTGCCCTTTTCATTTTAGGTGTGAGCAGGCCTAATCCCATTAGGAACTCCTAGGAAATGTGGACCAGTCATCAGTCGTGTATTTTGAATGAGGATTAGGGTGTGGGCAAGGAGAGAAGAGGCAGGAGGATGAAGAACACAGTAAGAGTTTGGTTTTAATTCCCTAGGCAATGAGAGCAGGAGGGACGTGATTGCACACATCAGAGACTGCAGCTGAGTATAGAGGAAGAAAGCAGAGTTAGGAAGGTGAGAGGTGAGGGAGAGCACACAAGAGGCATTGACAAGGTGACAACAGGAGGGAGGGAAGTGGGGAAGGGAGGTCTGTGTTAACATGTGTAAGAGAGGAGGCAAAGAAGATGCCAAAGTTTACAGCCTGTCTTCTTGATCTATGCTGATGTGTTTGTTTTGGGTTTCCTGTATATTTTACGTAAACAAAAAAGAGGTCCCAGTGAAACTATATGATCCCTGCATTATGTTACTGTGGAAAGAAAACAGTCCCAAAGGCCTTAATGGCTACATGCCTTATTACATATGTATCCACAGAATGGGCTGGGAGAAGCGAATGCATCTGGTGCCCATCTGAGAGAAAAGGCAACACAGGGAAGTCTAAACAGGAAAGAAGTTAATGTACGTTGAAATGTTTGCATTTACTTTCCAATCCATAAATTAAATCCACCCAGTGCTCTTGTTATTTTATCACCTGAAACCTACTACATCACCTCATTAGAAAACGCCAAGAAGTCATGATGAGATCGCTGGAAGATATCCACAGAAAGTCACAGTACTTTTTCCCTGGAAAATAAAATTACCTGAAAAACCAACTTAGGGATCATTTTTAAAAGTTCTTTGGGAGATTCCTTTCTCTTTGGTACAATTCTGGTAACTGTTTTGAAATAAAATTCTCCAGCTCCATTTGTATCAGATAGCACCAGAATGAAGCTAATCCCCTTCAAACTATAAATCGACAACAGTGAATTTATGATACTGTGAACTGTAGGGATCAGAGTTTCAAGATAATGAAAACACACCGAAGAAACAAAGGTTTTTTTGGAGTTTTTTTTGTTTGTTTGTTTTTTTAACAGGGTCTGTCACCCAGGCTGGAGTGCAGTGGCACAATCTTGCCTCACTGCAACCTCCGCCTCCCGGGCTCAAGCCATTCTCCCACTTCAGCATCTCCAGTAGCTGGGACTACAGGCATGGGCCACCACACCTGGCTATTTTTTTTTTTTGTACTTTTTGTAGAAACAGGTTTTTGCCATGTTTCTCAGGTTGGTCTTAAACTCCTGGGCTCAAGTAATCCACCTGCCTTGGCCTCCCAAAAGTGCTAGGATTACAGGCATAAGCCACCATGCCGGGCCAAGAACAAAGTTTTAAAAGCAAAGAAACAAATTTAAATGTCTGTTGTATTGTGCTGTGTTGTGTTAGAGAAGAGGGACTTAAAGTCTGGCCTACATAAATGCAATTATCCAGGTAATTTATACGAAGTGAGTATGGAGAATTCCCAAATTATGCAACGTATTACTTGTCATTTCACACTGTCATATACAGACACTGCCTTAGGATCATCCAATCAATATAGTAGGAATTAATCGAAGAGGGACTGACTGCAAGAGCAAGTGATAGAAAACTGTAAATCGTTTCATATTGTTGAGAAAATGCAGAGGGATTTAGATTACAGAAGCAAATTCAGGAAAATTCATTTCAAAAAAAAAATTAGGGTTTGGGTCAAAATTTCCACTTTATAACAAAGTTTGAGTCTATACTCATGCCCTGCAAGAGCCATGGAGCAGAGACGCTGACTTGGAGTCCGCATTTTGTGGCAGACAGTGGTTGATGCTTGGTGTTCAAAGCACTCCCCGCACACTGGTGGTCCACAGGCTGGTCTCTTTCAGCACTGATGTTTACAATAAGATGATGTTATGAATAAAGCATGCACTGATGACATGTAATTGAATTCAGACATCAGCTTAGAGCAGTCCTTCAGAAGCAGTGCCATTCTTTACAGGAATTCTGTGGGGGTATTTCTGTGGTGACCAATGGCAGCAGATGGGGCCTGAGGGGAAGCTTTCAGAGGATTGAAGGAAAAAAAAAATCTAGTTCAACCTGAAACTCCAAGCTTTATAGTGGACAACAATGGACACAAAAACTTCTCTCTTTTTCCACTAATCCCAACATCAAAACACATGGAAGAGGGAGCTAATTATTAGAAGCTCCAGAAACAACCACTTCCTAGCAATATTCTCATTTCAAAAGTCAAAAAGCAGCTTATTTTCCTCATCCTCTGTTCTCCAAACACCATCCTCAGTTAAACCCTTAGTCCCCTCAACTCCCCCTCTGCAAATAGACCTAGCTACTTCACAAATATTTCCTTGCATTCTTATATCCTCCTCAACCTCCTCTATCTCTGCAAACAACCCTCACCTGTCCACATATCCCCAAACTCATCTGCAAACACCCCCCTCTAAGCAAACAGCCCCAGATCCTCTCTCCTTCCAATGCTATTCCCTACAGCTTCTGCAGCCATCCATAACCCTGGACCTTCCCACTGTCTCAATACCTGTCTCCTTAGAACTTCCTCTTCTCTCACTCTCTCATCCTGGCTTTCTAACCTCTGTTCCTTTAAACTCTTCCTCCACACACAAGATTTTATATCTCACAGCAGAGAGAGAAAAAAGCCTGTTAGTAGACATAGTCTCCTTATTGTTCTGTTTTGCAAATAAACACAGCAGCAAATGGATTCCAACTCCTCTTCCTTTGCACCATGTTCTTTGTCACTCAAAGACCTGCCTGTTTGAACAAAATAATTATTACCCACTACAAACATGTAGGTAGGTGGATATTCTCCAAGGAGGATGTTTACAATTATCAAAAAGATCCAACAAAGCAGTTCCATGGGAAGAAATGTATTTTAATGGCAAAATAAGGAGGCTTGTTTATTCTTTCAGACTGAACCTATTACAACAGGCAGCTGTAAATCCTAATGTGTGTAGACACACACACACACACACACACACACAGAGACAGACACACATGCTGTCCACATGCCTACAGTGGTCTAAAACACACAAAGGCTTTTTGTGACTGCTAATGGGGACTCTTCAGAATTCAGACAAGACACATCCTCGGAATTCACCAGGTGACAGGGCTGGAGAGAAAGGTGAGGGCCGCTGGGGACCAGAATGTGGCTTTGATATCTCAGGACACCGATTACACAGTTGCTTTCTTGCTTTTCTTTTTCTTTCTTTTCCTTTTTTTTTTCTTTTTTTTGAATTTTTACTTTATCATATTCTAAAGATACCTAAAAGAAGAAGTAAGGAAGACCATTAGGGAAAGAACAAAAGACTCAAAGGATGCTACAGGAGGGAAAAGGGGCCCAGAAGGAAGTGGAGAGTGATGGGGGATAATGAGAACATTAAGTGCAGATGGAAGGAGTGGAGCACAATATGAAAGAAGTTCCAGCTTCTTCCTGTCACAATAAAAGAGTGTAACCCCAGGCTACGATTCCCTTCTGTTATCCCTAGCTGTATTGAAGTCTGAGCTCTGTCAAAGAAGAAGAAGAAAAAAAAAATTCCAGATGGTATTCGAAGGTTCCTAAAAGTAATCACAATCAACAGCAATAACCATATTTCAAATGAGGATCTTCATCTCCTGTGAGCAGAGGCTACTTTTAAATCAGTCTACATTGTTTTACGTTAGGAATTGTTAGAAATCTTATAGGTCTCTTAGTAAAGAGGGTAAGCCATCAATCATAGGGATTTTTTAAAAAGTTTTGTGCTAGTCCCTTGAGTAAGACTAGTCTGTAGGAACTTTAAAATATTCTTTAGACTCTGCAAGTAATTTAGCTGCATGTTCCCTGTGATAACTCTCTTCAGCCAGTGAAGAGGACAGGTTGGGGGAGGACAGAAAGCAGAAGCAACCTCAATAAACTTTTGTGTCATTAGTTTCCTCACACTTGCAAAATTCCTTACTTTTACATAAATCATCAAGGTGTGATTTCTTCAATTAGGCTCACATTTGTGTTAAAGGAGCTTTACCAATATTTAAAGGAGACAATATCAATAAGTATTGAAATATATATACACACACATATATATATATATAAATTCAGCTCAACACAAATTAAAAGTGTGCTGTCTGTGATTACAGAAAATACAAGGAAGAGAATAATATTTTTTTTAAAAAAAAGACAGAAATGCAATTACCTAATTCTAAAATATGGGAAAGTCCCCAGGGGTGGGAGGAAGACTCATGAATAAGCAAATGGCAAGGGGGAAAAAAAAACAAGAGGAAGAGAGAAGTATTCTCGATTAAAGAGACTGAGGGCGCATACCAAT
This sequence comes from Homo sapiens, assembly GCF_000001405.40. Lineage (NCBI taxonomy): Eukaryota > Metazoa > Chordata > Mammalia > Primates > Hominidae > Homo > Homo sapiens. The sequence continues at coordinate 111,868,388 of NC_000003.12, read as the reverse complement.
TAAATGCAATGTGTGGACATGGTTTTGGATCCTGTTTTGAACAATCCATCTATTTTTTACAATGTATGAAGCTAGGCAAGGTGGCTGAGGCTCATAATCCCAGCACTTCAGGAGGCCGAGGCATGAGGATTGCTTGAGCCTAGGAGTTTGAGACCAGCCTGACCAGCACAGCAAGACCCCATCTCTACAGAAATTTAAAAAATTAGCCAGGCATGGTGGTGCATGCCTGTATTTCCAGCTACTCAGGAGGCAGAGGCGGAGAGGCAGAGGTGGAGGCAGGGGGATCACTTGAGCCCAGGAGGGCAAGGCTGCAGTGAGCCATGATCATGCCACTGCTCTCCAGTCTGGGTGACGCAGCAAGATCCTGTCATTTTTTTTTAAAAGTATGAGCTGGGAGCAGTAGCTCAGGCCTGTAATTCCAGCACTCTAGGAGGCCGAGGCAGGCAGATCACTGGAGCCCAGGATTCGAGACCAGCTTGGGCAACATGGTGAGACCCCATCTCTACAAAATATACAAAAATTAGCCAGGCATGGCGGCACAAGCCTGCAGTCCCAGCTACTGGGAAGGTTGAGGTGAGAGGATCAGTTGAACCCAGGAAACCAAGGCTGCAGTAAGCCAAGATAGTGCCACTGTACTCCAGCCTGGGTGACAGAGCAAGACCCTATCTCAAAAAAATAAAAATTAAAATTAAAAAAAGACATATGAGACAATCAGAGAATTTCAGACTGGAAACTAGATGATAATGCTGTGGTTTTTTAAAAGTGTGATGATGATATATCTTAAAAATACTCTTAGAGTTACATTGTAAATTATTTACGAATGAAATATGATGATGTTTGGAATCTGCTTTATAACAATCCATGTTTTAGGGTAAAGTGAGGTTTACAAATGAAACAAGATTAGCATATATAAATAATTGTTGAAGCTGGGTGATAAGTACATTGATCTTTGTTTATTATTTTATTATTATTTTAGTATACATTTAAATTTTTGTGTAGTTTAATATTTTTCATGATAAAGTATCTTTTAAAAAAGCTACGTGCATTCTGCAAGTCAACATCAATAAAATGTGTATACTGCCTTAAAAATTATAGTAGCTGACTTTACAAAGAAGGTTGGGGTCATATCACTGGCTCCTAGCTGATTTTTTTTTTAAGTATAAAATACTAACTCTTTATCATACTGAATTAAGTTCCTAAAAGCTGATACATGTATTTTTAAGTAACTGGGAGAAGTTTGAAAGCAAATACATTTTCAAGATAACAAGTAAGCAGGCCATCACATTTAAGATATTTGCAAGATAACGTTATGTGGGGTAGCTAAGTGTCACCACTGCGTGCCCAAATAATGATTTCTTCATAAAACTGTCAAACCCTCCATATCAAGAATTCCAGCCTCAATTAAAAGGTTAAAATACACACACACACACACACACACACACACACACACACACACACCCCTTAGAAACTTATGTTAAGGAAGAGAGTGGAGGAGCTCTTTAGGTCAAGTTCTTCACAGAATCCTAACCAAGGATCCTGATCAAGTCCCCCGTAAAGCTAGAAGGGTCTTCCTTTACTACGTAATCACCCAGTGAAGTGCAGAATCATGGGATAACTAACTTCAGATACTCTTCTTTAATCACAGGAGTGCTACAGGGAAAAGCACCCTCTGATCTTTTGATCTCAAAGCTAATTTCAAGCAAGAGAATTATCAACCTGGGGATCATATGTAGATAAAGATGCTCTCTCTTGACCCTGAAACCACCTCCGTGGACTTTAACTGGAAGCTGAGGAGAGTGTATGGGAGGGAAACTCTCCGATCTTGCCGCCATCCTGCCCCATCCCACACTACTGATCAAAAGACACTCCCTTAAGAGTAATATTTAATTTTTCCAAAGTAACATTCCCCAGACCTAAATACTTGCTGGAATTCCCATTCCCTAACCCAAGATTTATGAACTGGGAATAGTCAGGGTACAAACAGGCTCACAAGAGGTGGAACAAACACAGGTCAACCACATCTTCCATGTTTGTAATGCATTTCGCTTTACATCACAAATTGAGTACATGAGGCCGGGCTCGGTGGCTCATGCCTGTAATTCCAGCACTCTGTGATGCTGAGGTGGGCAGATCACCAAAGGTCAGGAGTCTGAGACCACCCTGGCCAATATGGCGAAACCCCATCACTATTAAAGTACAGAAATTAGCTGGGTGTGGTGGTGCATGCCTGTAATCCCAGCTACTCGGGAGGCTGAGGCAGGATAATCACTTGAACCTGGGAGGCCGAGGTTGCAGTGAGCTGGATCGCACCACTGTACTCCAGCCTGGGTGACAGAGCAACTCTGTCTCCAAAAAAAAAAAAAAAAAAAAAAAATGAGTGGGTGGGGTAGGTTTCTAAAATATTGTAAAGTAAAAATAATAATTATGATAATATCATATCTTCATTACTTAGCAGCTGATTGTGCAGAATGAGTATTATAAAACACTTAATTTTTCCCTTCCATGCTATCTACCTTTTGACCACTTACTGCTTGAAAGAAGGGAAATAACTTGAACAAGTCAAGATAAACAATTGACTAAGTTTAATTTAATTTTAATCAATGCTTTTTTTTTAATAACTCTGGCCAAAAGATCTAATAAAGGAAATGGTTACGTTAGGATGTTATTTTTATTACAGTGGCCAATCTAGTAGAAAGAACACTGGATAGGCTGCCAGGGAAGCAAGTCAGAAGATCCATCTTAGTTCTGGTTCTGCTAACAGAACTAAGATCTGGAGCACGTCAATTCGCCTGTCTTCATTTTGTTTCAACAGGAGTTTCTCCATACTCAACATGGTGAGAGTGAACTACATGTTCTTTCTGCTCCAACTTTCTGGACTCCCACAGATACTGGTTAAATAACACAGGAGTGCTCATTACATAATGCAGGAAATGGAAATGACCACAGAACAGAAATAGTTTTAGTGATAAGGTGGCAGCTACCTAATTGGGAAAAGATTTCACCGGACTGTTGCCCATGACATTCCAAAGGCATGGTAAATTGTTTTAGCATAACATAGTGGGAAAAAGGCCTGGTCAGAGTTATGGTAATGTAATATAATATGGGTATTTGATTGAGCATGATGTATAAGAAAGGTTTTGTCTGCATTCCCATGGCTTGCAGTTTCCTTAATAAATCTTAAGCTGTTTTTGAAAAGCTACTTCTGCAATGACGTAAGCAGTGAGGCAGCCAGACATCACTTCTCAATCCCCTCTGAATATCTCTTGGCTGTGCGGCACTATTCACACTGGGTCTGCACTGGTCAAAAGAATGTAGGAGCTGGGTTTCTTTTGCCTTTATCTTTCCTTGTTTTAGCAGTAGGGTGGTCAAGAAAGAAATCTTGGAAAACTCTTGTAATCTTTAACTTTTTTGCTATTTCATAGGCTAGTTCCATGAACATACTGCCATCTAGGGCAGTCACATGCAATGTGCAAACAAAACATTCTAAGATGATCAACACCAATTCCCACTGAATTAGCAGCAAGTCTCAGAAAAAGCTGACCTGGCTTAAGGCCATCGATAAACAGTGGCATACACAATATTTTCTTTCCTTTTACTTTGTAAAGTAAGGAAAAGCACTTCATCTAATAAAATCAACCTAACACACTAAACAAGTATCTCCTGTAAAAATCCTCTCAAAAACTTTTTGACTAACCCTGTTACTCTATATCTTATTAATCTGTTTCTTTGTATAGCAATTACCTACAACCTCTAGTTTCCCACACAACAGTAAAATGATTTTTACACTTGGGTTTCTCTTATTGACCACTAGCTGCTATAGACAACTATCTTGCCTTTAAAGCAGATACAGCACAAAGCTCCTTTTCTGCAATGTCTAAGAAACATCCTTAAGCGTCATGAAAACAACTGTAAGCAAATTAACTCCCAGAAGGTTCAAATTCCTGGATGAACATAGAGAGAAGTTCTGCCTTGCTAAATGTTTACTTTGAAGGGATTTGAAAATCTGAGCTAACAATTTTGGTTTCATTTATTTTTAAAAGACAAGTTACTTTAATCAAATCCCAATAAATATTTCTAGCCAACAGTTATTTTTTTAAAAACTACTCCTGTCTCCTCTCCCATCATCTGAAAAACAGTAACAAGAATGGCCAGATGAAAGATGATAATGAAAAGACTGCTACACCCCTTTTGCATAGTACCTGCGGGGGGGCAGATCCCTTAAAAGGGCTATCACTCTTGAGTCATTTCTAAATATATCACTATGTACTTGGCTTTGAGGTGCACCCTTTGGCTAGTTGTCAAAATGATAAGAAACTATCTTAACACTTTTCAGAGGTTTTATGTCTCCCACCAAAGGCATACTAAAAACTTTCCTATATGGCCAGAACCTGTCAGATTTGAGTATTAGATAAAATAACTACCACAGGAGGACAGCTTGGCACCCAGAACTAGAATCTATAATCATGAGCCTAATGGCTAACCATAGCAATGTAAACAGGAGAGTATACATGTTTGTAATTAATCAGGCTATGGTGTACAACTTTTCTGATAATCATAAACTCATTAAGGTAACTCCTTTCTATAAACAGCCATTCACAAATACCATGCTTTTTAAACTCTCCCAAGTAATTAACAATAACTTTCTTTACTATCATTTTCTTTCCCATTAGGTAAACACATGGAATGGTAGAGACTGTGGGTGCAGGAGAAAGTACAATAGAACAGGAGGCTTGCAGATTCTGCCGCTATCTAACCCAGTTAGTTGGTTGGAGGGAAAAGATTCAGATAAGAGGATTTCTAAGGTTCCTTTTACCCCCATAGTTATTTTGTTCTACATGCTGAAAGAATAGCTAAGCTTGAATTGTCTTCTGATTCTTAATCCTAGTTCTATGCAATTGAATTTATATTAGATATCCCCTCATCAGCTTATGAATTTCTCCCACAATTTCCCCAACACTTGCTCATTTCCATATATGCCAGGTGTCTTTTTTTCTTCCATACTCAGGAGGCCTCTGTAATTCTCCCTTCTGTCCAAGCCAGCCCTATCCATTCATGTACTCTACTCTTAACCGATAAGGCAGGGAGGAACAGAAAATCTCAAATGTTCTGTTTTGTACCTGGATTCAAAAGCAACATCTGCTATGTCTGTGGAACCATCTGTTGCCTACTTTGCCATGGAAAGGACAGTACAGGCATCAGAAGTGGAGTGTCACAGGTCATATAATGGAATTACCCCTTTCTGGGACTGGGGCACCCAGGCACGTGCCCCACAGTCTCTATGGCTAATGCCACCCCTCCCCCATCGAAGCATTTATTTATTTTCTCACAGGGAATGGTGCTTTGAAACTTTTACACAAGGTCAGGTCCAGTGTGTTTTGTTTTTTGTTCCCATTTGCCTGAATCTCTATTTTAAAATTTTTAACTCCTGGGTTGTACCTAGAACTTTGTCTGCCCGCCCTTAGCTCGCTTGAGACCTTATGAGTCCTAAAGCTCTGAGTGTCTCAGTTTTTTACATCTATAAAAAGAAGGGGTAGAAATTAAGTGATCTCTGAGGCTCCCTTGTGCTCTAATGCTCCCAAATCCCATGACTTTAATCCATCTCAAAGTTGTCAATGAACACAAGTTCCTCGACCTCTATGGTATATTAAGACTCTAAATGGCAAGGACAAAAGAATCTGCTGCATACAAAACGGCTTCTATGATAAGGGTCTCTTGTTTAACACAGTTAAACAAGTTTCTTGAGGATCCAAATCAGATTAAGATGCCTAATCTTGTTAACCTACTCCCCCAGGCAATACTGTAGTGCAGGGTTTGGGGCTGCATAATTGTTTTTGTGTCCCGTGCATGGCAGGGTGCTTAACCGCATCCCAGGCCTCTACCCACTATATGGCAGTAGCACTCTCCTCCTGTCAGTTGCTACAACCAAAAATACGTTGCCAGTATCCTCTGGGGGCCAAAACCCCTCTCCCAGTGAAAACCACAGCTCTAATGTATGTCAGGACTTTAAGATAAAGCACATCACTTAGGTGTTTTTGTTTCAAAAGAGTGACATTTACACAATCAACAATTGGTACACCAAGACTTTACAGATAGATTCATAAGGCACAGGTACTCCACCTAGAAAATGTACAAAGCCACTGTCACTCTAAGCCATCCACAGCACCATAGCACTGCCTCCCTGCTAAGGGTTGAAAATCAGGATATAAAGCCATAACGTTAACTACTCCTTTAAAAATATTTAAAAGGAGACCGGGTGTGGTGGCTCATGCCTGTAATCCCAGTACTTTGGGAGGCCAAGGCAGGTGGATCACCTGAGGTTAAGAGTTTGAGACCAGCCTGACCAACATGGCAAAATCCTGTCACTACTAAAAATAGAAAAATTAGCCAGGTGTGGTGGCAGGCGCCTGTAATCCCAGCTACTCGGGAGGCTGAGGCAGGAAAATGGCTTGAACCAAGGAGGCAGAAGTTGTAGTGAGCCGAGGTAACTTCTCCAATGAACTCGAGAGTCAACCCTTGCTTATAGATCTCAAAATGGAGCTTTGAAGAAAATAGGGAAAACCAGAGATTGGTTAATCACTTTGGCTTATTTTTTCCTCTCTTGCATACACAACAAACACACATGGTAAATAAAACGTTTCTGGAAAGGTTGCTAACGAGTTTCAGCTTGGTCACAGTTATTGAACGGAGGAGTAAGCAAGCTCTCAGTCCAATTTCCCAAGTATCTTTTCCTCCCCTTTTCAAACAGGGATCCAGGCGACACTCGTGGCAGACGATCTCAACACCAAAAGAACAGCAGCTGCCAGCTGCATAAAACAGATTGAGGCCTGCAAATTGACTGAAATGATGACTACTCTTAACCAGACATCTCATTTTTCCACTTCTGACAGGCTGAGATCTGCAAACCTCTGGGTCTCAAGAGATGAAGGCTACATTAGCCAACTAAGACGACAAACTCAACTCTTCCTTGTCATTAAATAATTTGCCAGTTATAAATGGTTTGGTAACTTTACAGAATTTAAGTACATGTAATGTTTAAATTTCCCCATTAAATGTAAGAGGCAAAGAAAATCCTTTTAAATAACTAAGCAGAGGATATGAAAGGGGAGCCAAGAATAGACAGAACTGTTACTTTTCAAAGAACCTTCGCTCTTTATTCAAACAAATATTTACACAATTGAAGGCAACGGCAAGAGAGATATAGCCATTCTGTTAAAATAGTGGGCAACTCTAACGGTTTATTTATCCCAAATCCGACAGTTCTGTTGCTAACCTACCAGGAACCAAGAATTCAAGTGTTCACAGGGCAAAAGTTTAACCTTCTGAAACTGTGGACCTCATTTAGATCTCTCCCAGCCGAATTCAAACGTTAGAATCCCAGAGACATATCTCGAACGCCCAAATTAAACCAAACTAGGAAGCTTAAAATTACACGTCCAATACTTGAAAACCTACATCTGTAACTTACACGTTCATATTACGAAGGGAAATGTGGCTGACAAATATTTACACTAAAAAGACTCCACATTTTTATGCCTCGTCTAGTTACACTCCCAGCTGTGCCTGGCTATGACTAGTTGTGCATTCTAGAGCTCTTTAGAGCTACTTCAGAGTTGCAGGATAAAGATTTCTAGGGAAGAGGGCAGGGCCAGGCGCCCGGAGGATTTCCAGCCACGGGTAGTTTACCGAGAGAAAAAGCTGCGGGCGTCGCTCCCTCTTTTACATAAGAAAGGTAAGTGAGGAACCGCGAAGCAGTTTGACTTCTCAAGCTCTTTCAAACAGGAAACCCCAACCCTGGGAGGGACAGCCTGTCAGCCTTTTAATTTCCTGGTGGTGGCGGGAGTTAGCCAGGTCCTCGGCGCTTTAATAAGTGATGACTGCTAGGGCTAAGTTATTAAGCGAACCAGCAAACGATTCAGCTGCGCCTCCGCCGCGCAGGGAGCTGGAGAAACAGAGGGTTAAAATACTCCCCAAGCCTTCCAGCTGCTATCTCTAGGGGTGCCGAGACGGCCACACTGTAAACTTTCAGTGGGGGGTCAAAGGCCAAATCGAAATCAGCCGCTTTTGGCGGTTAAAGCTCGTAGGTTCACTCTTGAAAGAAAGTGGAACTAGAAGCGCAGCTAGCCAAATATTTGCGGGGAGGGAGTCTTCTCTGAATCCCGCGCCCTACACCATCCAGCAGCGGACCTTCTCTTTCTCAGGGAGCTATCCCAAGGATCCCCATCCCTCTCTCCATGTGCATTCCAGAGTTGCTGGAAAAAGTTGCCCCCAGTTCCCCCACATTCTGCCTGTTTTCTACAATCACTCTGGAAGCATCTTCCCTACCAGACACTCCCTCCCCGGGATCCCCTCAACCGGAGATCTACCCAGCCCCCCGAGAGTCATGCACAACGGGGTTCGCCACCCCCACCCACCCAGCTGCGCAGCCTGGGCACTGCCGACCCCAGCCCGGGCTTTTGTCCCTACAGCCTGTAAAGAAGCAAAGAAACTCTGTGTCCCCGGAGCCCACTCACCGTCTCATCTTTCCTCCAAACCGCCGCTCTACGCTGGCGCCGCCGCCCTAGCGCCTAGCCTTTGCCCCCGCCCACCCTGTCTCCCTCCGTGAGCCCGCCGGCCCCTCCTGACTCGCGGTGAGCAGTCAGCGCGCCCCTCCTCGGCCCGGGCAGCCACTGCCTCCTCTCCGCCCCCAACCCTCCGCAGCGCAACCGGCGGCAACCAACTCGGCCGCGGGGGAGGCAGCGTCCCCGGGACGCACTCCTGGCACACGGAGTCGGCACCACCCCCTCCTCCCGGGCGACCACCGCCGCCTCCTCACCTGGCCATTGGTGCAGCCCGTTCCCGGCGGCGAGAGAAGGCAGGCGCGCTCCTTGCGCCACGCCACACCGTCGGGCCCCCGTCGGGTCCCCCTCGGGCCGCAATGGTGGGCTCCGCGCGGCTGGGTCCGGCACTCTTGACCCCCTTTGTAACCACCGCGGCGGGCACCCAGGGAGTTCGAGCAACGAAGTTGGTGACCTGCCCCGCTCCCAGGCAGTTTGCTGTTGGGGCTTTCACGGCTGCTGGAAGGGCATGGCTGTTTGCCCCATCACTGGGCGCCAGCTTCTCAAAGCTACGTTCGCAGCAACGCAGTAGGGACTTTCGTGGCAGGCTTTTTTTAAGAGCTGAAAGAAGGGCGGGAGGGTTTACGTCCTAGGGTGATGATTTCCTCACCAGACAGCGAAGTATCTATTGGGAAACTCCAGGTGACCGCACCTCCTTCCGACAGTTCGCCCCGGGGCAAGTTTACCAGCTGCGTCAGAAAGCAGGTTTGCAAAATCCTTGGAGAACGGCCTGAGCTAAGGACTGGGGTCAGGAGGGTTTTAAACTCATTCTGATTTTCTTGCAATCATATCTCTTGAAAGTTTTTATATTTTCCCCAATATTTTTCTGAGTTGCTATATCCAATGAAAACAATGCTGATGTAGAGGTCCACCAGCCAATGCTTTATTGGAAGTCAACGAATGAGACCGAGGGTGGCCCATAATCAATCTCGGCACGCGGGAATGTGAACCTCTTCCAAGGTCTGGGCGAGTCCCTAGAGTTACGCAGATGAAGGACATTGGCCCTCGAGAATCTCACACCAGCAAAGAAGAGCACAACGAAGCGCAAACTACTTATGATCATTGTGGCTTTGGGCAAGTTGTTGTAGCTCCCAGCAACAATTTCTTCACCTGGAGTGCAGCAATAAATGATACTGGTGCTGCAGGGCAGCTAATAAGCTTCTGAATAATATATGCAAAGTACTTGGCACCATGAGCAGAACTCAGTATACCGTCACTGAAGAAATAGCTTATTTAATGATTACACTTTTCATATGTGCAAGTAAAAGTTTGACTTTTAGGGAGAGCCTCACCTACGGAATGTCTTTTTTAAATTTCTTTTTTAATTATACTTTAAGTTCTGGGATACATGTGCAGAACGTGCAGGTTTGTTACACAGGTATACATGTGCCATGGTGGTTTGCAGCACCCATCAACCCTTCATCTAGGTTTTAAGCTCCGCATGCATTAGTTATTTGTCCTAATGCTCTCCCTCCCCTTGTCCCCCACCCCCCAACAGGCCTCAGGGTGTGATGTTCCCCTCCCTGGGTCCATATGTTCTCATTGTTCAACTCCCACTTATGATGAGAACATGCAGTGTTTGGTTTTCTGTTCCTGTGTTAGTTTGCTGAGAATGATGGTTTCCAGCATCATCCACGTCCCTGCAAAGGACATGAATTCATTCTTTTTTATGGCTGCATGGTATTCCATGGTGTATATGTGCCACATTTTCTTCATCCAGTCTATCATTGATGGGCACTTGGGTTGGTTCCAAGTCTTTGTTATTGTGAACAGTGCTGCAATAAACATACGTTTGTATGTGTCTTTATAGTAGAATGATTTATAATTCTTTGGGTATATACCCAGTAATGGGATTGCTGGGTCAAATGGTATTTCTAGTTCTAGATCCCTGAGGAATCGCCACACTGTCTTCCACAATGGTTGAACTAACTTATACTCCCACCAACAGTGTAAAAGCGTTCCCATTTCTCCACATTCTCTGCAGCGTCTGTTATTTCCTGACTTTTTAATGATTGCCATTCTAACTGGCGTGAGATGGTATCTCGTTGTGGTTTTGATTTGCATTTCTGTAATGACTAGTGATGATGAGCTTTTTTTCATATGTTTGTTAGGAATGCCGGGTTTTTTAGAGGAATTCTTTTCCCTGTCCTGAGTTTTTGCCCTGCAGAAGCATACATACACTGATCAATCCAACAGTTAAACAGTTAAGTGCTCCAGCAATGTTCTTTTCTCACCCACGTCATCTCTTTCCTCCTCTTTTTTGGATCATCCCCATAAACATACAATCATTTTATTTCCATTACCTTGGAATTTTTTTTTCTTTTCTTTTCTTTTTTTTTTTTTTGAGACAGGGCCTCACTTTGTCACCCAGGTTGGAGTGCAATGGCACAGTCATAGCTCACTGCAGCCTTAACCTCCTGGGCTCAAGTGATCCTCCCACTTCAGCCTCCTGAATAGCTGGGACCACAGGTGCAGACCACCATGCCCAGCTAATATTGAATTTTTTGCAGAGATGGGGTTTCACCACATTGCCCAGACTGTTCTTGAACTCCTGGGCTCAAGCGATCTGTCTGCCTCCGCCACCCTAAGTGTTGGGATGACAGGTGTGAGCCACTGTGCCCAGCCTCCTACTTCCCCTTTATCACTCACTTAGCCCCTGCCACAGTGGCCTCGTAGACTAGATTCCTAGGTAAATCCGTTCTATCTCAGGGCCTTTGTTCTAATTGCCCTCTCTGCCTATAATTCCCTCCTCCCAAGTATCTGCATGGTTCACTCCCTCACTTCCTTCAAGACCCTGTTCAATGTCACCGTGTTGCTCAGGCCTGCTCTGACCACTCTACTTAAAAGTTTAAAATGTGTTTTCCATACTACTTAAATTTACTTTTTGACAAAGTCACCACATTCTACTATATTGTAAAATGTACTTTTTAAATTATGTTTATTGTCTGTCTCTCCTCACTAGAATGTAAGGCAGGCAGGCAGAGAGTTTTGCCTGTTCTCTCCAGTGCTATATCCCTAGTGTGCCTACAAGGATACCGGACATGTAAATGGTGCTCAAGAATAAATGATGGCTTTGACCCAAAGCACTGTGTTGCAAACATTTCCTTGCCTCGAGCAATGCCAGAAATACACTTGACTACACAGACATCTTAGAGACAACCTTTCTCCCTTCAGGTCTAAGGAGAATGTGCACCAACACAGCACATTTAGAATGGCCATAATTAGATTGCCAATATTTATGTCTAAGAAAAAAATAGCTAAATTTATTGAGAGCAATAATTACTATTGTATACGTATCCGGTATTCTTCCAAATATAGGACAATATTAGTTGATGCGGTGAGAGTTACTGTTTGTTACTACTCCCATTTTATAAGTAAAAAAGGAATCACAGAGAAGTCAGTTGTCACTCAGGTAATAAGTTGGTAGAGGCAGAATTTGAGCACTTGTTCTTGAGTTCATTGTCTTTAATGCTACCTTCTACCTCTTTTCTAAGTATGAATGTTACTAGGGGATATTTCTGTATAATGAATAATTCCAAATTACTAGACAAAAAGTAATCCTCACTGGCCTCCCTTCACTGCCTTGTTTTATCTGCTAGCATCTCTATCTCTTAGGATAGCCAAGCTCCTAGAAGGCAAAGGGAGTCATTTTATTCATATTTGTATGAATCATACTCCAAGACTTATATATGGAAGGGACTCAAAAAGTAGTCATTGAATGTGACTTTTTCAAGTGACTAAACCCAGCAAAGTTTCCCATTCCTGATGAGTTAGAGTGGTTTTCAATAGCTTTCATAAGGCCATAGCAGCCTGAAGATAGACGAGACCACCCTGAAGGTGCAAGTCTTAAATTAGATAAATTCAGTCCAGGCTCAATGGCTCATGCCTGTAATCCCAACACCTTGGGAGCCGAGGTAGCAGGATTGCTTGAGATTAGAAGTTCCAGAGCAGCCTGGCCAACATGGCAAAACCCGTCTCTACTAAAAATACAAAAATATTAGCCGGGCATGGTGGTGCACCATCTGTAGTCCCAGCTACTCAGGAGGCTGAGGTGGGAGAATCACCTGAGAATTCGAGGCTGGGTGATCCATGATCGCACCATTGCACTCCAGCCTGGGTGGCAGAGTGAGACCTTGTCGCCAAAAAAAAAAAAAAAAAAAAAAAAGACAAATGCAGACCTCAACATCTATAGAAAGCACTCAATAAAGTGCAACTGTTATTGTTATTATTATATTACCAGACTTTCTTTTAGTAATGGTGATGGAAAGAAAGAAGAAAGAAAGGAAAGAAAAGAAGGAAGGAAGCAAAGAAGGGAGGAAGGAAGGAAGGAAAAAGAGGGAAGCGCGGGAGGGGGAGAGAGAGAAAGAAAGAAAGGAAGGAAGGAAGGAAGAAAGAGAGAGTCTTTCTACCTTTTCTATTTCCTGGGTTCTTTATAATAAAGTTTTCTGTTTAATCACAGACCAGAGTCCTGCCTGCGCTCTGCCATTCCTTATCACTAGAGATATTGTGTTGTAAACTAAACAGCAGACCTTTCTTGTTTGCCTCTCCAGGATCTGTAGTGGTTACAGTCCCTGATCTTACTTTCCTGTGTCCTTCACCCTCTCAGGTGGGGAACCTTAAAGTGTTGCACAGTGTTGAGGCTAAAGCAACTCTATCTTGGATGCTAATCTGCCATGCTGACTTTTTTTTTTCTTTTTACCCTAATTCCATGGAAGATTACCTGTTGACTTCTGATTAACCCGAGTTCTGGGAATTACTCTAAGATTTGTACTTTATCTACTGATACCTTAAATCCTGCCCCTGGGTCAAAACAACCTTGACCATAAATCCTGCCCATGGGCAGATTCACAGAGCATTCTTGCCTCTCCCCAAGGGGTCGACTTCAATTCTCCTACACATTCTTTTCCTTTAGTTTATGTGTCTTGACTCTGGGAGTGACAGCGTGGAGATGCACCATCTTTTTTCACAGCCACTGGGGACATGGCTTCTGTTCATAAGTCTCTATTAAATGTTTCTTTCTGAGAAACTGGACTTGTCAGCCTCTTTCTTTGGCTTTTCAGCTTCTGTGGTCTTTGGGAGTAGGTTTGTACATACCTGCTCACTTTGAAACACATACAGTGATATTATGAATTATTTATGTTATTCCATTTGTAATTATTTTTGCTATTGTTCTCTTTTATTAGAAAAGATCGGTTGGATTTGATTAACTTTTTATGTCCTGAATCTGTATATTTGCTCCTTTCTCTGCAATGATAGCCTAACAAATCTTTGTAGCTATTAACTCATTTCAATCTTACTGCAGTTTAACTCATGGAACAATTGTTTGTGCTGAAGTTCGCTTTAATATTATGATGATTTAATGAATCAAGAAGTTTCTACTTGCAAAGTGCAGTGGAAAAATCATTGACTGTGAAGTAAGGCAGAACTGGGTTTTAAGCCCTGATTCAGCCCCTTTGCTAGCTAATATGGTTTGGCTCTGTGTCCCAAACCAAATCTCACCTGGAATTGTAATTCTCATAATCCCCAAGTGTCAAGGGTGGGACCAGGTGGAGGTAATTGGATCTTGGGGGCAGTTTCCCCCATGCTGTTCTCATGATAGTGAGTTCTCATGAGATCTGATGGTTTTGTAAGTGTCTGGCATTTCCCCTTCTTGCATTCATTCTGTCCTGCTGCCCTGTGAAGAAAGTGTCTGCTTCTCCTTTGCCTTTTGCCATGATTGTAAGCTTCCTGAGGCCTCCCCAGCAATGTGAAACTGTGAGTCAATTAAACCTCTTTCCTTTATAAGTTACCCAGTCTCAGGTATTTCTTTATAGGAGTGTGAGAACGGACTAATACAATAGCCAAGTAATTTGAGTGCATTATTTATCTTCACTGAGAAGCAAACTTCTATTCTGAAAAGTAAGAACTATTTTTTTTTTTTTGGAGATGGAGTCTTGCTCTTGTTGCTCAGGCTGGAGTGCAATGGCACGATCTTGGCTCACAACCTCTGCCTACTGGGTTTAAGCGATTCTCCTGCTTCAGCCTCTGGAGTAGCTGGGATTACAGGCATGCACCACCATGCCTAGCTAATTTTGTATTTTTAGAAGAGATGGGATTTCACCATGTTGGTCAGGCTGGTCTTGAACTCTTGACCTCAGTTGATCCACCCACCTCGGCCTTCCAAAGTGCTGGGATTACAGGTGTGAGCCACCGCACCTGGCTGAACTCACATTTTATGAGCCAGTGTGTTAATGTAGGTACCATTCCTTGCACAGAGGACAGACAGCACAAAAAGAACACCCAGCAGAGTAGTTTCCAACCACGTTTGCCTTTCTGGAACTATTGATAATGATGTTGACCATTGAGTTATACACTGACTGTCCTATATAAGTTCAGTTCCAATTTACACACTCTTTTTAGTACTTAGATAAATTGTCTCTCTAAAAAATGAATGTACTTTCATTTCTTAGAAAAGTCATCTTCATCTATTTTCACATTGGATCTGCAACTGTTGTTAAGGGAAACTATGTAACCCACTGTTTCTCTTTGTATCCTTGTTGCCAGGAAGCCCAGAGTCAAGCTTACCATTAAATTTTTGTGTAACGGTAATAAAGACTTTGCTTTCCTCTCCTTTTTAAAATGTTGATGTATTTTTATTCCAATAACCTTATTGAATATTTGGTTTTTACTATACATTCTCTAATATATATTTAAATAGATAAAGTATAAATAACATATTAATCAAATTAATACCAGAATGTTAACCAAAACTAAAGTGAAAATAACTTTTTAACCTCCTAGGGGCATAAAAAGGGAAACACCTAATTTTTGTCTCCTCAAGTTTAATGATTATCCCCATGTGCTGGTTTATCTTTAAACAATTACAAGGTAGGTTCTCTAATTATGAGAAAAATGTAAATCTATTTGGAACATCTGATTAATTTCTGCATTAAACGTTCTCCTTCTGCCCTACCCCCAATCTTTTCTGTGAGTCTGTATTGTAATCAGGCAGGAAAAGGATGGTGTGTGTGTATGTGTGTGTGTGTGTGTGTGTGTGTGTGTCTTTTAGATTAACCTATCCCAGCTGTGTTATCTGGCTCACTTTTCTTATCACTTGAGGACCCTGAATTGGTCTACTTTGCCTGCGTAGTGGGCTTAAAACAAGGAGTTTCTCTGTATCTTATCTGCTTATCATGGAAAAAAGAAACCAACACCTTAACAGCAGTATTCCTCGATACTGAAGAGAACTCAGCTTCTCTTCTCTCTGTTGGTTTTCTTTGTTTTTCCTTTCATCTGACTTTCATCATCCCTCCAGTTATACCATACCTTGATTTCAATTTGTCCTTAATGTTATACATAAAGATAATTATATTATGTATAAAGATAATTATACATAAGGATTATTATAATATATAATCCTATGTATAATATTAATTTATGTATATATAATATATGTGTATTATATATGATCTTTACATATAACATAATTGTATATATAATATATATTTTACATATATATGGAGAGAGAGAGAGCGAGAGAGAGAGGGAGAATGCCACCTTGGGCATCTACCCAATTTGGATAGATGTCCAAATTGATGTGTCAGATATACACAGACTTCAGCACACGGGAGAATTCTGACAACTGAGAGCAGGGGCCAGGATTCAGAACATGAGGAATGTTAAAGGCAAATTTACGAAGCACCTACTCTGTTTTATACTGCCTAGCATATAACTGTAATATGATAATGTAATATATACTAAAAAACAATGATACAGAAGAGTTCAGGTGAAGGGGTATTTGTGTCCTATGAGTCCAACAGGGAAGACAACATATGTGAGTTTCATATTGAAAAAAAAAAGGTTGAGGGGCCTTCTAGGCAGAGGAAAGACCATGAGCAATGTAGGAGGACAGTAAAGCCAAGGCAGATTTGGGAAAGAGTGAGTAATACAGCCGCCTGAGCTGGGGAGGGAGGAGTAGGAGATAAGATCTAGGGTGCTGGGGCCAGATTTGAGGAAAGGGGAAAGATGGGGCTTTGAATTTTAGGCTTCGCATCGAATACCATTTTAATTATGTCATTTCCTTACTCTAAACTTGCACTGGCTTCTTGCTGCGGGACAACAGGAAGAGCCAGCGGCTATGTAGGAAGTGGAACAACATGATTATATAGGCATAGGGTGAAAAAGAAATATGAGCTCCAGCCACAACATTTAAAGACTTTAATAAAGCCGCACTCTACTTCCTGTATTAAACAAGGTGTCAGTCTCAAGTCGAGGCTGCTCAACTGAGAACTGCGTATTCATTAGGGCCACAATTAAGATATTAAATCTCTCCATCCACTCCTGACTGCCCTTTTCCTTTTTCAGAGTTATGATTACTCTGTAGTCACAGATCCTAAAATGCTCACAGAAATACACATGAGCAGGCCCATTTTGGCTGTTGGGTCACTGATGGACTAGAAATTCAGTGACAACATTCCAATTAACTGGCTGTGTCTGCAGGGGCTCAGAGCTACTTGCCAGACCATTTTTAATTTTCCACTTGATGGGGGCAATGTCATTGCTTCTCTCAGGAGAATCGCAAAGAACACTAGTAAAAACCTTTTTTTTTTTTTTTTTTTTTTAAGACAGAATCTCGCTCTGTCACCCAGGCTGGAGTGCAGTGGCGTGATCTCGGCTCACTGCAAGCTCTGCCTCATGGGTTCATGCCATTCTCCTGCCTCAGCCTCCCGAGTAGCTGGGACTACAGGTCACCACCACCACACCCAGCTAATTTTTTGTATTTTTAGTAGAGACGGGGTTTCACTGTGTTAGCCAGGTTGGTCTCCATCTCCTGACCTCGTGATCTGCCTGACTCGGCCTCCCAAAGTGCTGGGATTACAGGCGTGAGCCACCACGCCTGGCCAAAAACATTATTTTATAGCACTCAACTCTGACTGGAGATTTATGTTAGTGCTCAATAAATTCTAAATGGTTGTTTGAAGCATTTATTTCTGAGATACAGATAGTGATGTTATGACTAGTATAGTTCTTTTATTTATTTATGTATTGACTTTAAAGACAATGTCTTGTTCTCTTGCCCAGGCTGGAGTATAGTGGTGTAATCATAGATCATTGTAACTTGAAACCTGGACTCAAGCCATCCTCGTGCCTCAGCCTTCCAAGTAACTAGGACTACAAGTGCATGCCACCACACCCAGATTTTAAAATTTTTTTGTAGAGATGGGATCTTGCTACATTGCCCAGGCTGGTCTTGAGCTCCTGGGGTCAAGTGATCCTCCTGCTTCATCTTAGTATGGTTATTTTAGTCTCATTTGAATTTATGACTATCCTCAAAAACCAAGAATTTCTTTTTAAATTTTTTAAAATTTCAACAGCTTTTTAGGTACAAGTAGATTTTTTATTACACGAATGAATTATATAGTGATGAATTTTGATATTTTAGTGCACCCATCATGCAAGTAGTGTACATTTACCTAATGTGCAGTTTTTTATCCCTAGCCCTGCCCCCCTCACCTTCTCCCTTTGAGTTTCTAAAGTCCATTATGTCACTCTGTATACCTTTGTGTACCCATAGCTTAACTCCCACTTATAAGTGAGAACATACGGTTTTCAGTTTTCCACCCCTGTTATTTCACTTAGAATAATGGCCTCCAGCGGCTGGGCGCGGTGGCTTATGCCTGTAATCCTAGCACTTGGGGAGGCCGAGGTGGGTGGATCACAAGGTCAGGAGATCGAGACCATCCTGGCTAACATGGTGAAACCCTGTCTCTACTAAAAATACAAAAAATTAGCTGGGTGTGGTGGTGGGCGCCTGTAGTCCCAGCTACTCGGGAGGCTGAGGCAGGAGAATGGCGTGAACCCGGGAGGCGGAGCTTGCAGTGAGCCGAGATCGCGCCACTGCACTCTAGCCTGGGCGACAGAGCGAGACTCCGTCCCAAAAAAAAAAGAATAATGGCCTCCAGCTCCATATAAGTTGCTGGAAAAGACATTATTTCATGCTTTTTAATGGCTGAATAGTATTCCATGGTGTATCTATACCACATTTTCTTTATTCACTCA
Organism: Homo sapiens; assembly: GCF_000001405.40. Lineage (NCBI taxonomy): Eukaryota > Metazoa > Chordata > Mammalia > Primates > Hominidae > Homo > Homo sapiens. The sequence goes on along the minus strand of NC_000003.12, from coordinate 111,849,756 downwards.
TTAGTTGATAGGCACTTAGGTTGGTTCCACATCTTTGCAATTGTGAACTGCACTGCTATAAAATATATGTGCAAGTGTCTATTTTGTATAATGACAAGAACTAAGAATTTCTGAGTTACAAATATTCCTAAAGAAGATTATCAAAATTCACTTGCTGTGCTGTTCAAATGGAAAACAAAAGAAGCTCTATTTAAAAGGTCATTCTCTTAATGGTAATTTCCAGAGCTTGATTCCTACGGTATTAGTATTATATTTACAAGACTGACATAAGAATTTTCAGAACTTTGGCCTGGCACAGTGGCTCATGCCTGGAATCCCAGCGCTTTGGGAGGCCAAGGTGGAAGGATCATTTGAGCCCAGGAGTTTGAGACCAGCCTAGACAACATAGCAAAACCCCTTCTCTAAAAAATTTTTTTCAATTATCCAGGCATGGTGTCTTGGGCCTATAGTCTTACCTACTCTGGAGACTGAGGCAGGAGGATCACTTGAGCCTAAGAATTCAAGGCTGCAGTGAGCTATGATTCCATCAATGCATTCCAGCCTAGGCAATAGAGTGAGACCATATCAAAAAAACAAACAAACAAAAAAGAAACAAACTCCAGAACTTTAACATGGGTATATGGATTCACTGTATCTTCAATGTTAATATTAAAGTTAGCTTTATAAAAGGCTTGGCAACCCATCAATTCACAAGAGGAAAGTTTCATATACAGTCGGGCATTGCTTGAGGCTAGGGCTATGTTCTGAGAAATGCATTGTTAGGTAATTTTGTCATTATGCAAACATCATAGAGTCCACTTACACAAACCTAGGTGGCATAGTCTGTTACACACCCAGTCTATATGGCATAACCATAAGAATGGCATAGCCTATTCCTAGGCTACAAGCCTATATAGCACGCTACTGTACTGAATACTGTAGGCAACTGTAATATAATGGTAAATATTTGTGTATCTAAACATCTCAACACAGAAAAGGTAAGGTGTTGTGCTACTGTACCACTGTCACCAGATGATAAGACATTTTCCCACTCCATTATAATCTTGCAGGGCCACTGTTGTACATGTGGTCCCTCATTGATTGAAACATTATGCAGTGCATGACTGTATATGTCTAAAGGCAGTATTTTTCTCCCCACACCCCAAGTCTGTTGGCAGAGCTTTCTGTGGCTCTTCCTCTGTTTCTTCAACAAAAATCCCAGATAAGGTCTGAGATCCCTCAACACTTGGAGTGCTGTTTGGGGGGGTCAAAGCACCAAAGCACTTATGCTTTTTACTCCTCTAGCCTGCTGAGCATTGATGAGCAATGTAATCAAGACAAGCTCTGATGTGGTTTATTGTTTTCCTGTTGCAAAAGCTAGTTTTGTCCTGCAGAAGTTATCAAAGTGACTATCCAGGTGGAAAACTCCTTACACAGGCAGTTTTGAAGGATCCCTAGTGGCAGGTGGCGGGGGGTAACCTTACCCTTGATGAATAATTCACTGGTAATTAGTTCTCAAAGGAAAGTTTTATCTCTCATGGGCTATTAGCATTTTATGATAGATTCTCAATTACTTTGTTGAATGCTTTGATCCTACTGGAAATATCAGTCCTTTGTTTTTCATTCCAACTTCCACAATCCTCAGTACAAGAAAGAAGGAAGGTTTAGGAATGTACACGGGGGAAGGTGAGGGTCGCATACTGCCTACCTACACAGAGGTATCCTTTGGGCACAGCAGACGTAACATGTCCTAATCATTACATCATTATCACCTTCCCTCACGTGCACCCCTCAGCCCTCCTTCTTAATTGTAGTCTACAATTAAGTAAAGGACACCCTCTTAGATCCAGTCATCCAACTCCCTTATCTGGGAAACTTCTTCAGTCCCTCAAGTCCTCCTCAACCCCTATTACCAATACATTGCCAAATCATATAATTTTTACCTCTTAAATATCTGTCAATAGTACTTTTCATCCCCTTGCCTTCATTTACTACCTGGTATTTCCCCACTTTTAGAGAGAGCCAGGAATAAGTCAAGGGGAGATGGAACCTCATTAGGCCCAGGGCTAAAGGGACATTGGGTGTGCAGTAAGTAAGGCTCTCCCAAGGAAATGGAAGATGCAGAGCCTAAAGAAAAAGCTAAGATCCACATTTTGGAAAGAGGGTCTGGAAGTATCAAATCCAAGACTGTGCATTTGGCCGTGAGAGGGGATGGGGTATAGGGCAGTTGCTGAGTAATATTCAGTACTTAAAGCTTCCACTTATGGCAGGATGTGATGGCCAGGTGTGATGGGATGGGAGGATATTGGAATTGTAATAGGCTCCTAAATCAAGCCTCAATAACAGTACTTAAAATTTTAAGTTCTTTTATTAGTCTTTTTTTCCCCTAATCTCCTGCACACAATTCTAAGCTGTATGAGGACCGGGATCTTTCTATCTTGTTCATTGTCATATCTCCAGTGCGTCTCTCAGAACTTCATACATGACAGACACTATTAAATATTTGTTGAATAATTACATAAATTGGTCTTTACCGAAACTCTAATCTCATCACTCCAATGCTTAGAATTCTTCAATAACTTCTCAAAGCCTTTAGGATAAAATAAATCTGGAATCCTCAGATTAGCATGAAAACAAATAAACAAAAAAAAATGTCATTTGGTTTCTCCAGGTTATTTTCCCACCTAATAGCTTGTCATTTCCTTCCTCCTCTTCCTGCAAGGAGGGAGCATTCCAGTCACAGTAAACTGCCTGCAGTTATTCACATGAGTCACATTCATGTATCTCTTTCCTCATAATCACAATTCACCTAGCAATAGTTGCTTCAGAAATCACCCTCTCCAGAAAGTCCAAAACCATGACTGGTTTTGGTTAGATGTCAAAGTATTTCACATCGTCATATTGCAATGTTTCTGTTTTATTTTCCATGTCTGCTCGAGATAAACACTCCCTACAGATTGCAGAATTCCCAGCCAGCCCCCACAATAGAGCAACTGAGTAAGACAATTGCTTAAAATCTCTCTTTGTCTCTCCTTCTCTGTGTGTGTGTGTATGTGTGTTCTATTGGTTCTGTTTCTCTGGAGAGCCCTAACACAGGTTTTTCTATTTTAACTTCTTGTGTCTAGAACTTAGCACAATGAGTAAATGAAAAATTAAATCTAGTTTGGAATTGCCCTCCCTTAATACAAGAAGACTTTGCAGTACAGAGCTGGTCAGCTGGTCAGAAGGAAATACTAATGAGATTGGCTGAAACTAGGTAACCAAGCTTATCCCTCAGCCTTCTGGTTACTTGATCATCTGAGGCATAATAAAAAATAATGAGGAATATATACACTTTATAAGCCTATTTATTCTGTTTGAGTGCCAGGGAAACCCTTTGCAAAGATTTCATCCAGAACCACAAACCCTGTGAATTGGGAGTAGTCGTATTGGAGCCTCCTCCCTCCTCAGATATGTCAATATCAGCTACTCTGCTGGAGTCTAAAGGCTTGGTGTCTTTCTCTATACATCCCATCCCACCCTTTCTTGTGCAGGCTTTGATTTCTGAATGACTGATGAGTCACTGGGAAAGACCTCCACACCAGCTGCTTGGGTCTTCCCATCCTTCAGCATCTGGACTAAATAAAACCTCAGCATATGACTTCAGTGAAGTAAGATATGGTGGCCTGTGAACAAGCAGGTGACCAAAGTTCTGGGCAAGGATTGCCAGCCTCAGGCTCTCTTCCCCAATGATTGCTGGACTCCTGGGTATATGCTTGAAAATGCCAGCTCATTCCCAATATGTATGATGGAGTAAGAACTTGTAAATATGTACTGAAAACCTCTGACAATAAAGTTCTCACCGAAATGTTGCACATCACCAACTCCATCTTCCTTGGGCACCTCTCTCTTGGTATCCTCCTCCTCCATCAGGATCTTCTGCTGAATCTCAAAGGATAAACTGGGATCAGTGCCAGCCTGCACACAGCAAGAAAAGAGAGGTACCATGATTGGAAAGCTGAATTGACCTCTGAAAACTCAAGGTCAACAGAACTTCATCTGTTGAACTCAGATGTTTAACATCCGGGGAAACTAACTACTGCTGAAGTTGAAAAACAGACGTCCTGGATCACTCTGTTATTCCACTGCTATCTTCCCTGTAAAACAACAGAACTTCGCCACCACCAGCACCACTGACAACAAAAGCACACTTTTATCTAGAATAGACAAATCTGGCAAACAAGTAATGGACAATGCTTAAACCAAAAGAGGAACCAGTTTCTTAGCATAGTTATTTCTTCTTGGGCATGTTGCTGCTTATTTTCTATTTTTCATCCCCTGCTTTTTATTTACCAGCCACCCTGTTAGGTACTTTGTCTTTACTATTTCTTCTACTTTTTACAAATCCCATAGTTTTTTTTTTTTTTTTTTTTTTTTTTTTTTTGAGACAGAGTCTTGCTCTGTCACCCAGGCTGGAGTGCAGTGGCGTGATCTTGGCTCACTGCAACCTCCACCTCCCGGATTCAAGCAATTCTCCTGCGTCAGCCTCCTGAGTAGGTGGGATTACAGGCATGTGCCACCAGGCCTGGCTAATTTTTTTGTATTTTTAGTAGAGACGGGGTTTCACCATATTGGCCAGGCTGGTCTCGAACTCCTGACCTTGTAATCCACCCACCTCGACCTTCCAAAGTGCTGGGATTACAGGCATGAGCCACTGCTCCCGGCACAAATTCTATATTATAGGGAAAGAAACCAGTGTCCTTGTTCTCAAGAGCTTCCCAAAGAGTTCCTGACTTTAAGTCCGGATTCCTGCAGCTGACATATCTGATATTCTCTGTAGACACAGGGGAGCCCCAGGAGATAACCTGGTCCCACTATCATGTAAGTAAGGCCTCCCATTTGTTGTACACCTAGTATGCCAAATATTGTCCCACTTGATTCTCACAATGTCTCTAAGACTAAGTGCTGTCATTTTTTTCTTTAACAAATGAGGAGCCAGAGACTGAAGAGGAATAATTAGAGAGTTATCAAAAGTCACATAACCAGTGATGTACATTACCTAATAAGGGGACAATCACCATCTCCTATTCAAATGCTAAAACATACCAGGTTTTGTTTATATTGCTCTTGGTATATTAAGGAGAATGAACCTTAATGGTGGCAGAATTGGAGGTAGAAAAATAAGTTAGAGGTCTATACAATAATTCAGGGGAGAGATGCTAAGAAACTAAACTAAAGGCATTTGTGTACAATAGTGAGATGCAGACTGTATGATATACCTGAGAGGTACAACGCATCAAGCCAACATGATTTATTGATTCTAGAAGGTGTGTACAGGGGAGAGAGAGTTTGATTTGGGTAAGTGACGGATGATGGTGCCATTATCTACGAACAGAAATATTGAAAGTAGAACAGATGTGGGGTGAGGAGGGGAATTTAATTCTGGACATGTTGAATTGAAATATATCTGTAGGGCATCCAAGTGAAGTGCAGGGTAGAGAACAAGATTAGAGATGTATATTTGGAGGATGCAGATCAAGACAAGTTTGTTTTTGTTTTTTTTCAAAATGGGAGGGAGCAAGGCAAACTGTCTCATAGGCTGAGAGAGATGTTAAAGATCTAGGAAACAGAGAGATTAAGTGACAGAGGAATGTCCTGGGAGAATAGAGAGAGGATGAGGTCAAGAATCCAGCTGGAGTGTTGGTCTTGACTAGAATAAGCTCTTTTTATCTCAAGAGCATGGGTAGTGAAAGCAGGTAAGGGTAGATGCCAATGTAGGTCAACAGCTATGTGATGGGAAGGTTACAATTAGAGGATTTTTACATTACTGAGTTTTTTACGTACTGAGTTTACATACATTGTTTTTGTCTATGAAGAACAAGGCCAAGTCTTCCATTGAAAGTGTACTATTTAGGAGATAACTGTTGAAATATAAACTTCCATAAGTTATACTTAAAAGAAGCTTTAAAAACTTTTGTGCTATAAGCAATACCATCAAAAAAGTGAAATGAGAGCCCACAGAGCAGGAGAAAATGTTTGTAAATTATATATCTGATAAGGGATTTGTAGCTAGAGTATTTGTAAAACTCTTAAAATTCAAAATACTTGGCAAAGCATGGTGGCTCACTGCTGTAATCCCAACACTTTGGGAGGCTGAGGCAGGAGGATCACTTGAGCCCAGGATTTCAAGACCAGCCCAGGCAACATAGAGAGATCCTGTCTGTACCAAAGATTTTAAAAAATTAGCCAGGCATGCTGCCATGTGCCTGTGTTCCCAGCTACTTGGAGGTTGAGGCAGGAGGATGGCTTGAGCCCTGGAGTTAAGAGCTGCAGTGAGCTCTGATCATGCTACTGTGCTCCAGCCTGGGCAACAGAGCAAGACGCTGTCTAATAAAAAAATCAAAATACTCAAAGGATTTGAGTAGACATTGCTCCGAAGGAGATATACTGAACATCTTTAGCCATTTGGGAAAGGCACATCAATACCACAATATGATACCATTTCATACCCACTGGGATGGCTATAATAAAAAAGACAGATTGTAACAAGTATTGGAGAGAATGGAGAAATTGGAGCACTCATAGGGTGTTTGTGGAAATACAAAATGCCTCTTTGGATCACAATCTGCCAGTTTCTCTAAAGGTTAACAGGGCTGCCATAAAATCCAGAAATTCCACTCCTACGTATATACCCCAAAGAAATGAAAACATATGTTCTCACAAAAACTCATATGTAAATGTTCATGGTGTCGTTATTTGTAATAGCAAAAAATGGAAACAACTCAGATGTATTTCAAAAGGTGAATGGATAAAGCGTGATTTATCTATACAATGGAATATTATTCAGCAATACAAAGGAATAAAGTACTGACAATGCTTCAACATGGATGAACTTTGAAAACATGCTAAATGAAAGAAGGTAGTCACAAAAGATCACATATTACATGATTACATTTATATGAACTGTTCAGAATAGTTAAATCTATAGAGACAGAAAATAGATTTGTGGTTGCCTGGAAGTGGATGTAGGGAAGAGATGAAAGAGGAATAGAGAGTGCTGCTAATGGGTGTGGATTTTCTTTTGAGAGGAAAATATTCTAAAGTTAGCTTCTGGATGACTCTTTGAATATATTAAAAACCATTGAATTGTAAACTTTAAGTAGGTGAATTATATGGTCTGTGAGTTATATCTCAATAAAAGCTGTTTTTTAAAAAAAGAAGCTTCACAGAAGATTTTTAGGGCAGTGAAAATACTCCGTAAGATACTGTAATAGTGGATACAGGTTATTATATATTTGTCTAAACCCATAGAATGTACAATACCAAGAGTGAACCCTAATGTAAACTATGGATTTTGTGTGATGGCAATGCATCAATATATAGGTTCACCAGTTCACCAGTTGTAACACACATACCACCCTGGCGGGGATGTTAATAAGGGGAAAGGCCATGTTTGTGTGAGGATGGGGATATATGAGAAATCTCTGTACCTTCATCTCAATTTTGCTGTGAACCAAAAAATAGTCTTTAAAGAAAAAAAAGCAGAAGCTTAAAGTCTAAGGAAAAGATTGTTGATGGAGGCAAGAAGTGAACACTGCTAAAGACCAGATAATAATAATGGCCATTATATTTGAGCAGTTATAAGCCAGGTACTGTGCTAAGTGTTTTACCTACATTATCTCCTTTATAACTTCACTATAACCCTATAAGGTACTTTTCCCTAAATTTACAGAAATGCAATTAAAGCTGAGAAAAATAAAGAACTTGTCCAAAGTCAATAGTAAGAAAGATAGGAAGACAAAATGCAGACCTAGATCTGTGTGAGTCTGTTCCTTAATACATGTACTGTGCTGTCTCCCACAAGCTTTGCTTTGCTTTCTAACTCTGACTTTCTAGGTTCCGCACAAATGCCAACATCTTCAGGCCAATTTCTTTTTCCAGGGCATTCCTACAGTGCTCTAGGTCTATCAGTCTTAGAGTGGTAGACAGCATTTCTACCTCTACAGTCTAATGAAGAGTTGCAGAATCAACACATTCATAATAAAAATGTTGTGGAATAAATGTATTGATAAATGTTCACTCTCCTTAACTCCTCCACACGCAGGAGTCTTAGAAGCCCAGCTGACACCCTGTACAGAGTGATTTCCTGATGTTCAGAGCACTTACAGCCAGAGTAACTGAGAGCCCAACCCAGAGAAAACGCATCTCTTTATTCTATTTGAAGAGGTTATGAGTGAGAAGAAAAGAACAAAAGTTGATCTCAACTGTTAGATAGAGAGACAATGCCCATACTCATTCACCTGTCAAGGTGGTTCTGGAGTTCTACAATCTTGATGCAACCTTCCACCTTTCCTCACATAATAACTGCAGATATACCTAAATTAGTTCCTGGTATGTAGGAGGGGTTCAAGAAGTTTCCTCTTCCTTTTTCATTCCTTTACAGTTCCCCCCTCCTCCTACTCCTACTCAATAACCATGAAAAGCTCACTGTTTAAATTCAAACCCCTTCTCTACTAAAAATACAGCTAAAAATTAGCTGGGTGTGATGGCGGGTGCCTGTAGTCCCAGCTACTCAGGAGGCTGAGGGATGAGAATCGCTTTAACCTGGGAGGCAGAGGTTGCAGTGAGCCAAGATCACGCCATTGCACTCCAGCCTGGGCGACAGAGTGAGACTCCGTCTCAAAAATAAATACACAAAATTAATTAATTAAATAAAATTATAAATTCAAACTTCTAGTCTGGAATGGAGTAACTATAAAAGAAGAGAAAAAATACAAACCTAGCTCCCTAGATTAGCTGCCTAAACTCCTCTGTGGCCTGGTAATCATGACAAAATGGTATTGGGGACTATCTGCCTGCTGATGAAACTATGACATCTGTCCACATATGTCTTTATGCATTATTATAATGTGAGAGGCAGTAGAAGAAAAGTAGTTCTTTTTAATAAAATAGGGTATACCAGTGTTTACGTGAGCTTACATTGTGTCAGGCATTGTACTGAAGTCTGTATAGACATCTTGTCATTTTATTCTCACACAATCTTTTGAGTAGGTTCGTCTAATTGATAGGCAAGAAAATTGAGGGCAGAAGAGGAGGAATAACTTCTCTAAGGTCACCTAGTCAGTAAGAGAGGAGTCAGCAACCTCCCCTTAATTTATGTGGCCCTAAGACAGGTCTATTTCTGTGTTAGATTGTCTCTTTATCTTTTCTGTTATCATCAAGCTCCCTTTCATGGAAACTGTTCTCCTAAAAGTGGTATGGAGGAAAATGACTCTAATGTGTAAACAAGACTACAAGCCATTATCCAATATCAATGCAAAAATGCTAGAGTAAATATTAGAAAACAGAATCCAAACACCACATTAAGAAAATATACCATGACCAGGTAGGATTTATTTCTGGAATGCAAGGATGATTCAATATGAGGAAATCTATTAATTTAAATACTATATTAGTAGATATAAGAAGATTAATTGTATATTATCCTCAGTTGGGGAAAAGGCTTTTTAAAATTCTTTTAATTTTATTTTATTAAACAAATTTTTTTTGGAGACAGGGTCTCACTGTCACCCAGGCTGGAGTGCAGTGGTGCAATCATAGCTCATTGCAGCCTCAACCTCCTGGGCTCAAGCAATTCTTCTGCCTCAGTCTTCCAAGCAGGTAGGACTACAGGCATGTACCACTCTACCTGGCTAATATTTTTATTTTGATTTGTTAGAAATGGGGCCTCACTATTTTGCCTAGGTTGGTCTTAAACTCCTTGTCTCAAGCAATTCTGCTGCCTCAGCCTCCCGAAGTGCTGGGATTACAGGCATGAGCCACCACACTTGGCGCAAAAAAAAAAAAAAAAAAAAAAAAGCGGGGGTGGGGGGCTTTTAAACAAAACTCAATTCCTATTCCTGATAAAAACACTCAAGAAAATAGAAATTGAGGCATATTTTCTACACTTGATCTTAGCCATAAGGCTGAGAAATGATAATGCATATTTTTCTATACCTCGGTCCTAAAGCCGGTGTTATGTTTAGTCAGAAAATACTAGAGGTATTTCCACTGAGATTACAAAAAGGTAAGGATGCTTACTCTCTCTCCATCTATTGAACATTTTTTTCCTAGAGATTATAACCAACACAATTAAAAAAGAAAAAAATCGATTCACAGGAAATGGAAAAGAAGAAATAAAACTATTTACAGTTGATATAGTTTACCCAGAGAATCTGAGAAAATCAATGATAAACTCACAGGCCATAAAATCAACTTTATCTTTTTAAAATGCTAAAGATAATGTTAATTTTAAAATAACTTCAAATGTTAAAAGCTGCAAGAATAGCACAAAGAACATTTTTTTTCTGGAGCTACTTGAGAGTACATTGTGAACAGAGAGCGCATCACTGTTGAATAATGTGTAACTCTTCCAAGAAGGGCATTTTTCAGATAACCAATACACAAGAATCAAAATCAGGACATTGTCATTGACACTAACATTAAATTCACAAACTCTGTTCAAGTTAGTTAATTATCCCAATAATATTCTTTATAGAATGCAATCTAGGAACATGTGTTATATTTAGTTTTTCTGACTCTAATGTTTTTGTTTGTTTGTTTGTTTGTTTCAGTCTGGAAGAGCTCAGTGTGGGTGGCCTCTTGGCTAATTTATCCTCACTTGCACCCTCTCAGTACCAGGGGTAATGGAAGAGACAAAGAGGGTGACCACAATCAAACCCATCCTGCCAGACATATAAAATGAATAATTGCTTGAGTGTGTAGAGAAATCTGGAAGTGATTCTATACTTTTATCTTATTTTTACTATAAAAGTTTTGAAGCAGACTATAAAAATAGAAATATGTTAAATGATGAATATTCATTCTGCTGAATTCTTCCTAGATAGAATGTTCACAAGAAAAAAATTGTCTTATTTCCAAAATGATTCTCCTAAATTAGATTTAGAAGTGTATCTGTTCTTAGGTCAGTATATGCTCAGCACTAACTGCTCTTCAAGAAAATCTCAGAGTCTATTCTTAGATTAAATTTTAAACAGATAATACCGAGAACACAACTATCCTCATTTTGTTAGATATTAATTCTAAGCAAGTTTTAAAAAATATTCTAATCTGACTCTGCCTCAAAGTTCTGTTGGAAATTCAGATTGTCACTAATTCTGTGGGGCTGTAGTTCAAATTTCTTTATATGTAAAGCCTACAACTATTTTTTCCTAGTTATATTTTTATGGTAATCAAATTATTAGCCTTCATCCATGTTGACTGTCTGAAGGGTTCTGAAAGTATAATAGGTATATAAGTAACTTCCATGCTGTGCTGGTTTGATGAATTTCTGGGAAATCAACCCAGATACATTATTGGATTTGCTATCATTCTTGTAGAGCTGCTTTTCTGAGAACAGTTTGGAAAGGGAAAGAGGGATTGTGGGCAGGGTCAAATTCCTCTTCTAGGTTGCCAGAGGCAAGAGCGTACTGAGGAACTTTTTAAACATACAGGTTCCTGGGTAGGAGTGGTGGCAGGTGCCTATAGTCCCAGCCGATCAGGAGATAAAGGCGGGAAGACTGCTTGAGCCCAGGAGTTTGCGACAAGCCTGGGCAACATAGCGAGAACCTGTCTCTAAAACAAACATGCAAACAAATACATAAATAAAAATAAAATTACAGGTACCTTACCCGCACTCTAGACTTTCTGAATCAGAATCTGTGTTGGTAGGTTCAGTAATGTGTGTTTGTTGTTGTTGTTGTTGTTGTTGTTATTTTTGAGACAGAGTCTCCCTCTGTCACCCAGGCTGGAGTGCGGTGGGACGATCTCAGCTTACTGCAACCTCCACCTCCCGGGTTCAAGTGATTCTCATGCTGCAGTTCCCGAGTAGCTGAGATTACAGGCGTGCATCACTATGCCTGGCTAATTTTTGTATTTGTAGTAGAGAAGAGATTTTGCCATGTTGACCAGGCTGGTCTCAAACTCCTGGCTTCAAGTTATCCTCCTGCCTTGGCCTTCCACAGTCCTGAAATTACAGGTGTGAACCACCGTGCCCGGCCAGGTTCAGTAATATGTATTTGTAAGAAGTTTCCAAAGAAAGTCTTCTGTAGTAAGCTTAATACTAACCTTGATTAGCTTTGAGAAATTGTGTCCCACAGAATGTCAGTTTAACAGAATGATCCCATAAAAAAACTAAGGAGTTTTGGAAATGATGCATTCTATAGCCCCTCCTTAGCAAGCCATGGGACATATTAGTATATGCATTTAGTATAGGGTCTGAGGAAACATCTACTTAATTTTGTGTAATCCAGCATTTCTCAGATTTATTTGAGTACAGCACACACTTTTTTTGACACAACAGAAATTACTATGCACCCCAAAGAGCACGACTTTGAGAGAGATTGATATAGAACACACTCTTCTCCATGCCACCCCCTCTTTATTAATAGATCAACTGTTTGATGTTAGGCAACTCAGGAATGAATGTAACTTCAAACTTTTATAAGGAATATTGTACAAGGTTGCGTAAGAACTTCCTGCCTAGTATTCTCTGGCTCTTCCTCTGTTCATTCCTAAACTTTAGATATTTTTTAAAAACCGATAACAGTTATGGTAACAAATGTGCACTGATTTCTTACTCTATGCAGACTGTGTTCTAAGCACTTTGCAGGCATTATACCCCTTAATACACAGCCCTCTGAGGTAGTTTCATTACTATAACAATGTTATAACAGGATACTGAGGTACAGAGATATTAAACAACTAAACCTAAGAAAACTCACAGTAAGTGGTGAAGCAGGTATTACAGACACTAAATCCAGGTTCTCAGATTCAAAGTCTATAATGTTAACCACTTCATTATTCCACCTGAATAATGTAGATTTGATATGGTTTGGCTCTGTGTCCCACCCAAATCTCATCTCGAATTGTCATCCCCATGTGTCAAGGGAGGGACCTGGTGGGAGATGATTGGATCATCGGGGTGGTCCACTCTTGCTGTTCTCCTGATAGTAAGTTTTCATGAGGTCTGATGGTTTAAAAGTTTTTGGCAGTCCCCCTCACCTCCTGTCACCATGTAAGATGTGCCTTGCTTCCCCTTCACTTTTTGCCACAATTGTAAGGTCCCTGAGGCCTCCTCAGCCATGTGGAACTGTAAGTCAATTAAATCTTTTTCCTTTATAAATTGCCCAGACTCCGGTGGTTCTTTATAGCATGTGAAAATGGACTAATACGAGATTCTTTGGTAATCTTATTCAAAGCCAAAGCTTCCCTTGTTCATGGCTTCCTAAGCCCTGTCCCTAATGCTTGCTCTCTCTTCTGAGCTACAGATCTACATCCCTAACTGCTTGTTAGACACGTCAGTGAGGAGCTAGAACTGGATTCTCAAACTTAACATATCTCTGTAGAATCTCATCTTCCCTTTCCAAACTTACCCTTCCTTTTGTTTTCCCTCTTTCCAGCATTCATGAATTTCTTCATATGACAACTGTGAGCACTTACCATGCATTTGGCACTGTGCTCTGTTGGGGACTTAAAGGTGAACAGGGCTTCTTATTCCTGACTTCCGTTTGGCTCATAACTTCAGTGAACACATGCTTCATCATGGCCACTTTCTTCTCTTTCTGCATTTTGTCCTTTCAGATTAGTCTCCAGCAGCTGTTTTATTCTGTAAGTTGTTCTTAAGTCATATCATTGAAAAAGAATTTGGTTGTTGGATTATCTTTCTCTGAAAGGACATTGGCATGTCTGTAGGTGCTGTGGCAGATTGTATTACAAAAATGGCCCCACTGGCTTACATGCTCATGCCACCATGTGACATTGGCAGCCCTCCATCATGAGGTGGGGTCTACATTTCTCCCCTTGGATCTGGATGGGCCTGTAAATACTAGTGGAAGTGATGCTATGCTATGTGCTTTTCAAGGCTAAGCTCTAAAAGGCAGACAACTTCTTCCTGGCCCTTCGGAGAAGCTAGCCCTTGGAACCTAGGCCCTGAGTCGTGAGGAAGAGGAAAGACTACATGGGGTCACTATGTAAGGTGTTCCTGGTGACAGCTCCTGCTGAGGACCCAGCTGACAGCAAGCACCAACCTCCAGACAAGTGAGTAAGATTTCAGATGATTCCTAGTCCTATCCTTTTCGTGTCCCCAGCTGATGCTGAGTGAAGCAGAGACAAGATGTTCTCTCTGAACCTTAGCTAAATTGCAGAGTTGGAGCAGCATAAATACTGTCATTGTTTTAAGCCGCTGAGTTTTGGGGTGTCTGTTACACTGCAATCGACAGTGGGAACAGGTGCCTACCATTATTTTCACCAGCTATTGACAGAGGCAGAGTCACATGGCATAAAGTATAGCTACCTGGAAGGAGCTGCTGCTGGGGAAGCAGGCACCATTATTAAGTGTCAATTGTGTGCCATCCGTTTCACATTTTTAAATCTCTGTAACACTTAATAAAGTACTTTGCATGTAGTATATGTTGAATAAATATTTGCTAAATTGAGTTGAAATATGGCTTGATAGTTAAGTACATGACCTTAGCAGTCAGATATACTACACAAACCACAGCTCTAGATGCTACAGCTGTGTGATGGGAAGCAAGTTTCTTCCCCAATCCATCAGTTTCTATATTTTTATGGTAATAAAAATATCATTAAACTCTGAAACTGATATAAGGATTAAATATTTAAGGCATGTGCAAGTGCCTAAGAATGAGAGGCTCATGGTAAATCTCTCTCTCATTCTCTCTTAAATTTTGGGACAAAATGAGAAGGATTGTAGCCTGATTGTGAGGGATCTTGAAGCATAGTTAAGGTTCCTTTTTTAGGCATTAGGGACTCATGGAAAATTACAAAGGTGTGATATGCATAAGGCAAGGTTTGAGAAGATTACTATGGCAATAATGTGTAGAAAGGATATATAAAAACCAGTTCCGAAGCTAAAGTCAGTGTCCAAGAATGTTAGGGTCTAAAAAAGACTTAAAAATATAGCCAAGGGGATATCAGGTCAGGAATAAATTGCAGGATGATATTACAAAGGAAATTTCCATAGTCTTTGATTGGCTGGGTTTGAGTCTACCAAGGAAAAAGTTAAAATAAGAAAAGCAAGTCCAAAATTGGTCTCAATAATTTGGCAGCATTTATTAAAGGATCCCCTATGATTCAACAATTTCACTTCTAAAAATTTGTCTTATAAAGAAATGAGGGCAAGAGTACTTAAAGTTATATGTCAGAGATATTTACTGCATCCTTGTTTGTGATAACACAGTGTTGAGAAACTATAATACCATCAGTAAGGTCATGGTTAAGTAGACTACTATATGTTCATACAATCAAATGATATGAAAATGAGGTAAATCTAGATAAACTGACCTGAATGATAAGTTGTAAGTGAAAAGAGCAAGTTGTAAAGCTATATGTGTGTATATATATACACACATATATATAAAAATCAGATGACTATATATATAGTCATCTGATATATATATTATATATAATGCCATTATATATATAATAGAATTATATATATTATGTATATAATAGAATTATATATATTATGTATATAATAGAATTATATATATAATTCTATTATATACATAATATATATATAATTCTATTACATATATAATTCTATTACATATATAATATATATAATTCTATTACATATATAATATATATAATTCTATTACATATAATATATATATAATTCTATTACATATATAATATATATAATTCTATTACATATATAGTATATATAATTCTATTACATATATTATATATAATTCTATTACATATATTATATATATAATTCTATTACATATATTATATATAATTCTATTACATATATTATATATATAATTCCATTACATATATTATATATATAATTCCATTACATATATTATATATATAATTCTATTACATATATTATATATATAATTCTATTACATATATTATATATAATTCTATTACATATATTATATATATAATTCTATTATATATATTATATATATAATTCTATTATATATATTATATATATAATTCTATTATATATATTATATATATAATTCTATTATATATTATATATATAATTCTATTATATATATTATATATATAATTCTATTATATATATTATATATATAATTCTATTATATATATTATATATATAATTCTATTATATATATTATATATATAATTCTATTATATATATTATATATATAATTCTATTATATATATTATATGTATAATTCTATTATATATATTATATGTATAATTCTATTATATATATTATATGTATAATTCTATTATATATATTATATGTATAATTCTATTATATATATTATATGTATAATTCTATTATATATATTATATGTATAATTCTATTATATATATTATATGTATAATTCTATTATATATATTATATGTATAATTCTATTATATATATTATATGTATAATTCTATTATATATATTATATGTATAATTCTATTATATATATTATATGTATAATTCTATTATATATATTATATGTATAATTCTATTATATATATTATATGTATAATTCTATTATATATATTATATGTATAATTCTATTATATATATTATATGTATAATTCTATTATATATATTATATGTATAATTCTATTATATATATTATATGTATAATTCTATTATATATATTATATGTATAATTCTATTATATATATTATATGTATAATTCTATTATATATATTATATGTATAATTCTATTATATATATTATATGTATAATTCTATTATATATATTATATGTATAATTCTATTATATATATTATATGTATAATTCTATTATATATATTATATGTATAATTCTATTATATATATTATATGTATAATTCTATTATATATATTATATGTATAATTCTATTATATATATTATATGTATAATTCTATTATATATATTATATGTATAATTCTATTATATATTATATGTATAATTCTATTATATATATTATATGTATAATTCTATTATATATATTATATGTATAATTCTATTATATATATTATATGTATAATTCTATTATATATATTATATGTATAATTCTATTATATATATTATATGTATAATTCTATTATATATATTATATGTATAATTCTATTATATATATTATATGTATAATTCTATTATATATATTATATGTATAATGGCATTATTTACATTTTTAAGTTGATATGTATCTATATATATAGAGATAATATATAATATTACATATATAATGGCATTATATATATATAATGCCATATGATTTTTGTTAACAGCGGGAAAAAGCCTAAGTGTCGGAAAATAACAACACTAAGATTAATGCTGTTTTCCTCTGGGGAATGGGGATGGAAGGATGTGGGAATGGAGTGGTCTTACAAGATTTACTTTGATTAATTGGTACAATTTATCTTTTTGTTTTTTTGTTTTTTGTTTTTTTAAAAAATAAGAACATATTATATTTGCAAATTTCATACCATTAAAGCAAACAATGCCATTAACAGAAGCAGTAAAGTTGAAAAGATTGTTGGATTCAGGGGAAAGAAACTGATTAGATATAGATTAACTTGTAAAAAGAAAAAGAGATGTAGATTAACTTGTATTTGGTATGAAGTGGTGCTGTACCAAAGGGTTGGATTGTGGTTAGAGTTGTGGTAGTTGCTGGCAGCAGTCAAGGGTGTATCTGGGCAGGCTTTCCAGGTTGTGGTTCTTGTAGGGCTCAGAGAAGATGTGGTTGATATGAATAGAGCTTGCAGCTAAGACTGGAGGGTCAAAGGCAAAACTCATGAGCCAGTGTCATGGGAAGCAGCACCACAGATCATTTTTACTGCTGCTGGGTCCTAGGATTGGAGGGAGTAACTCTCTCTGACACAGCCTTGTTCACCCTAAAGGCCAGCTTAGGACATCTGTCTGACTGACCAATAATTTACCCTGGATTCAACATAATAGGAGAGGCAGAAGGTACTACAACATCCTACTTGTGAAACTAATCTTTATTAATTTGCCTATTCCCACCTTAAACTTATTTACATTTTTAAGTTGGTATGTATCTATATCTGCACTGCATTCGTATCTATATCACCCATACCTATAACTATAATCTATATTATCTATCTGTTTAGATAGATACAGATAGATATCCCTGTCTGCCTCTTCTCATGTGAAATTAGCAGGTATTCAAACTTGGTCTTGAACAATACTATGTATTGAGACATATTAAATATAGGGTAAGCACATTATAAAAATGGATCCCACATGGGGTATTATAGTGGTATGTTGTAGAGCCAGTGTTTTATTATAGAATTACTGATTGCTTCTCCAGATGGGTTTAAATTGATGACTGTAAGAAAATTTTTGCAAACTCCCCCCTACTGTCCCTACAAATGTGCTCATGGGAAGACCCACTTTCTCTTCATTACTTTAAAATGCTTTGGGCAAAGAAACACTTGGATGTTTTTATTAAATAAACATTATCTTCAAAGCCCAATGATGAATTTTTTTAATACGTGAAAGTCTCTTTCGAAATCCTTTTCAATATTTAATGCATATTGTATAAGTATAAATAATACATTTGAGATTTTAAAAAATGCATATGCAAAGTGATTTGCAGAAGTCCCTAAAATATTTATGATTCTACTATCTACAATTTTCTTTTATTTATCGTATCTCCTGTAGATTCTGATTAAGTATAGGTAGGGATTTTTAAAAAGTGTCATGGCTCATGCCTTTCTTTCTTCCTTCTTTTCTCTCTATCTCTCTCTTTTCTCTTTCTTCCTTCCTTCCTTTCTTTCTTTCTTTCTTTCTTTCTTTCTTTCTTTCTTTCTTTCTTTCTTTCTTTCTTTCTTTCTTTCTTTCTTTCTCTTTCTTTCTTTCCTTCTTTTCTTTCTTTCTAGAAAATAAAATGTGGAAATATAATGAGTCCCCTAAGATCCCACCGCCCCTCATGCTGACAATGATATGCTTAGACTCTGGGATGTGCTGCCTTTTTTTTTTTTTTTTTTTTTTTTGAGACGGAGTCTCGCTCTGTCGCCCAGGCTGGAGTGCAGTGGCGGGATCTCGGCTCACTGCAAGCTCCGCCTCCCGGGTTCACGCCATTCTCCTGCCTCAGCCTCCCAAGTAGCTGGGACTACAGGCGCCCGCCACTACGCCCGGCTAATTTTTTGTATTTTTAGTAGAGACGGGGTTTCACCGTTTTAGCCGGGATGGTCTCGATCTCCTGACCTCGTGATCCGCCCGCCTCGGCCTCCCAAAGTGCTGGGATTACAGGCGTGAGCCACCGCGCCCGGCCCTTTTTTTTTTTTTTTTTTTGCCATGTTCCTTATTCATGGTATTTCAGAACAAAAGATTTATACATACCCATGAAGCCACATATATTCTTTTTTTTAAATCACTGTTATCAAGCCATATGATATCTCATAAATTAACAGAAAAATGTCGCATGTAAGATAAAGAATTTTAGATTGCTTTAATTTTGTCAGTCTCGTTTCTTTCTAAGCAGAAATACCAGCCTCAGTTTCCCTGCTTATTAAGCAATATATGCTTCCAAGCAATTGCAAAGTGAAAATGGAAGTACCTTTAGAAATTACTTTATGCTGCCACCACTAATCTGATAGAGGCCTCGAAGTAGGAGGAAAGAGTAAAAGCTGTTTTGCTGGCAGTCAGGAACAATGCAGAGAAAGTGGAGGCCTGCTCCAAATTTTAGTAGCTTTATATGCATCATTTACTATAGTTGGTGAGTGGATAGGAGAAACAAAATTACAAATTTCTCTTTAGTGGCTTGGCTAAGAAGTTGAAATTGAGAGTAGACTCTGAATCTAAATCTTTTAGGAATTCTTGGTTTTGCTGTGTGTGTGTGTGTGTGTGTGTGTGTGTGTGTGTGTGTGTGTGTTTTGAATAGTTCTGTCAGTTTGGTGATAAGAAAATGTAAGGTGATATGAAATAAAAAAAACAAAAAAAAGTATTGTGAGTTTAGGATCTAGTGAAAAACTGTGGGTGGTCTTCTAGAACCTAGTTAAATAATATACAAAATAGAATTCTTAGAAATATCAGATGTTGGTCGGGCGCGGTGGCTCATGCCTATAATCCCAGCACTTTGGGAGGCCAAGGCGGGCGGATCACCAGGTCAGGAGTTCGAGACCACCCTGACCAACATGGTGAAACCCCGTCTCTACTAAAACTACAAAAATTAGCTGGGCGTGGTGGCATGTGCCTGTAATCCCAGCTACTCAGAAGGCTGAGGAAGGAGAATCGCTTGAACCCAGGAGGCAGAGGTTGCAGTGAGCTGAGATCATACCACTGTACTCCAGCCTGGTAATAGCAAGACTCAATCTCAAAAAAAAAAAAAAACCAAAAAAAAAGAAAAAGAAAAAGAAAAAGAAATATCAGATGTTAGGACTTTTTTTTTTTTTTTAAACAAAAGAATAATGGAAGAACCAGGAATCCAGGATGGGAGAGTTGAGTGAGCATGATACCTTCCTTTAGGGAGGAGAAACAATCCATTGGCTAGTTTGAGTTGTTTTTCAGTCATAGTGATGGATTTGAACAATCCATCCAACTCTTTCACCCAGTTCTTCTCTTTAGTAATTGCATGCCTTTGCGAGATGGGGCAATGTGGGAGAGATGTGGGAAGATAAATGGCCCTTCAGAGGTTTCCATGACTTTTTAGAATTTTAGTGTGTTGGCTCTAATTAATGCTGTCAATAGGAGAAGGGAAATGTCTAAAACTCTGGGTGAACAGTCACTTAGCTACTCAGAAAAACATTTGGAAATTAGAAAAAACATTGTCAACATTTATATGTGTTCCTTTTGATCTAACAAGCGTCTATATTCCCTTTCCTCTAAGAGAAAAGATCCAGTAGGTTTGGCTGGTTGGCTAATACCAGAGGACCACTGTGATGTCTTCATATTTATACTACACAGTGTGTGGCATTTGGCAGGGACTCAATAGATGTTTTCTAGGTTTCATTAAATTGACTGAGTCAAGTGGAAGGTATAATCTTTTTTGTTTGTTTGTTTGTTTGTTCATTTTGTTTTTGAGACAGATCTCACTCTGTCGCCCAGGCTGGAGTGCTGTGGCGCAATCTTGGCTAGTCACTGCATCCTCTGCCTCCAGGCTCAAATGATTCTTCCACATTCACCTCCTGAGCAACTGGAACTACCAGTGCACACCACCACACCCGGCTAATTTTTGTAGAGACAGGGTCTCCCTGTGTTGTCAGTCTGGTCTCGAACTCCTGGGCTCAAACGATCCGCCAGCCTCAACCTCCCAAAGTGCTGGGATTACAGGCGTGAACCACTGTGCCTGGCCACAGTCTTTTAAAAGCCAAAACTATTTAAAAATATTCATAAAATGTTTATTAAGTATGTCATTCAATATGTGTTCATAGATTACCTGAGCAGGGGAAATTAGATAGGGGAAATCAAAAGATGATCCATTGACAGATAGACTGGAAGTTCCCTGTCACTGGTAGGAAGCATTACCAGCATCTAAATCAATCAGTGCACAGGAGGATATTGGGGCTGGGGCAGGGCAACTTCAGCTGCCTCTGTGTTTACAAAGCAGTTGGACTTCAGTTGCTATAACTCTCTTGGCCTTTCTCTCCCAGTTGGTTCACTCTGCCCCAGAAGAGAAGGGGAAACTCTTCCATGGGAGCATTTGGGAAATACACTGGTTCTGTGTAGTTGAGAGCTAGCTGACCTCAGGAGCTACAGTGGCTGAGCTCCTTTGTGGTCTGGTTTACAGAGGCAGGCCCCTATGGGGAGGTGCACTGTGAATAGCTGTTAGTCTACCTAATTTTGGAATGCAGTTTTAGGAAGTCCTCTGTTGCACTGCACGTAAGCTATACCCTCCTTTGTCAGCTTTATAGTAATGAAGGTGACATTTTTATCTCCTTCTGCCAGACTTCCATGTCTATCTTTTCATTGTTTTCATTTGGAAATATGTACTGAGCCCTTAGACTGTGCCAAGCACTCTAGTAAGCCCTGAGACTCTACCTACAGAAGCTCACAGTGTAGCATATTTATAATGCAGTTGAACAAGTGGGTGAGCATGAAGCTTCCCAGGAAGAAACAGTCTGAACCGAGTTGCTCAGTTTTTGGTCTTTCCTTTTTTTTTTTTTTTTTTTTTTTTTGAGACGGATTCTCGTCTCGCTCTGTCGCTCAGGCCGGCGTGCAATGGCACAATCTCCAATCTCGGCTCACTGCAAGCTCCGCCTCCCGGGTTGACGCCATTCTCCGCCTCAGCCTCCCGAGTAGCTGGGACTACAGGCGCCTGCCACAACACCCGGCTAATTTTTTGTATTTTTAGTAGAGATGGGGTTTCACCGTGTTAGCTAGGATGGTATCTATCTCCTGACCTCGTGATCCGCCCACCTGGGCCTCCCAAAGTGCTGGGATTACAGGCGTGAGCTACCGCGCCCGGCCTGGTCTTTCCTTAACCGAGTCATAACAGAGTGGGATTTGGCCAGAAGGTAGTCGGGTGTGGTAAGAGCTTAGGCTGCAGAGGCAGTAGGAGCTCAGTTCTGAAAGGCTCTCCTTAAAAGCCATACTAAGGGCCCTGGATTTTGCCTGGTAGGCAACAGACAGCTGGTTAAAAGGTTAGAGGAAGGATGTGGTCACATTTCTGTCTTAAATAAGTCAGTTTGATAGGTTGGAGGATCAATTTGAACAGGACAAGCCTAAAGAGACTAGTTTGCAGGTTGTTCTAGGTGAGAAATTATAAGGAAGTGACTTAGTAGCACCTCTGTTTTTTGTTTGTTTTTCCTTTCCTTTTTTCTCTTGGACATTGTGACATGAGCTAATGCACAAAAAGCATTTGCGTTTAACTGCAGTTCATAGCAAGAACTCAATAAATGTCGGCCATCATCATTTTCTTTTTCTAAATCATCACGTCATTTCCATCATCATCATCAGCAGAGGCAGTAATTTCTCCCTTACTACTCATCCTAAATAATGAGCAGCCTCCTAGAGGCAGGCTGCTCCCAGAAGAAGAGAGCCATAGAACCTTCTCTCAGACGGCTCTGGTTCAGCTGATCAAACCACTCCCTGCACCCACTCCCACGCCACCACCACATGACTACACCTCCCCTGGCAGAATTGCCAAAGATCCTGCATTCCTACCCTGGCCGTGGAGCAAAACTGCGGCATTACTGTTGGGTATTAAGGATTTCCTCTTTGTTTTACTGTTATCATGCTTTCATCTAGCCAGAACTCTACTTACCTGATAGAAAATGTAGGGTTCAATTCTTTGTTTAGCTGCCAAGATTCTTCAGTGCTTTGGCAAGGAAAGGAAATCTGGCACAAGTGTTTAGGATTGCCCACGTACCTAAGAAAACTACACTTTCTAGATGTAAAGAGTATGTGGGTGGTCTTCTCACCAATGTGCCAGCTTTATCCCCTTGAATAATTGGAAATCCCCCAGCAAATACCCTATTGAAGCAATTTTACTTGATTGGTATATTTTCAAGGTCTTATTTAAAATTATATTTGAATTAAATTTTTTTTTTCTTGAGACAAAGCCTTGCTCTGTTGCCCAGGCTGGAGTGCAGTGGCATGCTCTTGGCTCACTGCAACCTCCATCTCTCAGATTCAAGCAATTCTCCTGCCTCAGCCTCCCTAGTAGCTGAGAATACAAACACGTGCCACCATGCCTAGCTAATTCTTTTTATTTTTATTTTTAGTAGAGATGGGGTTTCACCATGTTGGCCAGGTGGGTCTCGAACTCCTGACCTCAGGTGATCCTCCCACTTCAGCCTCTCAAAGTGCTGGCATTACAAGCATGAGCCACCATGCTCGGCCTAATAATAATATTAATAATAATAAATGTAATAAGGAAAAATGACAAAAATAAAATAATCCAAATTTTATTACAGAAAACTTTCTTAAATGAAACTTAAATTACACTTCTTAAAATAACCACAGAACAACCAATTGATTTTATTTCAACCTTATTTTTCTTTTCTAGCTCTCTTATAAAGGTTTGTGAGCCAAAAATTAAGAAGATTCAAATTAAAAAAACCTTCATAAAGATGCAGCACTTAAAGGGTTATTTAAAAGAGGAAGTGTGGGCAGGCATGGTGAGGTGGCTCACCCCGGCAATCCCAGCACTTTGGGAGGCCAAGGTGGGCAGATCACTTGAGTCCAGGAGTTTGAAACCAGTCTGGCCAACATGGCAGAATCTTGTCTCTACTAAAAATACAAAATTTAGCCAGACATGGTGGTGCACGCCTGTAATCCCAGCTACTCAGGAGGCTGAGGCACGAGAACAGCTTGAACCCATCAGGCAGAGGCTCCCATGAGCCGAGATGGTGCTACTGCACCCCAGCCTGGGTAACAGAGGGAGATTACGTCACACAAAAGAGGAAATGTGATTTGTATGTTCCTTCAATGTAGAATGGCTATTTTTTTTACTCTACTGTAAGCATGGTCAATATGATTTTCCTACATCTGTCTTCAAGAAGATGAGAATCTTTTGAAACTAATAGCTTACAGTCTCCCCAAGGACCTCTCTTTTTGATAGTGTAATAATCTTCATATATCACCAAAGTAGAATTGTACTGGCAAAGTTAAGAATCTGGATCCAGCTTGTCAAAGTCACAACCTTTTGTATGTTTGCTCAATTGTCCTACAGTGATTTGTACTTGTGACAATTACCTAGATTATGGAAATTTGTAGGTTTGAGCAAATCTTTTTCTTCTCAGTATTTTTGTCTTCTTACCTGTAAATGGTGAGCATGCTAAAAGCACAAAAATTTCTTCTCAGGGGTTTACCATGAAATAGTCTTCCTTTAAATGTAGAGATTAAATTTTAAGTTATTTACGTGAGCAGATGAGGCCATTAAGAGATAATATAGAAAGGTAAAGGGTCTACAAGTGGATATATAAGGAACAATTTTTCCACATTTTTCAAGAACACTCAGGCAGAGTGAATTATTCATGCACCTATAACTAAAAAAGGCAATTATCAGTTGCTTTTCCACAGAGTACATACTTTAAAATGTCCAACGAAGTTTGCGTCTGTTAGAATACTTTCAGCCACAAGTTTGTCAAATTAGCTTAAGCCATGTTGAAAACCATCGACTCGTGTAACTATACATCATAGATTCACTGGGCTTCAGGTTCATGGACTCAGATGCTTTTCAGCTCTAGGTTCTGCTGAACACAGGCTTCATTCTGAGGACAGTTTCCCACAGCTGCCAGCTGCAATCAGGGCTACATGCTTTTACTTCCACTTCTGGTGTAGGAAAGACTTGCTTCCTGAAAGGTCCCTCAAGCATAAGGAAACGTTTCCTCTGGAGACCTTTAGTTGATTTGGGTCACACGTTCACTCCAGAACCAACAGTGGGAAAAGTTATTAGATAACTCTTTGGCTAGTCAGGCTATTGAGGTTGTGGGCTGAGTCAGAAAGAAGTAGATACCTGGCCAGAAAGGGGTGGATATCTTCCATTCTGTTGGAAAGGAAGAAAGGAAAATGGATGCTTTAGGCCACCATTAACAGCCACTCCAGAGTTCCTGGGAGGAGTAGGCCTATGCAGTAAGGAAGAAAACCACTGTGAAATTCATACGGAGTAAGATTTGGCAGTCGAAGCTACCAAATGAGGCAGATAAAAAACCTGTTTATAGGGAGAAGACAGAGAGAAAAGAACCGACCAGCAAGTGGGTTGGAAGATCAGAGGGTATGGCTAAGAATTTTATTGCTTTTCAAAGCAAGGAGAGAGGATGGTTTCAAGTTATCTGCAGACAGAGAAGTAATAGAGCAATAATCCTGTGACTGACTGCCCTGCTCTTAAGCACATTTTGTGTCAGAACTTCTTGCTCACTCTTAATAGAGGAAAGGAGGCTCTGAAACTTTTTATGAGTAATCCCAGATGAAACTAAGTTACCTAAAGAGACAGATACGACTAGTGGATTAAACTAGGTCTGTACCCCCTCCACCATCTCCTCACACATACACACATACTGCAGTGCTATGCAGGCAAGGGGGCTGGTGAGGAACGTCAGGCCAGTCACAGGGAAAACAAGACATATTTTCTTTATAGCTCTCAGTGGTATGTGAACCCAGCATACATTTCTTCATTATATAATGACCAAGTTATTTGAAAGATCAAAAAAAGTTAACACATACTGATCGTGATTGTACAATTGTCTGTCATTTAAGTTTGCTGTGAATTTATCTATATGTAGATGTGAATAGATAAGACTTTGCTAGGTTTGTGAAAGTCTGGTAAACTATTTGGTCAGTGTAGAAACCTAAGGGCTAGTGAGAGGAATGTCATGCAGATTCCACTCCGTTGACCCACTGACTATTCTAAGAGGACTCTTGAGATCAGTGATTAGGGGCATTGTTTTCCTTAAAAACTTGTCATCTACAAATATGAATCTACAATTCAGTGATAAATACCTTCCTTCAAGCACTACGATATGGTGCAACTTTTTTGAAACTTCTAAGTTGAATTCATTGAAATGGGGTATTATCTGGAAGTCTCTGAAAATAACAGAATAAGTATTTTCTCAGGCATGCTAGCTTGGGGTATATGCAAATTATTGAACACCTATTCCACATCCCAGCTCTCATTAGGGGGAACTGTTGAAATTGCAGCTCCATTAAGTCAAGAACTTTGGCTCAAAATGGAGGAGATGATCAAGGTATTTCCCAACTCCCACTTCCTCCTGGTCCCTTAGGCCTCCTGGCTTGCAACCACTTGGAAGCTGTCCTGGTTGAGTACTCCAGCATCACCTTGGTGGTACTATGTGCTGCTAATGGCACTGCTGCTGCTCCTTTGACCATGTGATACAGACATCATCACTGAAGCTCCTTCCAGGAAAGCATGTTGCCTAGTGCCTCCAATGCCCTTCCTTTGTCCCCATGCTATTGCTGCATAAATCTGTTACTTAACCAGACATGTTATAATTATGTGCATATTTTTTTTTCCGAGGGCTAAACAGAGAGTTCTTCCAAGACAAGGACTTTCATGATTTATAGAGCTGTATTAATTATATAGTATGTGATCAGTAAATAAAGGAAAGAAAAGTTCTGGTGGCTTTTGGTATTGGTCCCAAGCAGGGAATTTGGACCAAGGAGGTAAGATTGGAATAAGAGAAGAGCTCACGTTGTTAGCTTAATTTCCTTTGACGTCAGGCTTTATCTTCTGCAACTTGCCAATGTTTACCAGAGCTCATAGGAAAGGTGCTGTATCTGATTTTGATTTTAGACATTGAATTTTCACTGTAATACAGAAAATTCCCATCCTTTAAGATGGGGCAAGCAAATACTAGAAATGTGTGGTGGTCTAAAGACTGCTCAAGGAGATTTTCAATTCTGACAGTTGAGGCTACTTTATATGTTCACTGAAAGTTCCTGACTTTCCTTGACATTTTTGGAATTGAGAGGAGTCTAAGAGGTATCTCTTCTACACCTGCCTTTCATTTTCACAAGGAAAACAGTTGTTCGAATATTGGCAGAACAAGTTGTTTTCAGTGTACCATTATATATATATATATACACACACACACACACACACACATACATAAAGATAGAGAGACAGAGAGAAAGAAACATTTTTTTTTTCTGATGCAAAGTATGAAGGAAATAGAGGAGAGCAACATGTGAGAAACTAATACCTAAATATACTACCTCAGGTTCTGGCATCAAAAAGTGGACTGGAAAGGTAATCAGTATAATTATATATAACCTGGCCTGCTTTTATTTATGGGGCTTGACATATCACCCAAATTTGCCAAATATAGGGTTTCCTGAAAACTGAAATTCAAACTCTTCCTGTAGAAATGTGGTCATGCCTAGTAAAGCTGCTACCCCACAGAGGTTATATATCTTTTCAATACTAAACATTTTTGCCTGCCAGCAGCCTGGAATGAAAATAAAGCCTGAAGTTTCAGACCATTAGACCATTAGAGCCTGCTGGGCCTCCCCTAGGTTACTGGTATTTTCCTGGGTAGGTAGTAAGAGGAACATGTTCAAATAGAACTTTACAAAATGTAATAGCACGTGGCAAACAACGTCTTATTTTTAGTAGCATCACCTGCTGTTGTGTTCAAGAACAAATTAGCTGTCATGGAGCTGGTGATGGTTAATTTTGTGTGTCACCTTGACTACATCATGGTACCCAGATATTTGGTCAAATGCTAGTCTAATGTGGCTGTGAAGGTATTTTTTTAAGATTAATATTTAAATGAGCAACCTTTAAATAAAGCAGTTTACCTCCATATTGTGGATGGGCCTCATCCCATCAGTTGGAGGCCTTAAGAGAAAAAAGACTAATTTCCCTTCAAAAAGAAAAAATTCTATCAGCATACTACCTTTGGCCTCGAGCTACAGCATCAAACCTTCCCTGGTCTCCAGACTGCTGACCTACCCTCCAGATTTTGAATTTGCTAGTCTCCATAATCATGTGAGTCAATTCCTTAAAATAAATCTCTCTCTGTCTGTCTCTCCCACTTCTGTCTCTCATCCATTGGTTGTGTTTCTCTGGGGAACCTTGACTAATACAGACGCATCACATATTCTCCACAGCATGGATTTAGGCTCTCTGGCGCAGTGTCTTGGGTCTTAGAAGAACAATGAGCCTGGTCTGACCAGAAAAGACATTCAAAATCTATCATGGCAGTGGGACATATATTTCTTTGGGTTTCATCTTGGGACAGTTGCTGAAAGCAGGCCCGATTCAGCTAAGACTTACACTGGATACTCAGAATCACTGGGGACCCTGACATGGAACCCACATAAGACCTAAAAGGAGACTTTTCCTGAAGTCTCCAGGAGAGGAGAACTTCAGGGGCTCTTGGAACTAAACCTCGGTTCTGGAATTGCACTCTCCCAACTAGCACATTTTGGCTGCTGAAGTCTGAAGGCAAAATCTTGCTTGACTCTGGAATTTGTTCTAGTGATATGCTGCTATTTTAATTCTGAAGTGTGTTAATATCCTGACAACTCCTGGTGTTGATAAACTATAGTACTGTCCTTATACTTGGGCAACGGGATATGTG
This sequence comes from Homo sapiens, assembly GCF_000001405.40. Taxonomy (NCBI): domain Eukaryota; kingdom Metazoa; phylum Chordata; class Mammalia; order Primates; family Hominidae; genus Homo; species Homo sapiens. The sequence goes on along the minus strand of NC_000003.12, from coordinate 111,820,815 downwards.
CCATAGTTCTCACATTTATAGAGCCTCATTCCGGCCATGCCCCTCTGGCCCTATCTTCTTTGCTTTACTCCTCTTCTTCCTCCTCCTTCTTGACCACAAACTGGAGAATCCAGGTCTGGAAATTCCATGCCCAACTTCCTTGTTCAGGGCCTGTGAAGATCTGCTCTCTCAAAGGTACATACATTTAGATCTGAGAGGTGGCCATGGGGCCACTGGTTGTAAGTTATGTGGATTGAACTTATAGTTGTGGGCTAGTGTGAGACACAACACATATGAGACACAGTAAATATAGTGTAGAATGGATCACAAAAGAGATTGAAAAGAGAGGACTTTCAGTCTGAGCCAGGACTAGCTTTCCTTGCATCACTATAGTGTTTCCACTATAGTATATAGTTCCACTAGAGTAGAATGCCAAGGGGTCTGAGAATTCTAAACTTCAATTTTGTTTTCCAAGAGGTTATCAAGGTATTTTTTAAAATCAATTTTGGAAGAAAAAAACATTTCTTTAACCATTTTAACTTCGTTTTTAACTTTGAACTATTTCGACTCAGAGTATGCAGACATTCATTTGTACTCTAGACCATCTCTGTCAATCATTACAACAGTGGAGGAATTTGTGACTCAAATAAAGGTTTAGATTAGCTGACCACCAAGTCCCCTGCCAATGCTGTGATTCTACATGTGGTAGTTAGGGGCGGAAGAATATGGTCAGACCCTCTCTAGAGAGCTCAAGAAAAACAAAGAGGAACAACCTCAAGCCACTAGGGCAAGGATGGTTTGACCTTAATCCAAGTTTCCTTTTGGTTAGACTTCCTATGTGAACACTACTTTTCTTCAAAGCTTCATTACCACGAAAGCCTGCAAGACATTTCATACCATGCCAGATGCGGTTACTAAATGAGGACTTGTCAACCTTGTTTGGTTTCAAACTCAGTAATTTATTTGATAAATGTGGATGCATCTTGACAATTAAACTCTCAGATTCCATTGGTATTTGTTTGTCTTTGGGGTAAACAGATAAAAGAAAATTAGAATAAGTCATTGTATATTCTAAAGGACAAATAAGCAAGGTATCTTCTGAAGGACAAACGACACTGGGGTTGAGATAATAGTGGGTTTGTTTTCTGAGAGGAAGCATAGTATATCCATAGAGAATGTACTCATGATATTTCTAGGACACCCACTTTGGTTTTTTGGGCATTTTATCCAGCTTCTCAAAATTCTCTGTTGTACAAATTCTCTCAAAAAGAAAAGAAGAATGCCTAGAACTTGAAATGAAGCTCTCCTGTACTCATTGTCCCCCAGGTGGGAAGTAATCAGTGTAGTCAGATATCTCTGGCTTTGCCATGAATTAAAGATGCAGAAAGGTCTTCTATTTCAGATGATTAGACTTGAAAAAGACTAAGTGGCATTGAATTCAGATGGGTTATCTACCTTGGCTTTTTATGGATTCCCTTGACAAAATATTGGTTACAATTCTACATGTTTGAAGTCTCGAAGATTTGTCGTTGTAAACTAGGATGGTGCTATGGACTGAATTTTGCCCCACAGCCACCCCCCACCCCATTTATACGTGGAAGCCCTAACCCCCAGTCAGAGATGGGCATTTGGGAGATAAGTAGGTTTAAATGAAGCCACAATGGTAGACCTCATGATGAAAAGAGTGCCCTCATAAGAATAGACACCTGAGAACTTGCACACACATTCTCTCTGAATATGAGAACACAGTGAGAAGGCAGCCATCTACAAGCCAGGAAGAGTGTCCTTACCAGATCCTGACCATGCTGGCATTCTAATCTCGGATTTCTAGGCTCCAAAACTGTGAGAAAATGCATTTCTGTTGTTTAAGCCACCCAATTGATGACATTTTGTTTTGGCAGCCTAAATTGACTAGGACAGGTGGACATGAAATTTGGAAGGTGCATTGGAAGGGAAAAGTAACAAAACTCATGGAATGAAACCAACCTTGAGGAGAGGAGGCATCTAGTATAGTGACCAAGGTTCAAGGGGTTCAGTGATTATTATGGCCCAGCATGGAGCCAATGGCAGAATTTTTTTAGAATTCAGCAGATCTGGACTGGTGTCAGCCTTGTGGAAAATGGCATAAGAGAGCTGAAATTTTAAAGCCCTATTTTTGTCTTTCACTCTGGTGCTAGTAAGGCTCTAGCTAGCAAGGCCATGACTGCAAAGAGCTTTTAGAATTTGTAAGACCCATCTTCAGCTGTGACAGTGTATGGCATTGTGGAAATATGGCACTAGTCATCCAATCAGACTCTTAACTTAGAGAGTGGAAGCAGGACTAGCCTACTGGGAAAAAAGTCAGTTCCTAGAGTTCTTGAACAATACAGTTAAGTAGAAGATTTGAGACTTTGTACCAAAGGCAGAAACTGGGCTTAGTACTAATAGCCCATGTTAGGGAAGAGGGTCAAGTAAGTAACAAAAATGTGACCAATTTTGTGAACATATTTGTGCTGAGTTTAGATAGGTTGTACCATTTATTAAATACATGGCTTCTAAGAGGATTCCACTTCCTTCATCTCAAACAAGGTCTATCATCTCTCCATTTCCAAGGCCACTACATTTCTCTTTGATACTTTACTAAATAGTAACACATGCAGACACACACACACACACACACACACACACACACCAGTTTTTTAAAAAATTTCTTTTTAAGCAAGACTGGCTTCTCAAAACCTATCCCTATGAGTCAGCTTACATTTAATAGAAACTATAACCTTATATCAAAGGCCTTTTTTCACAAGAGATCAATCTCAGAGATGAACATTAGTGAACAAAAATGAGAAAAGCATAAACGAATAAAATAAGGCACCATAGCTCATCAAAGAACAAATAAAGGCCAAATGAGCTACAAATGTTAGCTTGTCTTGTACTTATTAATTTCAATAATATATTAATATTACCAGCCTATCTTCTCCCACAAGAGACATATTGCCAGTAAAGTAAACAAAACTCACTTTCATTTCTGCTCAGTCTGATTTGATGCTTATAACTCAGTCAGCTAAACTGTGGTATTATTAGTGTGTTTACAGAATCTGAGAAGTCATGGTCTCCAGCACTCTAGATATTCTGAGCCTATTTTCATACGCTGGGCTATGTCTACCTGGGGAACCACGGTCCTAAGTACAATTGGCTATGAGATAAGAGTTTGGAAAGGTCTAACAAAATGCTAGAAAATATGGGAAAATAATTTTGGTTAAGGGATACAAGTTGTTCTTGTGCCTTAATTTGAAAAGTAAAGAATAAAAAGATGGTAGTGTAAAGGATTTAAAGGTGACATCCTCAGAAAGTGACCTTTCTAATGATTTTCTTCTATTACTAAGAAATGATAAAGACCAGCACTGTGCCAATCCTATTCTTTCTCCTTTATACCTTTAAGTCAGCTGGTATGGATCCTCATTCACGTCTTATATGCAAGAAACATTAAATAAACTTCTCTTCTTGTGCATAAAGCAACATAAGATGTTGCTGTGGTTTGGATACTGTTTGTTTATTCCCACCAAAGCTCATGTTGAAATTTGATCCCCAGAGTTGCAGTATTGGGAGGTGGGGCATAGTGAGAGGTGTTTGGCTAGTGGGTGGATCCCTCATGAATAGCTCGGTGCTGTTCTTCTGGTAATCGCTTGTATTAGTCCGTTTTCACATTGCTGATAAAGACATGCCTGAGACTGGGTAATTTACAAAAGAAATAGGTTTATTGGACTTACAGTTCCACATGGCTGGGGAGGCCTCACAATCATGGTGGAAGGTGAAAGACAAGGAGGAGCATGTCATGTCTTGCATGGATGGTGTCAGGCAAAAAGAGAGCTTGTGCAGGGAAACTCCCACTTTTGAAACTATTAGATCTTGTGAGACTCATTCATTATCATGAGAACACTGCAGGAAAGACTCACCCCCATAATTCAATCACCTCCCACTGGGTTGTTCCCACAACATGTGGAAATTGTGGGAGTTACAATTCAAGATGAGATTTTGGTGGGGACACAGCCAAGTCATATCATTCCACTGTTGGCCCCTCTCAAATCTCATGTCCTCACATTTCAAAACCAATCATGCATTCCCAACAGTCCCCCAAAGTCTTAACTCATTTCAGCATTAACTCAAAAGTTCACAGTCCGACATCTAATCTGAGACAAGGCAAGTCCCTTCTGCCTATGAGCCTGTAAATTCAAAAGCAAGTTAATTACTTCCTAGATATAATGGGGAGTACAGGCATCAGGTAAATACAGCCATTCCAAATGGGAGAAATTTGCCAAAACAAAGGGCTCCAGGCCCCATGCAAGACCAAAATCCAGTGGGGCAGTCAAATCTTAAAGCTCCAAAATAATCTCCTTTCACTCTATGTCTTACATCCAGGTCACGCTGATGCAAGAGGTAGGTTCCCATAGTCTTGGGAAGCTCTGCCCCTATGGCTTTGCAGGGTACAGCCTCCCTCCCAGCTCCCTTTACGGGCTGTCATTGAGTGTCTGTGGCTTTTCCAGGTGAACAGTTCAAGCTGTCAGTGGATCTACCATTCTGGGGTCTGCAGGATGGTAGCCCTCTTCTCACAGCTCCACTAGGCAGTGCCTCAGTAGGGACTCTGTGTAGGGGCTCTGACCCCAAATTTCCCTTCTGCACTGCCCTAGTGGAGGTTCTCCATGAGGGCCCCACCCTGGCAGCAAACTTCTGCATGGGCATCCAAGTGTTTTCATACATCTTCTGAAATCTAGGGGGAAGTTCTAAAGCCTCAATTCTTGATTTCTGTTCACTCGCAGGCTCAACACCATGTGGAAGCTGCTAAGGCTTGGGGCTTACACCCTCTGAAGCCATGGCCCAAGCTCTATGTTGGCTCCTTTCAGGCACATATGGAGCAGCTGGGCACCAAGTCCCTAGGCTGCATACAGCATGGGACCCTGGGCCCAACCCACAAAACTGCTTTTTCCTCCTAGGCCTCCAGGAAGCTGTTGTAAAGACCTCGACATGCCCTGGAGACATTGTCCCCATTGTCTTGGGGATTATTTGACTCCTCATTAATTATGTACATTTCTGCAGCCAGCTTGAATTTCTCCTCAGCAAATGGGATTTTCTTTTCTATAGTGTTGTCAGGCTGCAAATTTTCTGAACTTTTATGCTCTGCTTCCCTTATAAAACTGAATGCCTCTAACAGCACCCAAGTCACCCCTTGAATGCTTTGCTGCTTAGAAATTTCTTCGGCCAGATACCCTAAATAATCTCTCTCAAGTTGAAAGTTCCACAAATCTCTAGGGAAGGTGCAAAATGTCACCAGCCTCTTTGCTAAAACAAAGCAAGAATCATCTTTGCTCTAGTTTCCAACAAATTCCTCATCTTCATCTGAGACCACCTCAGCCTGGACTTTATTATCCATATCATTATCAGCACTTTGTCAAAGTCATTCAGTAAGTCTCTAGGGAGTTCCAAACTTTCCCACATTTTCCTGTCTTATTCTGAGCCCTCCAAACTGTTCCACTTCTGCCTGTTACCCAATTCCAAACTCACTTCCATATTTCTGGGTATCTTCTCAGCAGTGCCCCACTCTACTGGTACCAATATACTGTATTAGTCCATTTTCATGCTGCTGACAAAGACATACCTGAGACTGGGCAATTTACCAAAGAAAGTGGTTTATTGGACTTACAGTTCCACATGGATGGGGAGGCCTCACAATCATGGTGGAAGGTGAAAGGCAAGGAGGAGCACGTCATATCTTACATGGATGGCAGCAGGCAAAGAGAGAGCTTGTGCATAGAAACTCCCATTTTTAAAACCACCAGCTCTCGTGAGACTCATTCACTATCACAAGAACAGCGCAGGAAACACCCGCACCCATAATTCAATCACCTCCCACCAGGTTCCTCCCACACTACGTGGGAACTGTGGAAGTTATAATTCAAGATGAGATTTGGGTGGGGACACAGCCAAACCATATTATCACTTTTGTAAGACTGGACTAGTTCTCTCAAAAATGGATTTGTTTCTGAGAGAGTGGGTTGTTATAAAGCCAGGATGTTCCTCGGGTTTCCCTCTCTTTGTGCTTGTAAGCTCCCCATTTTGCTTTCTGCCATGAGGACAGCCTGAAGCCCTCACCAGATGCAAATGCCCAGTCTCAAATTTTCCAGCCACTAGAATCATAAGCCAACCCCCACCTCTCTGCTTTTTTTTTTTTTTTAAATAAATACTTCATTTCAGGTATTCTGTTAATAACACTACATGAACCATGCAGACATCTATGTAGAAAACTTAACATCATGGGGTACAATAAGAAAATCTGTTTTCCAATCTTATTTTAAGAACTGCTCATATATAAAGGAGAGTTTATTAAGTATTAACTTACATGATCACAAAGTCTCACAATAGGCTGTCTTCAAGTTCAGGAGCAAGGAGAGCCAGTCCGAGTCCCAAAACTGAAGAACCTGGAGTCTGATGTTCAAGAGCAGCAAGCAACCAGCATGGGAGAAAGATGTAGGCTGGGAGGCTGTTAGTCTTTCTTTTTCACATTTTTTTTTCCTGCTTATATTCTAGCTGCACTGGCAGCTGATTAGATTGTGCCCACCCAGATCAAGGGTGGGTCTGCCTTCCCTAGCCTGACTCAAATGTTAATCTCTTTTGGCAACACCCTCACAGACACACCCAAGATCAGTACTTTGTATCCTTCAATCCACTCAGTATTAACTATCACAGTGGTGTATCCCACGTTTTGGAATACACTGTTTTGGACCATGTCCTTACAGCTCAGCTGCAATTGGGTATTTGAAGGAGACTTATGTTCACCTCTACCTGGCACACTGTGGGAGTTGAATTAAGATCTCCCTCTTAGCAAATATTGAGCATTTTGAACAAATGACATAGAATAAAAAGAAGCCCCTTAAGTGGATGAAGAGCACAGCAACCACATATCTTGGGTTGTTTGAAACAGGCCTTCTTTAGTGCCCCTTTTCACTCACAAAAGCATCCCCAGTTTTTTGATAAAACTATGTGTTTGCTCTAATTAAGTGGCCTAAATATCACACAATGAATTGTATGCATCCAAATACATTACTTCTTCACTCAGCTCAAGAACTGGTGGCAAAGAAGAGAAAGTCTGAACCAGATTGCAGCCTTAAATATACTTTGTAGTTTTTCCAATTGGTTTATAATTATTAGCAATTTTTGGCACTCTTCCATTTTCCTTTCCTTTTAGTCATTTTTCCACTAAGAATTCCAAAGATTTGTATAATTTTGAATGTTGTGTAACACGCTGTTTTAGACTTTCAGTTATAACATTTACTATTACATTTATTCTGATAGGAGGGAAAATTTGTCATAAAAGCCCAAAGGCTGGTAGGTTTGCTTTAGCCTTAAGCCACAAAAATTTCACCTGTCAATTATTTTACATGTTAAGGATTAACTAAAGACCAAAAGAGGGGGAAACTAAATATACTAAAAATATCCTTTCCCTTTTAAAAAAAATATCTAAGCCTCCAAAATATATTGTACATGGATTTATTTATTTATTTATTTTAATGGACAAATAAAAATGTCATATGTAGTATACAAAAGTACAATACATTGTTATTAACTATAGTAATCACATTATACAACAGCTCTCTTGAACTTGTTTCCCCAAGCTGAAACTTTGTATCCTTTTACTAACATCTGCCCAACTCCTCCTACAGTTTTTTTATACTTGAATGGGAAGTGTCCATTCAGCTGGAGTCTTTTAAGTTAAACATGCTACAAACTACCATTATGTGCTAAAGCACTCTGCTAGATTTTGATTATTGAAGCCTTGGTCTCTTCTTTAGCGGAGCTTCTAGTCTGAGAAAGGATAGCTATTAAATACCAGTCACAAAGCAATGTGATAATGCTATGGGGGAAGCATCCTGCCAATGTTTGTAATGTTTTCCCCACACTTCCTTTCTAGGACCACATGACCTCACCCCTGGATTTTGGCTGTAAAAGCTTGATTGTTATGTCTCCACTCTCTCTACCCTTTTGAAACAAGAGTTAAAAATAAACAGAAAATGTAAAAAATTAATTTGTCTGGCTCCAAGCTATATTCATTAACTTTCTCTGCAGAAAGTCAAAGGCTAGTGGTATTTGATGAAGCTCCAATCTGAGTTCTCTCAGGGAAAAAATCTTAATGAAGCTGCTTTGAACAGTTGGGATAAAACCAGGCAGCAAAGGGACTGTCCTAGGATGATCATACTAAGCAAACTCATCCTAAGCCTGGAGATGGTCTCATAGTGTAGAAGAAGCCAGCTGAAAATCTCCCAATGAGGTCATTAATTCCTCCTCATTCACTGATTCCTTCCAAAGTTGAGAAACTCCATGAAAACATTCAGTTACCTGGTCCTTCCATTGGATCATCACATAAACTTATGTTTCATTTGCTAATTCAGACATCATATGTTTATACTGTCCTCTCCATTTCCCCTTGCAGAGTACTGTTCTTACAAAGTGTTAGCTTTTGTGTTCACTGTAACTTTTCATAGAGTCACAATTCACACACAGCATTCCTGCCTTCAAGGAAACTGTCTTAAACTCCATTTGTATCAACTGAAAACAAATGGTGATCACAGAAAGATGGCCTGGATATATGGATGATGTTCTAAATGACTGGGAACATCCTAGAAAAAGAAATAGTCTGTAAAACAAAAATCTGTCTGCCTGAAATATATTAATGGCCTTGGAAATGGAATCAGAGATAAGAGACAGCAGAGAAGCCCCTTTTCTTTAATCTAAATACTGGAATTCAGGTTCTGAGATTTCACAGAGACGGGGTTGATAGCAGGGCCAGAAGAAAGAGAGCAGATGTTGATGAAGGAACATTCCAAGCAATTTTCTCTCACCTTGGGGCAATGTTTTGAACATGCACAGTTAAGGTGGAAAGCAGCTTATATAGGATGAAGGTCACAAAAATGAATATAGTTTAGACATCATGATTTCATCTCTTTCTCTCTCCTGGACTTTATCATAATGGCATCATCCAGTGTGCTTAGAGTGAGCAAAAGATGTTTGTTTTTAATAATTCTTTGGCAGATAGGTCAGGAATGTAGGCCTAATATCCTGCTTTGCTTATATGAACCTTAAAAACAGAATTATAGTATCTGAAAGACAGAAAGAGTTTAAAGATCATCATTTCATTTTTTCGTGTGTGTGTATGTGTGTGTGTAGTGAGGAATCTATTGATTACCTGTATCACAATCAATAGGGTGCCAGTAAATAATTAAGATTCCTGAATCTTGTCACAGAGCAAGTGAATCAAAATTTTTGTGGGGCCTACAGGTTAAAAACCTGCATATTATTAATAATAAATAAACTGCCTAACGATTTCTTTTGTACATTAAAGCTTGACACTCACTGGCCTAATCTACCCTTTAATTTGCCAGTGAGAAAACTGGGCCATTTCTTCACCAAGACTAATTGGTAGCAAAATATGCATAATGCAAGAGTTCTCCTGACCACAGTAGAATACATTTTTTAAAATGATTTCATGAAGAGACTTGGACTCTCCTATAGCAATGATTACTTTCTGTTTCATGCAAACACCAAGTCCTGAAAGGTTCCTTAATGGGATAAAGCTTCTAGTTTTGTAGGTACTTGGTTTTATTAGTTAAATGCTAAATGGAGTACATTTTTATAGGAGGCTTTAACTGTAAGACCAGTTACTTAAATCCTCCTGAGAAATATCCTGATGACTCAGGATGAGACATCCCCTGGTCTCTTCTTGCATCCAAAGTCCTTTTTGGCTCTGCTTACAGATTATCCTGTTTAATAGCAAAGATGTTTCCCTGAGGGGGTTCATGGAGCATGTATCTGGGCCATTTACCTAGGATGACAGCTCTTTGAAATCTCTTCTGTATCCTCTTGCAGAGCTAGTTTAGTGCAGATACAACTGTACATCCCTACACAGATCAAACACATTTCCCAAACTTACTGTCCAGTGTATTTATTTATTATATTATATACTGAGGATCTTTGTAAAATTTATTTTGGACAAAGGATTCCGTTGTCAAAAATAAGGCATTTGGAAGACATATTTTTAAAAATGTGTTGCTTTGAAGAGTAACACTGATTTCTACATTTAGGGATAGTCTGTGTGGGTTGCTATATCATTGCTATGGACGGAATAGCGTCCTTGGAAAATTTATATGTTGAAGCCCTAACCCTCAATATGACTGTATTTAAAGAGAACTTTTAGGAGGTAATTAAGGTTAAATGAGGTCATAAGAATGGGGTCCTAATCTGATAGGATTAGTGGTCTTAAAAGGAGACGACAGACAGAGCCCTCTCTTCACATACATGCACCAAGGAAAGATCATGTGAGCACACAACAAAGTGGGGGCTGTCTGCAAGCCAGGAAGAGGGCTCCCACCGGAAATTGAGCATGCTGGCACCCTGAGCTTGAACTTTCCAGCTTCCAGAATTGTGAGAAATAAACTTCTGTTGTTTAAGCCGCCCAGTCTATAGTATTTGTTATGGCAGCCTGAGGAGATTAAGATAGTCATGCAGAGTAGGCCTAGTTTCAGAAATGGACATGAAAACACACGGTAATATGGTCCCAGATAGGCCCCTTCCTGGAACACATATTTCCTATCTCAGGTGCTCTCAGGTTGTGGTTAGTGTGTATGGCCTCTGTGTGTGTCACCTTGCATTTGGCTTAATAGCCTCTAGCTTCTTTCAGATAGCTCCATGGCAGTGTTAGAGTGATGCCCTACTGGTGTTTCCTTAGGATTGTTAACCATAACATGATGCACTAACGCTCTTAAACCAGCCTGGACAACATAATGAGAGCTCATCTCCACAAAAAAGTTTTAAAAAATTACCTGGGTGCAGTGATGCATGCCTGTAGTCCCAGCTACTTGGGAGGCTGAGGAGGGAGAATTCCTAACTATAGGTTGTACAACAGAACTCTAGAACGTCTTCATCTTGCATAACTGAAATTTGTTACTCTATTATATGCTTGAGGTGTATCTAAACTCTTGAGTTTGCATACTCTTTTATTACATCATGACTATTGTCTTCAAACCTTTACAAGTGACTGGGCTGATAAACTTAATTTAAAGTGACTCTTACTTCAGGTAAGTTATTTCATTGATTCATATTTCTTCCAAACTTAGCACCACCACAAATCAGAGCTTCTTGATGATAGGTAAATCTGCCAGGCTTTGCCTTAGCAACAAAGAAAAGCAAACTTACTAAAGATATTTCAGGGTCAAAGACCTGATATACAGTGATAAGTTGGCATTAGATAAAAAGAATCCATTTTAAGAACTGAGGGAGCTAATAAGTATGTGGGTGTTTGTGGAGAAAAGAAGAGGAAATCAGGCTTGTGAGGCTGGGCAGTGGCCCACTGCTGGACTTCAGATAGACTTTTCAGATTACTGACATGCCATAGAACCACAGGCTTGGAGACAGCATTCTCATAAGGGAAGAGGTTGAGCATAAGGTCACCCAAAGGCAGAAGAAAATATTTATTTTACTATTTAGAGTTGTTTTCCTTTCTTTAAACAAACTCTCCATCAATTCCACAGCAAGAGCTTTCTTCTGGCACATCTGGTTTATGTGAATACATTAGTGAGTTTCCCAGGAAGCCGCAGCATCACACAAAGGCCCATGATCATTTCACCAGGTAATGATTAATGTCATGTTACAGTTTCACAATATCATAATTGAATAATCAATTAACTAAGGTTTTGTGAGTACTATGTGTGAAGAACAATAATTTATTTATGTGACTATTCCTCCTCGATGACAGCAGTCAGTTCCTTCTGGAAAGTATAGATTAAGCCATTGCATTTCTTGGTAAATAAATATACTAGTCAAAGACCAAGATATTATTTATGTGTATGTACTAATGACTTTAACAGAGATATAAACCCTTATTTTAGGAATTGTTTAGTACTAGTAGTAGAGTTCTAAATGGATGCTATATAAAGAATTTGCTCTTTATTATATTAGTTATGAGAATTACAACCAGTGAATCATAGTAACTGGAAAATACCTTAGGGTTATAAAAGGAAATCCATTAATTGTACAAATTAAATATTTGAAGACCAAAGAGGGCAGGAGACTTATCCAGGCCTCCTGAGTCTTTAGAGTTTTTAATTAGAGCACCAGTCCATGCAGATTGTATTTGTCTTCTTGAAGCTGTGACTCATGAGATATACATGTATTGCTTAAGAATACATGTTTACTCTTTCTGCACTACCTGAGTGACAGGATCATCCATGTCCCAGACCCCAGCACCACGCAGTATACCCATGTAACAAACCTGCATGTGTACCCTCTGAATCCAAAATAAAAGATGAAAAAAAAAAAAACCCAGAATATATGTTTAAACACCCAGCTCTGACCGAGGACTCAAAAGAAAAGTGGCAGCACAGGATGTGGAGGTGAAGGGCAACCTCCTTTTTCCGAGCAGACATAGCTAATGTCATTCATGCAAAGCCCTTATGTTTGATTGCACAAACATACAACACCATGTAGAAAAATAAGAAAAGATCATCTGTGGATAGAACATCTGGGTGGGTACAGCTAGTCTCTGTGGTTTGTCTCTTTCTAAGATGTCAGAGTGGCATACTCTAAAGACAGTTCACCCCACAATTTTGAACACATTCCCTAAGACCCAGAGAATCAAACTGTTAATGCTGCTGTGAGTTCTTTACAATGGTTTTACATTAATATTGCCAGGAGAAACTTTAAAATCACCAATGCCCCAGCCCCTTTCCAGACCGATGAAATCAGAATTTCTGGGCTGGGTCCCAGGCATTGGTAATTTTTAACACTCCCCAGGTGACTCTAATGTGCAGCCAGGCCTGAGAACTATTGAGTCACTCATAAAATTAGGCAAAAAAAAAAAAAAAAAACACCCAGCTTATTTATAAAATGGTCCTCTTATCAAAGAAATAAAGCAATGTTCAGTTAACTACATTTAGCAAATAATTCCCAATTTAGCTGGCACTGTCTTAAATCTGTGAGATTCATTCTCCTCCTCTTCCTATTCCTCTTCCTTCTCCTTATTCTCTTCTCCTTCTCCTTCTTCTTCTCCTTTTTTGAGACAGGGTCTCACTCTGTCGCCCAGGCTGTAGTGCAGTGGGTCCATCATAGCTCACTGCAGCCTTGAATTCCTAGGCTTGAGCAATCCTTCAGCCTCAGCTTCCTGAGTAGTCAGGACTACAAGTGGGACTACAGGACTACAGGCGTGTAAATTAAAAAAATCACGCGCCTGGCTATTTTTTTTAAATTTTTATTTTTTTGTAGAGATGGGGTCTTCCTATGTGGCCCAGGCCTCCTGGGCAAACTCCTGGCCCCAAGCAATCCTCCCAACTTGGCTTCCCAGAGTTGCTGGGATTACAGGTGTGTGCCACTATGCCTGGCAGGGATTCATGCTTCTTTTGAGATTTAAATAAGTCAATGTTTAAACCCTAATCTTCAGTTTCCAACATTTATGACTTTCCCTCTTTATGTTCTTTGTCTCAAGATGAACATTTGTACTTTAAGTGATTTTCTAGTCAGCAATTATCATTTATTAAATTCCTAATGTTTGCCTGTCTCTATGTTTGGTACTCTGTACACTTAATTTATTCCTCACAACAGAGCTATGCATTAGACATTATTATCCTCATTGTATATAAGGGAAAATTGAATCTCAGATAAGTTGAGTTGGATGGCTAGAAATAGCCATTCTGATCCCCTAAACCAGGTTTATTTTTTTCCTATTCTAGTATCCTGTATCTAGTATACTGTATCCTGACAATAGCATGGTGTCACAGCTAAGTCCTGGACTGAGAATCGGCAAATGTGTGCTCTGGACCTGCAACTAATGTCTCTTACAAGTCCCATAACTAGAACTTCTTCATCTTAAGAAAACAAAAAGGGGCTGGGCATGGTGGCTTATGCTTGTAATCCCAGCACTTTAGGAGGCCAAGGCAGGAAGGGTGCTTGAGCCTAGGAAGAAGTTCAAGACCAGCCTGGACAACACAGTGAAACCCCATTTCAAAAAAAAAGTTATTAAAAAAAAAAAGAAGGGCTAGGTGCAGTGGCTCATGCCTGTAATCCCAGCACTCTGGGAGGCCGAGGCAGGCGGATCACCTGAGGTCAGGAGTTCAAGACCAGCCTGGCCAGTGTGGTGAAACCCTGTCTCTACTAAAAATACAAAAATTAGCCAGGTGTGCTGGCTCGTGCCTATAGTCCCAGTTACTTGAGAGGCTGAAGGCACGAGAATTGCTTGAACCCGGGAAGCAGAGGTTGCAGTGAGCCAAGATTGAGCCACTGCACTCCAGCCTGGGTGACAGAGTGAGACTCCGTCTCAAAAAAAAGAAAAAAAAAAGAAGAAAAAAAAAGAAAAGATTCAAGAAGGCAAGAAAGAAGCCAGTCACAGAAGACTACATTTTGTATTATATAAAATTCCATTTATATGAAATTTCTAGAAAAGGCAAAACTATAGAGACAGAGAATTGGTTCGGTGGTTGGCTGGGGTGGGAGAGGGGATTGACTGCCACAGGTGTGAGGGAACTTTCTGGTGTGATGGGTATGTTTTAAACTGGACTGTGGTGCTGGTTGCATAATCATATATAGTCATCAAAAATTCTATAATTGTACACTTACAATGGGAGAATTTTATGATATGCAAATTATTCCTCAATAAGGCTGTTAAAAATGGTACTGGGACTTGCACTAGAAGATGACTGCTATAATGATTCTAGAGATACTAACTCTTTATGGCATTTTCACAGCAGATAACTTGAATTGTTGAATCTTTAACAACATTTTGACCTGTTTTTTTATGTACCCATTTAAGTATCCAATTGATAACTCTTGACCAATTCTCTGTCTCTATTGTTTTGCCTTTTCTAGAAATTTCATATAAATGGAATTTTATATAATACAAAATGTAGTCTTCTGTGACTGGCTTCTTTCTTGACTTCTTGTATCTTTTCTTTTTTCTTCTTCTTTTTTTTTTTTTTGCATACATCTATGCAACCACCATCACAATCAAGATATAAACATTTCCATCATCCCAAAATTTCCCTGTGTCCTTCCCAGTCAACACTCCCACTCACCACCCCTGGCCCCAGGCACCACTGACCTGCTTTCTGTCACTATAGATTAGATTTGTCTTTACTAGCATTCCATAAAAATGGAATCAGACAGTATGTATACTTTTGTGTCTGGCTTCTTTCACTAAGCTTGCTGTTTATGAGACCCATCCATGTTGTTGCATTTATCCAGTAATTTTTTTTCTTTTTTTTTGAGACGGAGTGTTGCTCTGTCGCCCAGGCTGGAGTGCAGCGGCGCAATCTCGGCTCACTGCAAGCTCCGCCTCCCAGGTTCGTGCCATTCTCCTGCCTCAGCCTCCCGAGTAGCTGGGACTACAGGCATGCGCCACCATGCCCAGCTAATTTTTTTGTATTTTTAGTAAAGACGGGGTTTCACCATGTTAGCCAGGATGGTCTCGAGCTCCTGACCTCGTGATCTGCCCGCCTCAGCCTCCCAAAGTGCTGGGATTACAGGCTTGAGCCACAGCGCCCGGCCCCAGTAATTTTTTTTATTGTTGAGTAGTATTAGCTTGTATGGATATATCATAATTTGTTCTTGGCTATAATGAACAAAGCTGCTATAAACATTTATGTACAAGTCTTTTGTGGACTTATGTTTCATCTCTCTTGGGTAAATTCCTATATCTAGGAGTAGACTTGTTGGGTAACAAGGCACACGTATGTTTAACGTGTTAAGAAATTGTCAAACTGTTCTCCAAAGTGACTGAGGTTGACACTTTCAAATTCTACATTCTTGCTAGCAGTGTATAAGACTTCTGGTTGCTCCACATCCTCCCCAGCACCTAGTATTGTTCTATTATTTTATTTTTCACATGAATAACTTTTTATTTTACCAAAAACTTGATATTGTTCTATTGTTATTTATGTCAATATTTTATTTCTCAGTGAAATTTATTACATAATTTTGAAGTTTTTCTCAAAATAAGAAGTGGCCCACTTTTTAGAAGCCCTGTGTGCAAATTAATTCTTACTGTTCAGCATCACAGTTATTTAAAAAGTCAAATAAACACTGCAGTTTAGCAAAGTTTTCCCCCCAAAATTTCAATGGTAAGTATTAGCTGTAATTTTAAATAAGAAATGAAAGTTTAATTGGGCAAAATCTGGACATCCACATGGAGTAAAGTAGAAACCTATTAGTCAAGTGATGTGGGACTAATTTTTTGAGGTTTAGCTCCATTATTACTGTACTTATGCTGCAGATAGTATATCTTATACTCTGCGTAGAAAACAATACATCAGTAGGTTGGGGCCTAGCATCATCATTTACTTTTTTGCATCTGAGGCTTCTTTCTTTATT
This sequence comes from Homo sapiens, assembly GCF_000001405.40. Lineage (NCBI taxonomy): Eukaryota > Metazoa > Chordata > Mammalia > Primates > Hominidae > Homo > Homo sapiens. The sequence goes on along the minus strand of NC_000003.12, from coordinate 111,804,456 downwards.
TCTAACAGGTTGACCTGAACATCATTGGCTAAACATAGGAAATCAAGAAATTGTTAAAACTTCGCCAAAGTTTTCTACCTCTAATAGTTAAGAGATGATGAAGGGAAGACTCTGTTCTTCAGAAGAATTCAATAATGTCTTCTTTCACAGGCTTTAAAAGATTATCTCTTCAAAGATTCTTCTAACTTTTTGTTTGTTTATAGACCATGTGTTCTCAATAGGAACAATATTGTCCACCAAAGGGTGAAAATTGGTTCTTGGGGGGTTTAACATTTTCTTACTATTTTAATGTATAAAGCACAGATATACCTATATACAGTTCACAAACAACATAATGGTGTCTCTGTGGCATTAAATCTCATGGAGGAGAGGACGATCAGAAAAAATGTCTAAAAAGGCTTCTTTAGGGATGTGATACTGAACAAAAGTTTAGAAACTGAATTAGAGGACAGGAAAGGCACATAAAGAGTTTAAAGGGACTAATCAAACAGGACGTTTTCAACTGATTACATGAATTTGGTCTGAGACTGATTCCTCAGAATGCCCCCCACTCTCAAGATACCATTTCACCTGAAGTCATTAGCTTTGGAATAGAAAGGAACAAATCTACGCTTTGTTAAGAAATATTTGTAAATTGGAAATTTTCATTCTTTATCTCACTTTGTTTTAAAGCAACATCAGAGAAAAAAATTGTTATATCCATTTTTTATAGCTGAGGGAAGTAACGCTCAATGAGGTTAACACTTTCAAATTCTACAAAGAATACACAGTTTCTGAGTGTAATTAGTGAATGTAAGAACCTGAGTTTGTTTGATTTCAAAGCCCATGATTTCCTCCCACTCATGTGCTAGCCAGGGATTGCTGGTGGGTGAGATGGTGTTCCATTCTACTATCCTGAGTTCACTGAAAATTGACTCAAATGCCTGAGTCAGGAATTGATGTGTTCTCACAGCTCGAATTCTGGGAAGACTAGTGGTGGGGGTGGGGCTGTCACTAAGATGTCCAGGAGTTCTGCACGGGGTGGTGGGGGCACATTCTCCCGGGAAGTTTCAACTGGACTGGAGTTTACAGGAATCCAAGAGCTTTGGCTAGAACAGAACCAATCTCAGGATTGCAGAGAACCCTGTTAGTAGCAACCTTACATTCCATTCCATATTTGTCAGTGAGGGAGAGGCACTCTGATCCCCATCAGAAATTTGAAGAACCACATAAGTTTTGGCTAGCTGCCTGTTCCCTCTGCTTCACAGCTTAACGATGAAACTTTTGTTTGCTGTGTTCTTCCATCCTCTGCTCCCAAGTAGCAGATGCCAACCAAGGAATGACTGCTGATTTCAAAATTAGAGAGATGGCCATATAGACTATGAACATATAGATCATTTCTGCTTTTTCTTTTGTTTCTAGAGATTAGTATAAAACTTTTTGTACAACATCCCCTATACTCATTAAATCTGTGACATCCTTGTTGCTACCTGATATCATATATCTGCTTTATTTTATATTTCTGCTTTTCCTTTTCCAGTGACAGGTTGCCATTTTAAAGATGATTAATTATCTATCATTTGGGAGCAGGACCATAACCTTTAACTTTTCCTGACAGGACAAAAAACATGTGTTCACACCACCCACCCTTATTGATTCTCATGGTAAGGAAGAAGAGAGGATCATAAACTAGAAGTGAAAAAATGGAAGTTTTAGTGCTTTTTCTTTAAAAGAGAGAGAATGCATGATGCTTGCCTCACTCTGCTGTAACGAATGTAAGTTAAAACTAAAATACAGTTTAGAAAACTTTCACATATTACTCACAAGAACAAGCTATGAGTGTTGTTATTTTACTATTTGCTAAATGTATAGTACTAATGTCTCTTCTAAGGGACAAATATCAAGCATTTCACAAGAGGTTACACGTCATCTTGCTCTATGCTAGCATGGAAATAAATGAGAGTTGGGAAAACAGGAAATAAATATTCTAAGTTATCAGGGAATGCTGCCAAGGCATCATAGGAGTGTCATTAGTTATTTTGGTTTCTCAACCAAGACCTGAGATACAAGGCTAGTGGGTGGTGTCTAGGACAACACAGAGAAAATGAGGAAGCTCTTGGAAAGTGCTCTCCCCTTGCTCTGTCTCCCCTTTATTCTTCACTCTGTAGGCCAGATCCTCTGGAGGCAGAATGCAGCCACCACTGTGTTTACACTTTGGTACAAGAGAGGTTTCTTGTATGTAAGCACAGTGCTCCATGGAGCCATAGAGATAGCTGGTGGCACTCTGCAGTTTTCTGTGCAGTAGCTTGATAGACTGGAGAAAGCCTGAACTAGGAGCCAAAGTTTTGATGTTAGATGCATAATCATCACAAGTAACACAAATCAATTTTTAGCAAGTTACTTAAATCTTTCTATCCTGGTTAATTTATTGTTTTACATTCTAAAAATTGAGATAGAATTCATATACTATAATATCCACCCTTTATAAAGTCTAGAATTTGATGATATTTGTGATTACATTCACAAAGTTGTGCAACCATCACTGCTATCTTATTCCAGAACATTGTCATCATTCCAAAACAAAACAAAACAAAACAAAACACCCATATCCATGAGCAGTCACTCCTTACTCTTCCCTCCTCCCAGTCCCCAGCAACCACTAATGTATGTTCTGTCTCTATAGACTTGACTATTCCACACATTTCATATAAATGTAATTATATGTTATGTGATCTCTTGTGTCTGTCTCCTTTCACTTAGCATAATATTTTCAAGGTTCATTCATGGTGTTACATGTATCAAAATTTTATTTCTTTTTATGGGCAATAATACTCAATTGTAGCTTATTGTTTAGTCACTCATTCATCTGGTCATCCATCCTTCACCTACTCTTCACTGAATACTTATTATGAACCAGCCTTGTCCTAGGCTCTTGGGACACATTTATTCATATTTGTGACATGAATGAATAAAGGCACAAATTTATTAACTATTATATAAAGATAAATATGAGATCTTCATATCACCTCAGTTAAAAATATTGGGTGAACAGATTGTTTATGAGCTTTTAAAATTTTGAGGTCTTTGTATCCAAAGGAGACCTGAGTTCTTGTTTAGTTTCTGTGTCTACTTACCCCTTGAAACTTAGATTAGAGGAGGGAGGGAGGCCTGCTTCATGAACCCCAGGACTGTGGGTTATTTCAATGTGGCCCTGTGCTCAGAGGGGCCTATGCTTGTTTTAACACTCTGTTGTGACTGTCTTGAAATTCTTAATAACTTTTGAACAAGGGGCCTTGTATTTCATTTTCCACTGGGCCCTGTAATTTATGTGGCCAGTTCTGAAGGGAGCAAATATTTATTAAGTGTCTACTCTGTATTGGCCATTGAATTTGACCCCACAGCTCATGTTGTTTAACAAGTCACATTTCTCTATTTTAAAAATGAGAATGTTACATTTAATATTATTTAAGGTCTCTTCTATGTCTAAATTTCACTAATTCTAAGTCTTGCAAAATGATCTATGAAGGCAATGTATTATACTTGTACCAGCTGATTCATCTTTTCAAGATTTATCTTAATTGGCATAACTTCTTAGAAATCTTCCTTGATTCTTTCCCCAGCCAAATTTAGTAAGCTTTCTTTTGTGTTCTCACACTCCCTCAGTGTTATTAACAGAGCTTTTTATAAAACTGGATTTTATGAAGTAAAAATAGTTTCTGTCTCTCTCATTGCATTGTATGTCCCCTTTAAATCAGGTACTGCATCTTAGTTAACGTGTAACTTGCAAAATGCTTCTTAAAACAAGCAGGATTAAAGAGTCCAATAGTAAAAATGAAAGTTCAGAAATGCCAGTTCATGACATTATTAGAGATGGGAAAATCTGAGGCAAACACATAGTCCACAACAAAGTCACTGGAATATAGAAACTAAAGATATACAGTGAGAAAAGAAATTAGGACATTTGCCCAAGTAAACTTAACTTAAAAGAACTATAGTTTTAAAATGATATATGCATAATAGTATAGGAATTTAATAAACAAAAAGTAATACAAAAGTAATACCTCTCCATAATTTTAAAATAATCAAAAGGCACAGAGGGTATAAAATAAAAATTTCTTTTCATGTAATTTCCCAGTCTCATTTTCCAAAGATATGCTCAATAAGAGTTTCTTGGCCAGGCATGTTGGCTCACGTCTGTAATCCCAGCACTTTGGGAAGCCGAGGCAGGCAGAAACTTGAGCCCACGAATTTAACACTAGCCGGGGAAACATGGCAAAACCCCATCTCTACAGAAAATTGCAAAAACTAGGTGGGCATGGTGGTGCATGCCTGTAGTCCTAGCTACTCAGAAGGTTGAAGTGGGAGGATTACCTGAGCCCAGGGAGGTTGAGTCTGCAGTGAGCCGTGATTGTGCCACCACACTCAAGCCTGGGTAACAGAGTAAGACTCTGTCTCAAAAAAAAAGTTTCTCGAGTATCCTCCTAGAAATGCTTTATGAGGAGTACATTTATACACTCTTGTTATTGCACAAATAGGATTCTATTTATATTTCTATATAGTTATTTTCCTTGCCTTTTACTTAGTAATATTTTTTAGACCTCCTCCCATATTGGTATCTATAGATCTCCCTAATTCATTTTCAGGAGTGCATAGTACTCTATGACATGTGTTGAACACAGTTAAATAAAGCAGTCCTTTCTGATGAATACATAACATTGTTTTCAGTTTCTGTAAATTATGGAAAACCACAATAGATATCTTCACATAGGAAGATATTCACAGTATAAATTTCCAGCAGTGAAATTGCTGGAAGTCTTTATAATTTGATTTTAAGAAAAACTTAATTCAGTACCCAACCTGATGTCTTTGAGACAATTTCACATTTACTTGTTTGTTCTTCTCCCTCACCTTCCTTTAGAATTTCTTTTTTCTGATTGGGATGACATATTTCTAAAGTATTTCTAGCTTTCAAAAAAATAATTTATAGAAAATCAGTCTATATTTTTAAAGACCAATTGAAGCTGTCTACCTCACCAATGTGAAGAACTGAAGTAGAATTTAATTTTCTTTTCTAATACTTTTTTCTAGTATTAAATTCAAAGACTACTATTCCTCTTTTATTTACAGCAGTCTGTGTTCAAATTGTGCTGACACCATGATAGATTTCAGAGTGATTTTTTTGGCTATGTGGGCCTCTCCCATTATAATAAGAGTACCAGCTTCTTAATGCTTGTGATATGATTTGGCTGTGTCCCCACCCAAATCTCATCTTGAATTTTAGTTCCCATAATCCCTAGGTGTCATGGGAGGGACCCAGTGGGAAGTAATGGAATCACGGGGGTGGTTTCCCCCATGCTATTCTTGTGATAGTGAGTTCTCACAAGGTCCAATGGTTTTATAAGGGGCTTCCTGCTTCACTTGGCTCTTATTTTTCTCCTTGCTGCCACCATGTGAAGAAGGATGTGTTTGCTTCCCCTTCTGCCATGATTGTAAGTTTCCTAGGGCCTCCCTAGCCATGCTGAACTGTGAGTCAATCAAACCTCTTTCTTTCATAAATCACCCAGTCTTGGGTATGTCTTTATTAGCAGCATGAGAGTGGACTCATACAGCCTGTCTCCATGTTAGCTCACCTTCCTGGCCCTCATATGAGGTCTAAACAACACTCCTTTGCATAGTAGAAATTCAGCATATATTTTGAAATTGATTGTATTGGAAACATCAAAGATGCCAGATCCTAGAATTGTTCAGATTAAAGATAAAATAACATTTTATTTTATTTTATTTTATTTTATTTTTATTAGAGACAGGCTCCGGCCCTGTCACCCAGCCTTGAGGACAGTGGCATGATCATAGCTCACTGCAGCCTTGGCCTCCTGGGCTCAAGTGATCCTCCTGCCTCAGCCTCCCAAAGTGTTGGGATTACAGGTATGATACACTGCACCTGACTGAAAATATTTTAAATAAATGCTTTAATAATTTCATTGCAGTTTTGTGGCCCAGGTAATTTTCACTTAATCTTACTTGATTACAGAAAGCAGTATGAAAAGTAAACACAAGGAAGCCTAGAACATACCAAAATTCTCCTATACAGATGATTTGAGTTTTAAATATTTTTAGGTCTTATTTCCTTGCTTTCTTTAGAATGATGGTAAAAATTGACTTTTTAAACATCTTTTGAAAAATTAGAGCACTCTCAGATTTAGAATGTTCCCTGATTCTTTTTCTTCTTCTTTTTTTAAGATAGAAAATTTGGGAGTAAATTATAAAGGCCAAGGTCTTAGAAGTTCACCTTGTTTTCTATTCCTCTACAATTGTTTTTCAAATTTTTCAAATTTTAATTTTTTGAGATAGGGTCTCACTGTGTCACCCAGGATGGAGTGCAGTGGCATGATTTTGGCTCACTGCAGCCTCAACCTCCTGAGCTTAAAGGATCTTCCCACCTCAGCCTCCCAGGTAGCTGGGACTACTAGCATGCACCATTACACTTAGCTAATGTTCTTATGTTTTTATAGAGATGGGTGTCTCACTATATCGCCAAGGCTGGCCTCAAACTCATGGGCTCAAGCGATCCTTCCACAGTGGCTTCCCACAGGGCTGTGATTACAGTCGCAAACCACTGCACCCTACCCTATTTCTCTACAATTGAGTAATCACAATTGCGTAGCTTTCGGCAAATCACTTCATTTCTCTGAGGCTTGGTTGTTCTGTTTTCTGCAAAGTTAAGAGCATCTTAAATATCTATCCAGTTCTAAAATGGTAGGACATCAAAGTGGGAGTGATGGTGGAGAAGGGTTGTGAAAGTTGCTTGTAAACATATTTAGCAGATTTACAGAAGTCAAACAAAGCAATGAAAAAGTTCCACATATAGGAGGAGTTTAAAAAGACACAGATGGTAGCAAAAATAGAACCAAGGGATTTTTGCCTTTGTCTCATGACAGACTGTCTTACGGAATCCTTACACATGGATTGAATTGCTTTCAAGTAAGGCAGTCAACAAGAATATGAAGGAAAAATTCTGTGGCAATGGCTGGGCCTCTAGTTATTCAGTGTCTGAGATAAGAATTAGGAAAGTGAGATGGTCTATAACCCACAATAACTACTCTCTGTGTGTGTATGTGTGTGTGTGTGTCTGCCTAAATAGAACTTAAACCATTCAAAGTTCCACATCTTTCTTTTTCATTTGTTAATTTCTTTAGCATCTGCTATTCATTAGGCACTGGTGATATGTGGTCAGTGGGGGAAACAGATATTGAGTCAATAATCACGTCAACACATAGATAATGACATATTGTGGCAATGCTAAGAATGACAGTAAATATAATGAGAAACTAAAGCAGGGTCACTCATTTAGATTATGTAATCAATGAAAGCCTTCTTTGAGGAGATCACATTTAGCTAAGACATGAGGCATGACCAGAAGGTAGGCAGGAAAAGAAGATTTTAGGTAAAAGGGTAGACTAATCCTGAGCTAGAAAAGGGTTAGAGGAAGTTTAAAAACAAACAAAACCAGTCATGTCAATAACCTAGAGAAGAGCAATAGGGAATAACACTAGAAGGCTTATAGGCCTTGTAAATCTTGATAAGAATTTTACATTTTATTATTGTATATCTTACTATTTGAGGATGTTACACAATCTGATTTGTGTTTTTAAAATCTCCCTCTTGGGCCAGGCACAGTGGCTCATGCTTGTAATCCCAGCCCTTTGCGGGGTCAAGGCGGGTCAGGAGTTTTAGAACTGCCTGGCTAACATGGCAAGACCCTGTCTCAGCTAAAAATACCAAAAATTAGCCAGATGCATGCCTGTAATCCCAGCTACTCAGGTGACTGAGGCACAAAAATCGCTTGAATCCAGGAGGCAGAAGTTGCAGTGAGCCAAGATCATGCCACTGCACTTCAGCATGGACAACAGAGTGAGAGTCTGTCTCAAAAACAATAAAAAATAAAATAAAATCTCCTACTGGCTATTCTGTGGAGAATCTGTTAGAAGCGAACAAATGGGGATTCAGAGATTGGTTTAAGGAGATATAGAGAATTACCAGAATTAGGAAAGGGATAACATCAGGATGATAGCAGCTTGAACTAGGTAACAGCAAAGGAGCTGGAGAAAAGTGGAGAGATTTTGGCCATATTTTGAGGGCAGAATCAACAAGACAGTGTCTTAACACTTCTGGTATTTTGTTTGTTTCTTTTTAGGTTTCATTTACTTTGTCTTCACTACATCTAGTAAAAATGAAAAGGCGTTTTTCTATTCCTCTCTCCCTCTAAAGAAAACAGGTCTTGGCTGGATGTGGTGGCTCATGCCTGTAATCCCAGCACTTTGGGAAGCCGAGTCAGGCAGACACCTGAGGTCAGGAGTTCGAGACCAGGCTGGCTGACATGGTGAAACCTCGTTTCTACTAAAAATACACAAAATTAGCCCGGGCGTGGTGGCGGGCGCCTGTAATCCCAGCTACTCAGGAGGCTGAGGCAGGAGAGTCGCTTGAACTCAGAGGGCGGAGGTTGCAGTCAGCCGAGATCGCGCCACTGCACTCCAGCCTGGGCAACAGAGTGAGACTCAAAACAAATAAACAAACAAAACAAAAATTAGATGGGTGGGGTGGTGCACACACCTATAATCCCAACTGCTGGGGAGGCTGAGGCAGGAAAATCGCTTGATCCCGGGAAGCGGAGGTTGCAGTGAGCCTAGATCACATCATTGCACTCCAGCCTGGGTGACGGAGCAAGACTCCGTCTCAAAAACAAAAACCAAAAAAAACCTACCCAGGTCTTTACTTATGAAAACTAGGTAAACTGAGGCATGTTGAATGATTATCCAAAAGGAGGAGGAGCTCCAAGGATTAAAGGAGGCAGTGTGGGTGGGAAAGAGAGTGGGATTTCCCAAGACTTCAAGATGTATGGAAGTGAGATTATTTATCAAAAGCCTACTTACTTTCAAATAAATATTGTAGGGACCTAGTTCTGCTCCCATGTGACTCACTGGAGATGGCAAGATTGTTGATGGAGGCAGCATTGTGAAGGACTGTGTGGAGACTCTTAATGAAAGATCCTCAGCTCAGGCTTACCACAGAGAGAACAGAAGCAACTGCATTCAAATGGACCATAGGTCTTGGACAATGTGCACTTTGGTGACGACTGAAATTTCCAGTTAGGGTACATCCTCTCCTTGGCCATCTCCACTCTTGTATCATTTTTGGGAGGAAAAGGAGCTCTTAAACATTACTGAAATGCAGTTTCCCATGACTGAAGGGTGGAGACCTAAGAATACCTATCTGATTTCTTAAAATAAAGAAGTGCAACTCTGAGGGTTGAGGAACTTCTTTCATTTACATACCTTTTAATTATGGCACCTTAAACAAAAACTAGACATTAGTTGTTACCACTCATGATGATAGTGGTGCAGAACTGGTAGATTTGAGAATATTTTGCAGTCAAATGCTCAACCACTGAGCTATACCCCCGATTTTAGAATATTTTGGAAATTTTGAGACAATGCTCCTGGAGTGAACATAAAAACAGCTGGAGAGCATGTGATCCTCTTCACATCTGAAAGCCATTAAAGACAACAGTGGCAGAGGCATTCCAGATGGTTCCACCCCTCAGCTACATGCTGTAGGCCCTGCTTTGCATGCTAGCTCCAATACCACACCAAAGTGAGCAGGCCTCAAGCAAAGATGAGAATGGCAAGGGTTGATCAAATGCCTTACCATTCATGTATCAGGGACTGAAGTTCCACAGCTCAGGTGTGTATCATGGCCCAGGTGGATCCAATCCAATCACTTTAGCCTTATAAAGCAATTTAGGACACAGTGAAATCCATACTCTTATACATTTTTGTGACAATATGAATTGTTTAACCTTTCTTGAGGGCAGATCTAGTGGTATCTACAAATAATCTTCAGGAAGCAAGATGGCCAAATAGCACCCTCCAGCAATTGTCCCCACTGTAGGAACACCAAATTTGAACAACTATCCACAAAAGAAAGCATCTATAAGACCCCAAAATCAGGTGAGTGATCACAGTACATGGTTTTAACTTCATATCACTGAAAGAGGCACTGAAGAAGATAGGAAAGACTGTCTTGAATTGCCAACACCACCCCTCCTCTATTCCGCAGCGGCAGCCACATGGCCCAGAGAAAGAATCTGCATGTTGGGGGAGAGAGGGTGCAGTGACTGCGGGACTTTGCATTGGAACTCAGTGCTGCCTTTCACGGTGGAAAGTAAAGCAGGGCAGAAATCGGCAAGTGTCCATGGAGGGAGCATTTAGACCAGCCCTAGTCAGAGGGGAATCATGCATCCCAGCGACTGGGTTCTGGAAAGCATCGCCACTCTGGACTAAAGTGGTCTGGGGTCCTAAATAAACTTGAAAGGCAGTCTAGGCCACAAGGACTGCAATTCCTTGGCAAGTCCCAGTGCTGTACTTGCCAGTAGACTTGGGGTACACACAACCTAGTGAGACACCAGCTGGGATGACAAGGTAGTGCTTGAGTTACCCCTCCCCCAACTCCAGGCAGCACGGCTCTCAGCTCTGATTCCTTTCTTCTGCTTGAGGAAGGATAGGGGAGACTAAAGAGGACTTTATCTTGAAACTTGGATACCAGCTGAGCCACAGTAGGTTAGAGCACCAGGCAGAGTCCTGAGGCCCCCATTCCAGGTTCTAGCTCCCAGATGACATTTCTAGACAAACCCTGGGACAGAAGGGAGCCCACTGCCTAGAGGGAAGAATCCAGTTCCGGAAGGATTCATCACCTGCTGACCAAAGAGTCCTTGGACCTAGAATAAACATCAGTGGTAGCCAGGCAGTATTTGCTGCAGGCATTGGATGAGACCTAGTCCCATGCTGACTTCAGGTGAGACCCAGCACATTCCCAGCTGTGGCGGCTATGGGGAGGGACTCTTTCTGCTTGGAAAAAGGAGAGCAGAGTGTAAAGGGAGCTTTGTCTTGCACTTGGTTATCAGCTCGGCCACAGTGGGGTAGAGCACCAAGTGGGCTCTTAGGGTTCCTAATTCCAGGCCTTGGCTCCCTGGACCAGAGGGGAGTCCACTGCCCTGAAGGGAGAGACCCAGATCTAACAGTGTTCACCATAAGCTGACTGAGGAGCTCTTGGGCCTTAAGTGAACATCAGTAGTAGCCAAGCAGTATTTTCTGCAAGCCTGGGGCAGTGGTGGCCATGGGAAGAGTCTCCCCTGCTTGAGGAAAGGGGAGGGAAGAGTAGGAATGACTGTCTTGTGGCTTTGGAGCCAGCTTAGCCACAGTAGAATAGAGCGCCAGGTAGATTCCTAAAGTTCCTGATCCTGGGCCCTTGCTCAAAGACAGCAATTCTGGACCTGCCCTGGGTTGGGTGGGGGAAGCTTGCCCCCTGAAGGCAAGACCACAAGCCTGGCTGGATTTGGCACCTGCTGACTGTAGAGCCCTTGGGCTTTGAGGGAACATCCTAGGCAGTGGTCGCCATGGGCCTTGGGTAAGACCCAGTGCTGTGCTAGCTTTGGGTCTGAATCAGTGTAGTCCCAGTGTTGGTGGCCACAGGGGTGCTTGTGTCTCCCTACCCTCAGCTATAAATAACCTTCAAATATTCACATCCTTCCTTCTTTTCATTGGATTTCTTGTACACAGAAATAAATTAATCATAATCTTGGTTCAGTACATACCCATGGCATGCATTTGTTTGCTTATTTGTTTCTGATAAATCCTTAGAAAATACCAACCAAAGTGAATGTTCATATCTTTTTGTTTATTTAGTTTTTCTTTTTGTTTTTGTTTTTTTAATTTGAGACAGGGTCTTGTTTGGTCACCCCGGATGGAGTGTAGTGGCGTGATCAGGGCTCACTAAAGCTTCAAATTCCTGGGCTCAAATGATCCTTCCACCTCAGCCTCCTGAGTAGTTAGGAACACAGATGTGTGCCACTACACTTGGCGAATTTTAAAATTTTTTGTAGGGATGGAGGTCTCCTTATGTTGCCCAGGCTGGTCTTGAACTTCTGGGCTCAAGCGATTCTTCCACCTTGGCCTCCCAAAGTGCTGGGATTAAAGACATGAGCCACCATGCCTGGTGCTCAGATCTTGATGATAACTGATAGCTAATTGTAAGTTCTCCACATTTCATCCCTATGCCTCCCTCCTATCTGAGCTAATGTGAATCTCATATTCATTATCTCATGCTTTCTCTTTTATATAAGAAAGGATATATATACATATCAGAATTATAAAATGATTCTTTCAGAAATGAGGGAGAAATAAAGTATTTCCAAAGCAAGCAAAAACTGAAGATATTTGTCACCACTAGACTGGTCTTACAAGAAATACTGAAGGGAGTCCTGCATCTGGAAGCAAAAAGACAGTAATCAACATCATGAAAACATGTAAAAGTATAAAAGTCATTAGTAGAGCATATAGACAAACATTGTATGTTTTTACTCATATGTGAAAGCTAAAAAAGTTGATCTCATGGAAGTAGAGAGGAGAATGATGGTTACCAGAGGCTGGGAAGGCTGGTTAGGGGATGGAAGGGATGAAGAGGTTATGGTTAATGGGTACAAAAATATAGTTAGATAGAAAGAATAAGTTCTAGTGTTTGAGAACACAGTAGGGTGACTATAGTTAACAATAACTTATTGGATATTTCAAAGTAGCTAGAAAAGAAGATTTCAAATGTTCCCAACACAAAGAAATGACAAATCTTTGAAGCAATGGATATCCTAATTACCCTGATTTGATCATTACACATAGTATGCATGTATCAAAATATCACATGTACCCCATAAATATGTACAATTATAATGTATCACTGACGAAATTTAGAATGTAAAAAAAAGATAAAGTATATTTAACATGTGGCTATAAAATAGCATTTTATAACCATTTCATTAAAAGCAAAAAAGTCTGACAACAGATCCACAGCATTGCTTATACACTACCAGGGAGATTGAGTTGGTACAACAACTCTGGAAAACAGTTTTGCATTATCTCTTAAAGGTAAGCATTTATCTACCCCGTGACAAATTGCCTATACAATGCTGCCTCAACAAAGATACTTTTGAGAATAAAATGGGGGCACTAACAATGAGTTAGTCCTGTGAGTCCTTGGATAAGAAAGTGTAAACTGGGACTGAAATGGGAAAACAGAATCATCTTGTCATTTACCTAAGACCCAGAAAGTCCACTCACAGGAAGCAAACCATTGCATCTGCTCACAGGGGTCCTGTATAGGAAAGTTCATAGCAGGGCGTGTGAACACAGTCTTGCACATAGCCTTTCACCCAGCAGATACCATATATAGAAATTTATTATAACAAAAGAATATTGGTTAAGAACAAACATTCACCTACAGTGTAACTCATCAAACTATTTTTATAATTCTGAAAATCTGGAAGCTATCTAAATATTGATAATTCATAGCTGGTTAAATCATTGTGACACAATAATAAAACATTACCAAAAGTTAGGGAAGATAATATTACAGAGAAATATTTATGGAAAAGGTTCACAGTGTACTAGGGGAAAAGCAGATTACATATCAGAATGCTTACCATGGCACCATTTTTATAAAATGAATACATACATTAAAAAGAGACTAGGAGGATACATTTTATATCATTAATACTAGATATTGGTGGTTTTCTTGAAAATGTTTAATTTTTTAATTTACTTCTCTATATTACTATATTTGTCTACAATAATCATGTATTTTTAAAAAAGTTTTAAAAGTGAAAAGTAAATTCTATTGCACCAGAACACTGTTTAGGTTGGAGGCTGTTCTGTTATGATTGTCTTCATTTTATGTCATTTTACGTCCAGAGTATCCTAAAGAGGCAGCTTCCCTTGCACTGCGCTCACCTCATCAAACAGAAGTCTCTCTTGCATCTGCGAAAGGTTCTTTTCCTTTGTCAAAACACAGTGCTTAGGTGGCCACAAACACATGTCAGTTCACTGTCATAGTCTGGCTCCTGAGTTGCAATAATTCAGCAACCTACTGAGCAACTCCTAATGCCTCAAGTGCTGTGAAGAGAGTATGAAGAGACTACTAGTTGTGTGGATGAAAAGTTCTGGAAGGTATATATTAAACCTTTCAAGATCTTTGGAGCTTGGTACCTTATCAGAGAAGAGACATTTACCTGAGGAGTTGGAGTAAACTTTTGTGGTCAGAAAGGAGACACAATGAACTTCCTGGGGTCAAAGGGCAACCATATTACTACAACAGCAGGAGTCTCTTTCTTGGCCAGTCTCTAAATGGAGAGTGGTCTTTATTTCTAATAAGGGAAGCTGAATATTCAGGGCTATGCTATGAGATTTTCAGGGTTATGAAAACCCAGAGTATGCCTATTTCTAAGCAGGAACAAAATTAAGAGGCTAGGCCTCCACTTCCTAGTAGCTGACTAGCTGTAACATTTCTGAGGTGCTGATAAGATCCAAGGGCAATTTGAACGCCCTGCCCCCAGTCAGGCTCCTCACGCCCATGGAGTCATGATAGCACTGGCTGTGGTATGAGAATTCCATTCCAAAATTCTGAAGGGGCTTTGGTTGGATAGAATCTGCCATGTGAAGATCATGGATTTCACAATATGGGGGTGGTGAGAACCAAAGAATCATTGTTTCCAAGATTTCTCAGGAACTCAGTTTTGTATTGCTCAGTTGGCTAAAGACAAGGGCCAAACAAAAATACTCAGGGCACATAGCCCCGGTGATGATAGCTTGTCCAATTTTGGCACGGCGGTAACTGCTATTTGTTGGTCGCTGTTTATAGGGTTAGACACCATATGAACTAAGCACATAATATATATTATTATCTCATGTAATTCTGAACAACTCTGCAAAGTAAGCTATTACCATTGCTATTTTACAGGTGAGAAAATGGCATTTCAGAAAAGTCAAATAACTTTCCAAAGTCCACAAAATTAATAAAGAAATTTGAACTGAGAACCATTTGAATCCAAAATCTGCACTCTCATTCACTATAGTACATGGCTTCCCATGTATATATGTCAGAGCAGTTAAATCTTTCTTCTTTTTTTAAACGGAGAATGTACTTATAGCAAAACCATTTTGTTCTTTATGGCCTCTAAAATAATCCTGACTGGAAGATATCTGCCAATTATGTAACCAACTATGAGTGGTGCCTCCTTAATTGTTGGTTGAACAAATGACTACGTAGTTCCCATAGAGAGCATATTATTACACCTTCTCAGAAAGCAGACTAATAAGGAGTTCTATTGGAGTCTATAGTCTTTTCTTCAAAGGAACTCCTAATCTGATGCCAGGCATCTGATAGAACCTTGAGCAACAGGCATAATTTGTTGTTTAGCAGAGACCTCTTTGATTGACCAGGAGTGGGGAGCACTGTTTTTTCCATCGCCTTGATAAAAATACCTGCAGTGACGATTGGGAAAAGTAAAACTCAGGGATTTGATGTGTGAACCTGGCATTCCTTTCTCACCAATATGATTCCAACAGGGAGAAGAACATAATATAGCGCTCATCGTTTCATTTCTCTACCCACGATCTTGCAATGTTTTTCCTCTGCCAACAAGGAAAGAAAATGGAGCTATTCCTTTACTGAGCACCTACTATGTGTCTGATAGGTGCTTTCCCGTAAGTTATTCTTTTACTCTTTAAAGCAGGGGTGTGTAATCTTTTGTCTTCCCTAGGCCATATTGGAAGAAGAAGAATTGTCTTGGGCCACACATAAAATACACTAACACTAACGATAGCTGATGAGCTGAAAAAAAATTGCAAAACAAATCTCCTAATGTTTTAAGAAAGTTTATGAATTGTGTTGGGCTGCTTTCAAAGCTGTCCTGGGCCTCATGAGGCTTGCAGGCTTCAGGTTGGACAAGCTTGCTTTAAAGCATCCCTGTGTGGTAGGTTTAGCTATTTCAATCTTACTGCATCATCTTAGGCTCTTTTTAGAGAGAAAGAATAAAAGGTAGATAGATGGGAGAAGTAAACAGGAGAAGAGACAAAGGGTCTTTATAAAGATCTTCTTTTCATTTAGGGAATATCAAATTAATGTCATTTAAAATAATATTGACACATGCTTTCTCCTCTTGGACTTTTCTACCTTTAGAGGACAAAGGCCTTGGTGTTAAATAGCAGACTGACACACAAAAGTCCCAGACTCTACTTCTGACCTGGGTGAATTTATCACTATGTCACTCTTAGTTTTTGGTCATAGGAAGGTAGTCATCCAGATATAACCCCATGGCATTCATAGGAAACAACATGACATCTATCCAAATTACTGCTTTGAAATGACATTAAAAAAAAAATAGCATAATGGTTTTTTCCATCCACTCGTTTCTGTGACTGAGTTTCCTTCCTTTGTCCTTTAAGCACATTTAGGGCTGAAAAGTCCCACCAATTCTCCTCCTGGAAACTAGTAACCTTCTTGGGTCAGAATGCATGAGACAAACATCTTGGTTAAAGTGAGAAGACTATTTATGGCCAGGAGTCTTGACCTGTTTCCAATTCATGCTCCCATTCCAGTCTTTGCCAGACTGGAGGATTTCTTACCCTCTATTTCTAATATATTTACTGAAAAATTTACTGCTTTATTCTCTAATGTTTATTTTGGCGGACTACAAAGTCTAAGTTTATTTAAAAACTGTAGAAAAAAATTGGTGTATCTTCAACTTGGTGATCTATTTTAGAGAAACATGCAATCAGGTTGGATTCACCCCAGAATAGATTGGGTACGCTGCCAGAGACTCGACCCCGGGGTGGTCCTTTCTTCTTGGCCGTGGCTGTGGAATGCCTCCCCTATCTCCCATGTGTCCTCTTTGAGGTGAAGTGGACCAGAAGGAAAAAGAGGAAAAAGGCAGGTCAGAAGCAGAGCCCCAGAGAACACAGAAGAGAAAGCCTAGAGTAGCCCAAGCTACCAACCATGTCTTTGAAAATGGTAGAAGTAGATTGAGCCCTCCAATTCTAGCTTGAAAGGGTTCTCATCTGTAGCAAGTGTCAGGCCACAGTCACACACCATGAAAAGTCAGGAAAAGGGTCTGTGAATGTTATGATGGAGAGAACATTCATTTTCAGCATTTGAAACCCAAGTGCAAAAAAATATCCAAAGATAAAGGAGAATATCTCACTTATAAGTTCCATTTGATTTAAAGTTAACTGTTCTCTAAAGAAATTCTGATTAAATAGCATGCTATAGAGCACACAGTAAATACTCCCAAATGGCAAATTATTAAACTTTTTAAACAGGGAACACATTCACCTTCAGTAACGCAAAAGCATGAGGATAGAAATTATAAGCTAGAGTCTCTTGGGGTATATTTGAGATATCTAAAGGCCAAGTAGGCTGTCAGTCTCTGACACTATGGCAGTTAAAGACATCCAACACAATTGTTATGTAGTAGCATAATTGTTGGTCTACTAGGCTGTCATCACCACTAAACTGTGAGATCTTTGACAGTACAACAGTCTTCACTTTAATTGCCCTTGAATCAATAGTACCTAGCATTGCGCCCCATGCAAAATAAGTTCTTAAACTTTTTTTTTGATGAATGACAAATGTGTGAACCTTGGATTTAACCTCTGGTTTTTGCATCTGAGGCTCTCAATAGGACAAGTCACTGAGACAGCCAGAGTTTATTAAAATAGGCATAGGAGTTTCTATTTGAAAACCTGACTATGTCATTTATTATACCTATTTATTAAACATAGAATTATAGGATCTTAGGCTTTGAGGGGACTCTTAGATCATCTGGTAATGATATTTTAGTTCAACTCTCTCATTTTAGAATGACAAACTGTAGCCCGGGTGAGATAAGTGATCTGCCTAAGATTCTACTGCTTATCATTGGGTGGGAGGGCCTGGGCTTGTCTGCCAATCCCCTAAGTTGCCGATGCTCTGTCTTATCCTCCCACTTTAAGCCTTTTTCAGAACTCAGACTTAAATTTTTGAAAGTAACAATAGTTATTTACTAGGTCATTTTCTTCAGCTAGGTCAAACAATCCAGAATCATAAAATCTTAGACTTTGGAAGAGGCCTTAGAGGTCATCAGTTTAACATCCCAACCCAAGCAAGGATCTCCTGTACAAACTTGAATGGCATTTAGTAATTGTTTGAATTCCTACAGCAGTAGGATGTCAGTATAGTCAGTCCTCTGTATCTGTGGGTTCTGCATCAATGGATTCAACCAACCATGAATGAAAAATATTTGGGGAAAAAAACTGCATCTGTGCTAAGCACGTATTGACTTTTTTTCTTGTCATTATCCTTAAACGATACAGCATAACGACTATTTACATTGCATTTACAGTGTATTAGGTATTAGAAGTAATCTAGGGATGATTTAAAAGAGAATGTCCATAGGTCCAGTGCAAATACTATGCCATTTTATATCAGAGACTTGAGCATCTGTGGATTTTGGTATCCATGAGAGGTCCTAGAACCAATCCTCCATAGATACTGAGGGATAACTGTACCTCATTTTTGAATATAAAATTCTTCCTTTTATTTAAGTAAGATTTGCTATAAATTTTAATGTGCCAAATGCCAATATCTAGAACTACACAGAATGAATCTACCACATTTTCATGCCAATCCTTCCTAATTATGAATACAATTTTCATGTCAATATAAATCTCTTCCCGAGCAAAACATTTTTTGAATTCTTCTTCAAAAGATATGGTTTCCTGAACCACCACCATTCTGGTTGCCCTTCTCTGACTATCCTCCTATTTATCAATGTCCTAATTGAATTTTAGAAGTGGTCTAACAGATGAAGAGTAGTAGAATTATGACTTCCTTCTTGGTGTGTCCTAGATTTTGTTAAAGAAGTTTAAGATTGCATTAATGTGTGTGTTTGCCTCTCTAATGCTTCTTGTTGAGTTTAAGATTAGTTAAAAACACTAGGTATTTTTGGGTGGGAGGGGAAGAATCCTGTCATATTTAATATTCAGAAATAAATTCTAGATGGATTAAAAATGTATGTGTAAAAACAAAATAAAGAACTAGAGGAAAATATTATATTTGAAAATGCTAATTTTACTTGGAGATTTGAGAATTCCAAATGTATCCTTCAAGGATATAAGTCACATAAGACAGACTGCTATATTTTGCCAACTAAAATTTAAAGCTCCAAAGTGGAAGAATAATAAAAATATCAAAAAATAAACAGAAAACAGAAATATGCTTGCAAAATACATGTAGGGGTTAACAGACTTAATATCTCAAGAGCCCTTGAGAATCAACTGAAATAGACTAATATCAGTAGAACAATGAATAAAGAGCATGAATAAGTGAGTCACAAATGAAGAAATAAAATGGCTCACAAACATGTGATGAAATGTTCAAACAAGCTAGATGCCAAAGTTGCTGGCAAAATTAAACTGCTAAAAATGAAATTAATAGCCAATATTCTATGCAGACAAATACTTGGAAAAACAGATTTTCTCACACACAGCTGATGGAACTATACATTTTTATTACTTATTTAGTATAATTTGGAAATATATGATCAAAGCTTAAGAAAGCAATTAATTTGTTCTCAAAAATATCACTTTTCCTAATTTATTCTAAGTGAAATATTAAAAATGTGTGCAAAGAGTCTTATCATAGCACTACTTATAATATCAAAATAGAAAAAATAAAGTTTTTACAATAGGGAATTGGTTAGGTATGACATGTTCAAGTAATGGACCATTACTATTATTTAGTTAAAAAACTGATTTAGAAATATACTTACTTCACAATATAATGAAGTAAACAAGTATGTTACAATATACATGACATTTTTATAATTTATGTGTATATTGCATATGTGTGCTAAAAGTCTTGGAATTAACACAGCACAAACACACTTTTTCTTATCTTTATGTTCTGAAATACTAGTTTCATCACTCAGAATAGGTTGGATTATACTGAACAAATAATCCCCAAATCCCAGTGACTAAACACAATCAAAAATTAGTTCTTGCTTATGCTGCTTATCAGCACGGTTTATGAGAGAGGGGCCTACTGATCACACCCACTCACAGACACAGACAGATGGCTCCAGAAGCTTCCACTACCACTGAGGCAGGAAAAAAGGATGAGGCAACTTGCACACACTGCATGACACTTCTGGTATTTTGTTGTTCAAAGAAAATCTCATGCCTCACTTCAAAGGAACAAAGAAATGCAAGCTTCCAATGAGCTCAGAAGAACAATTTTTGCAGACAGTCCTAATGACTATCACATTTACAGTTTTTTCTGTTTGCTTGTTTGTGTTTCCTGATTTTTGTAAGTCAACCTATATAATACTTTATTAAGAGAAATTCCTGTTCGGACATATGTCCTTAATCATGCATTTGTGGAATTCTCGGCTCTGATATTTATTGCCTGTTAGAATATTTCTCAATCTTGATCTGATCCTATTAACCAACGTATTTTCCCTCCCAGTTTGGTTATTTGGCAGTTCTGAAAATATCATCTAAATCATCATCAGTGACACCAGGCAGGGTGATCATTCCGGAGAGAGAATTCCTCTCAAAGGACATGGATCCTCTAAACAATTGCCCTTAATATACTTATTCAATTGACTCTGAATTCACCCAACTGTATTTTTATGTAGCCCTCAGTTTACCATCTGGTTCTTAAAGATAACAAACTTTGTCAAGAGCCTTACTGTAATTGAATTTCTCTTTGATATTCATCTGATGTAGTGTTTCAAGTTTGGCATAACTTGATCTTAAAAAACTCCTTTGGGATTAAGGCAAGATTTTTCTGGCCCAAATGTTCACAAATTGGCTTTTAATATTTATCCTAGAATTTTGCTAGTGATCAACAGCAAGCTGATCAATCTCTAAATTAGAAGGTCAATTTTCTGTCTCGGGAATACAAGTACCTTTATAGTTATTAATGTTTATCTTCAACCTGTTTCTCTCCCTGGGTGCTTGCTCCCTCATTGATCTGCAAGTTTGTTCTGAATAATCTGGACCTGGAGATTTGAACACATTTAAAGGTGATGAGTTTTTGTTTTGTCTTGTTTTAATTTCTTTACCTTGCTCATGTTTCTCTTTTTCCCTAGTAGTGTTTTTTCAATTATTTTATTTTATTTTTTTCTCCAAGCCTCAGTCTTGAAAAATAATTCTTTTATTTTAAAGAACGTGCCACTACTAAGATAAATAGAGCTTAATTCTAAAACAAAGTGGATATTTTAGATGTAAATTGCCAGTTGAGGCTACCCATTTCAGAAAGAATATTATAAGCAAAGGTTATCACGTGTTGGCTCTTCTGCTATTGCCCCGTAGAAGATTTGTACATATTCACTGGAGGGCTCTAGAAATCTCTCTCTGAACAGTAAAGATTTTCCCATGACCTTGATGCTGAAGCCATGGACTTTGGAACTGCTGCAAGCAGTTTCTAGAAATAGTCATGTTGAGCAAGAATTCTCAAAATTTTGAAGCACAGAGAACTATGGAATTTTAGAAAGTGCTGTCCTGGAATAGCAGCTGGGGACAGAGGAGGGGAAAACAGATAGGAACTAAGAAGAAAAAGGAAAAACTGGAAGTAGGACAAAATTATATGTGATATAAGGTTAGTATGCAAGACTAATTCAAGCTATGCAATAATATAAAATGTATATATAGAGAATCCTAAAAAAGAAGACACTATGTCTAAAAATATTTCAAAACTTTTTTCTCTCTGAATAGCCTGAGAACAAAAATAAAGCTCTATTTATCACCTCATATGTGCTAAGCACTTGTTCAAAATGATGAGAAAAGTAGAGAGGGTTGTTGCCTTCATGGAATTTATTGTTAAGAAGAAAGACAGACAATTCCTAAGCTGTGCCTGATAAGTACCCAGTGGGGTCAGTACTTGGTACTACAGAAAGAAGCTCTAGCAGGAGTCTCACCCAGTTTAAAGGGGAATAGGAAGGGCCAGGGAAGGATCTCTGGCATAAGTGATGTTTAAACTGAAACCAAAACAGAGAAGAAAGAATTTGCCAAGCTTATGGGGAGAGTAGAGAGCATTCTGGACCGAGGGAATAGTAAGAACAAAAACTTAACAAATTGATTGAGTGTAAAAGCTCAAGCTTGAGCTTTTGAGCTCAAAGAGTGGTAATTTTGAGGGGCTCATGGTAGGCCAGAGCATCTCTCCTTTTTTACTATCCTCGCTTTATATTTTGGAACTGAGAGCACTGAACTATGAGACTAGCTTAAGGTTTGACTTAATTGCCAGGAACGTAATGTCCTTTTCAAGAGTGGCCATTGGACTGAGAATAGGAAGTTCCATGTATAACTAAGGTTGTTCCCAGTAAAAACCTGAACATTTGCTACCAATTTTAAGGGCAGTCATTACCCATCTCTAGATTCTACTATTATTTTTATCATTTGGATGCAAATAATGAAGTTTAGCTTCACACTTAGTCTTTCTCTATTACATCCTATCTCCATATCTTGACCCTGGCCTTGGATCCTGTCATATTCCTGAGACAGTACATAAGTAAACAGAGCTTGGCCTGAGGGAAATAGAGATAAGGCATTCTTTCCTTGCTTGACCAAATTCAAAATAGGCAGGTTGCATTCTGGCCCTATGACTGAGGTAGTTTTGTGCCACGGCAATACTGCTTCTGTTTACAGCTGCCATCTCATCATTTAGAGGACTGTATTTAATCTGCACTAAAGGGAGTATAGGAACCACTTGAGAAAATCTTGCAAAGTTCTCCGGATTCTTTTCTAGATTAAAAAACACCTTTCCCCCAAACTGTACTTACTATGCTTAAGAATTTGAGAGTTGAGAGTGTGGGGAGAAAGGAATGCATCTGCATAGCAGAAGGCGGAAGAAAATTCTTGCTTTTAAATGAAATCATATTTGAAAAACTAATGATCATTTCTGTTATCTATGTGAGCCTGTTCTTGTTGTGGATATCCACAAAGGAGAAATTAATTGTAACTTGACACAATTATTTAGAAGGTAGAACAAAGAATCCTGGAGGAATAAGGCTATTGTGATGAAGTCATTGTTATTGGGGAGATGCTGATAAAAAGCCCCCAAATTAAGTTTGGTATTGGTATTGGAGCATTACATGAGTAGTTCAAGCTTTCCTGGCAATCCTGACTCAGGAGGGCTGTGGATACAGAATGTAATACAGGATTTGGGGAAAAGGGAGAGGGATAAAGAAGGATGGGAGACATGTGGATTAGAGCTGAGGGAAAACTTTTCTCAAGAGTTTAAAAATAGGCTTGGGAGCAGCTCCAGAGCATAAGGAAAGCAGGTGGAGAGAGATAAGGAGATTTTAAAGAAATAGTCACTATGGTCAATAGAGTTCATCAGACATAAGTAAAGAAGTTATGTTTTTAAAATTTTAAGGCATTTAGTTTTTCTTGATTATGACATCACTCCATGACTGGCCCATAATGAGGTCAACTTGAAATATAAAAGCTAAAAAATGACTTTAGAGAAAACTCCATACATTTTAATGTTGAGGAAGATAATGCAAAAGAAAACATTCTAAGTAACTACACAAACATAATGGATGACGATCATTCACTTGTTGATTAAATATTTATTAATCATCTACTATATGTATAGCTCTATGCTTGATTTGGGGGAAAATCAAGATTCAGTGTGCTATAGAGGAACAGGCAATCTACTTGTGAAGACACACAGATAGTCCTTTGTAAACATTCAGTTAATGCACTCACATATGAAAACACCTATCAACATCTGTTATAAGATCCTGTCTTTCCTTCTGCTGCTATTGATGCATTTGGGTCTATCCACGGGGACATCAAAGCTGCAAGTCTGCCATAACCCATCATAATTTTACCTGAATAATCTCTGATATGAGAGTTCCAGATGACATGAATTAGAATTCTAAATGTGCTTTTCTATTAGCATAAAACTCATATGGTTCTGAGATGCTGTCTTAGTCTTAGCAGGTTTCTGTCGCTATAATGGAATACCACAGGCTCCAACATTTATAAAGAAAACAGATTTATTTTGGCTCATGGTTCTGGAGGCTGAGAAGTCTAAGAGCATGGCACTGGCACCAGTGAGGGTCTTATTGCTGTGTTATTTCATAATGGAAAAGAAAGCAAGGCATGTGAAACAGAAAGTTGGGCCGAACTAATCTTTTTCTTCTTCTTCTTCTTCTTCTTCTTCTTCTTCTTCTTCTTCTTCTTCTTCTTCTTCTTCTTCTTCTTCTTCTTCTTCTTCTTCTTCTTCCTCTTCCTCTTCCTCTTCCTCTTCCTCTTCTTCTTCTTCTTCTTCTTCTTTTCTTCTTCTTCTTTTAAATCAGGAGCCCACTCCTGCGTTAGCAAATCCCCTCCTGCAATAACAGCTTCACTTTTATTGCCGAACCTTCTCTTTAAGGTCACCTCTCAATGTGGTTGCAATGGCAATTAAATTCCAGCATGAGTTTTGGTGGGGGCATTCCAAACCACAGAAGAGCTATACTTTAGCCTTTCTAATAATGTACAGAATGAAGTGAACATCTGAGAACTTACTGTGACAAATAATTGACTTGTAAATGAATGTTTGGCTCACATTTTGTGAATAGACACATGTCAGAGTCCTCGACTCTCCTCTTCCTAAAAATCTGAATGTGTGGGGTGATAAATAGCCAAGTGTTGGGTGTATGACCCAACCCTTCATTGGCCATGGCTGATTGACTACTTACCCTAAGTATTTCCATATAGAGGATGGCCAGAGACCTGTGTAGCAAAGGCAAAAAGAGGATGGAGGTCAGAGTCCTCTTAAGAGTATAGATTTTTGCATTCTGCCACAAGAACATATGCACCTGTATGTTCATCTTAACGCCATTCACAAGAGCAAAAATGTGGAATGAACCCAGGTGCCCATCAAGGGCCCAGTGCCCAATCCACTGTGGGTGCCCAGGCTAAAAAGAAAATGTAGTACATATACACCATGGAATATACTATGCAGCCATAAAAAAGAATGAAATTATGCCTTTTGCAGCAACATGGATACAGCTGGAGGCCATTATCCTAAGAGAACAGGAGAAACAGAATGCAGAAACAGAAAACTAAATACAGTTATGTTCCCACAAGTGAGAGCTCAACATTGGGTACACATGGACATAAAGATGGGAGCAATAGATACTGGGGACTACTAGAGGGAGGAGGGGGGCAAGGGCTGAAAAACTATCTATTGGGTACTACGCTTAGTACCTGGGTGACAGGTTCAATCATACCCCAAATCTCAGTATCACACAATATATCCTTGCAACAAACCTGCACATGTACCCCAGATTCTATAATAAAAGTTGAAAAAGAAAAAAATATATAGATTTTGGGAACCTGAAAGGTTATAATAAGTAATCCATGAAAACTGAAGCAGAAATGTCATACTATAGAACAGTGCTTCTTAAAGGTGGTCCCTGGACCAGCAGCATCAACATCACATGGGAACTTGTTAGTTTTTTCTCCAGACCTACCGAGTCAGAAACTCCGAAGGTAGGGCCCAGAAACCTGAGTTTTACATACCCTCCAGGTGATTCTGATGCTGCTAAAATTTTGAGAGCCACTATTGAGAAAGTAGCCAAAGAAAGGCTGCCTGAGTGGCCTAATGAACCACATAGATGCTAAAGGGAATCAGTAAGGAACTCTGTGTGAGCAAAGGAAAATTTTAGGTGGAAGAGAGTGGATTAGATGACAGAAGAGAACTGGGGAGAAAGTGTGATCCCTCAGTTTCAGTTTCTGTTGATGTATATCCACACAACACTTGCCATGTTTTTTTTAGGGATTCACATTTCACTGTGGTTTCTTGGGACCAAATTGTCCTGACTTGAGCCCTGGGTAGAAAGTAGAGATGTTCTGAGCAAGATACTCTAAGGCTATGGACTCTGTAATGAGAGTTGAAGCACATTTTACATGAGAGCACGAGTTGCCTTCCAAGTTCACTAAAACTATGGTCAAGTACATTTTTCTAGAAAGGGCAGTTACGGCTCTGAGGGTGGGTTGAACATTTTACATATTTTTGCAATCCTTAATGCAGCCTAATGCGGGGGATTCATAATGCATCTTGTTAGTTTGCTAGGGCTCCCATAACAAAATACTACACACTGGGTGGCTTAAACAACAGAAATTTATTGTCTCACAGTTTTGGAGGCTAGAAGTCTGAAATCAAGGTGTTGGCAAAGTTGGTTTCTTCTGAAGGCTATGAGGGAAGCATCCATTCCATGCTTCTCTCCTTGGCTCGTAGATGGCCATCTTTATGTTCACATGGTGTTCTCTTCATGTGCTTGTGTCCACATTTCCCTATGATAAGGACATAAATCATAGTAGAGGAGACCTACCCAATGACCTCATGTTAACTTGATTACCTTTGTAAAGACCTACCTCCAAATAAGGTCACATTCTGACGTCTTGGTGGTTATGACTCTACACATGAATTTGGGGAAACATAACCCATAACAGTATCCCTATTTTCAAAATGAAGACCTACAGAGAGGTTGTATGAGTGCCCAAGGGGCAGTAGGTTGATTGTGCGATGAAATGTAAATCCGGAGCTCTCCACAATATAGTCAGCTCCTACGCTTATAAAACATATCTGCTGGAGTTTGTTAAATGGTCTGGATTTGCCAGAAGCCAGTCCGTTTAGCTTAAAAAAAAGGGAGGGTAATGATGTAGAAGAATATGTAACATCTATACTGGGGTAAAACAGGTGTTTTACATCTAAAACTAGTTGAAGGATTTAGCACTCATTATTTTTGCCCATTAGAATAGTGCCTCCTATTTCTTTGAAGAGGAATCAGATGAAATTCAGCTCATGTGATAGGACTGCTAATTCTTTTTTATTGTATTAAACAGATGGCATCAAACAACAAGTTGCAAATATGATGCATATGGGGTTACCACAAGTGAGTATCTTTTGGAAGAAAAAAAATGTGGCACATAACAGAAAGAAATCACATAAAGATGAACACAGAATGAAAGAGCTGTTTTGTTATGTGGAACCAAAGTGCCTTTAGTCTTTTTGCTCTTCTAAAAATATTCACATTTGAGAGTGGACTGGTCTGATTTAAGATGCTGTACTAAATATCCCTTTGTTAGAAAATAAGATAAAAAGAAATACCATAAATTCTGAGCCTAAATTTTAGAGCTGAATATTAACTTCAAATTATATTATGTGGTATTTTGGATTATCTTATGAGAAAAAAAGAAAGAAAATAGGAGAAAGAAGCATAATCCTTATTTAGAAGATCATACTGGGTCAATGTTAATAATTAACTCCTATTACTGTTGTGTAATGGAGATAGATACCTGTTTCATTAGTAAAAACTAGTAATCTGTTTTGACATTTTGAGAGAAAAAAATATATTTTGCTTGGTCCTTGAGAAGATGCCTTGATTCCTAGTTATTTTTTTTTCTAGTAAGAATCACTTTCTTTGTAGAAGACTCATTTTCTTAGAACTTCCTGCAGCAAATGATGCTGCCTCCTCATCAAAGCCCTTCTGTCTGGGCCTCCTGTGTCATTGCCTGTAACTGGCTCTCAGCTTTCTGGCTTCTCTTTTTTATGCTGATTGGTGGCCTTTATTTCTTTGGCCCCTTCACCGTACACACTTTCCAAATTTTCTTGGCTTGACTGTAAGCTCCTTAGAGATAAGAATCTATTTTCTATTTCCTTGGAAATATACTTAAGTGTCTTCAGCTTAAGCATCTTTGGACAGAATGTATTTCTATCTTCTCTACCTGAGAAAGATTGGAAGGGAGAAAGCATAATAAATACCACTGGTTTTAGGACTGATTGCCAAATCTAAAGGAAGTACACGTTATTGAATTACCTGATGACAAAGGGAAGGTGAAGTTTATATGAAACATCAAGGGGGAACTGTAACTCCTTGGCACTCTTATGCAGGCCTAGATTCTTGGAGTTCTACATCTAGGTGTATGAGTTATTACAAATCCCTTCCTTCACATTTTCCAGTTTTCTAGAATATGATGTAGTTGATTTAGTATCTAGGCAGGAAAAGATTTGCCCTCAGGAAGCTAAACTTTCCAGGATGCTGCAGGGAGATTCCAACTGTATTAGTCTGGAGTGAGAGGTGCAATGTAGGAACGTGCACTCAGTTAGTAAATTAATATTTGATTTAAAATAGATATCAAATCCCATAAATTATAAATACTTTGAAAATAGGTTACATTAATAGAAAGGGAATTTCTTATATTAAAATGTCACCCTATACACAGTCCTAAAGAAAGAGATTTTGCTTTTCTATCTTCTCTTTCTATCCCCTTTCCTTCCCCTAGTGCCACTTGATTGACAAAGAGATGTGGAATGGGACTCAAGGAGAGTTTATACGATAAAGGGGATTATTTCTCAGATCCACTTATACTCTAATCCTATAGGTAATTCCTCTAAAGGTCCACATTTGAATAAGACTGATTCTTACATGACTGCCTTCCTAAATAGCAGTTATGAGGGGCTCTCAGTCTAGTTATTCATAAGCATCAGCCCAGAAGCTTGCTCTGTATTGTCCCACTATGCTTAAGAATCTCTTGCCTTTGGAATTGCTGTGAGGAGGTCAATATCTCTGAAAAAGAGCTAAATACGTTCCAAAGCTTTCACCAGCAGCTGTCAGAACACTTCAGGGCCAGTTTTATAGCAAAGCAATGAAGCATACTTTTAAAACTTATTTTAGAAAGAAATGCCCATTTCCATAAACTCAGTGCAAATTCTGAGCTCTCACTAATTTAGCAGTAAGATATCAATGGGTTCCCAGGTGTTCAATTGTAGAAAAATGTAAACATTCTCCTACTTTATTCACTAGGGGAACGCATATCTAAAATAATTATTCTCTGGGTCAAACTTTAAGCCAAAATTTTATCTCTAGTTTTATAATTACATTTCCTGAGTATTCTAGTTTCTTTTATATTTAACCTTCAGAACAAACCAGATTCTATGCACATGACTCGAATGACATTACAAAATGGAACAATTAGGAAAAGGTCTAGGAAGGATGACCAAAAATCTGAATTGATTATTGTGTAATTACTTCCAAACCCCTTCCTGAACACCCTTTCTGCTAGAAGAATGCTTTGGGCTATATCAAATTTAGCATCACACCTGCAGCATACGTGCTCTGCATCCTCCCACTCTTACTTCTTGACTAACCAGTTTTTCTAAAGTATCATCTACATGCTCTTCTATGTGATTTTCTTCCATGACTACTCATCTGTTTAATCGGTGGGGGAAGTAATCTCAACTGAATAGATTAGACCTGGGTTCTCGATGTTTGTTTTCTAAGGGTGTGGACCAACCCTGCATCTAGCAAAATGATAGTCCGAGTCATCTCTTTTTGATCTCTCTGCTCTTTGGTTCCATGTATAAATGATGGTGATGATGATAGTATCTACTCATAAGGTTGTTTGGAGGATGACATGAGATATCTGTAGAGCCACAAGAGAAGTGCTCTGCAATTGACTCCCCTGTTCACTGATTGATAGCTATGATTATTATCTCATTATTAGGAATTCTTATAAGACTCTCATATTTTCTTTATACCACACATTGTGCTATTAAATATAAATCTTAATTCGGTTCCCTTGTTTCTCCAACTCACTCCTTATGGCACATCCTTCTGATGAGATTCAGGCAGAATCCAATCCATCGAGAGTATTTTCATGTTTCCCCGACATTGTCTTGGGTTTCTCAACAGCACAGAGGGATGCTGAACTGGGGAATGAAACCACACCCGAGCTGTGGAGTTGACAAAAGAGCTGGATCATGAAAATATTTCTCTTAGGGATAGGTTTGGCAACCCTCTGTTTAAATTAAAAACACCACGAATTTGGGGCCTAGTAAATTGACAGTGTTCTTTGAAATCAAAAGAAGTTAACATGACAAAGAATGTGCTAGTCAGGATACACACATGCCTGAAATGATTTCAAGTCAGCTTTATTTCAGCAATTTTTCCCTTTGAAAGATGAAAACAGAAAAAAACCATGAAAACCACTCCAAGCCCCAGTGGTGCCCTTTCCCAGGACTCTGCATGTCTTACATTTCTAGCAGTGATGCTTCTTCAGCCAGTGCTTCTAAATGCAGATGCGCCAAGCCACTCGGGGCTCGCATCCCTAGCATTTTGCTGTCTGATCTCCATTAACTTCCAGGAGATAGAGCATACATTAGCACCAGGACTTTGATCAATTTTTTTTCTGTCTGACTTTATTAATTTCCTGAGCCACTAAACCCTCCCTGAAGGAGGAAACTGCACCCTAACAGCAAGTCTGGAAAAACATCTGCTGTGAAATGCATTCCTGAAGCACATCCATCACCCAGATACCTCTCACAGCCTTACTTGAGTGAGACCCCTACCTAGAGCTCCCAAGAGCACACAACAGAGGTGGGAAGGTGAGGTCTCAATAACTAAGGAGCCCTCCCTGGCACTGGCTTTCTCCTCCCTACAGTCCACTGTGTGAATGAAGCAGCAATATTCTAAAGGCTGTATCTCATAGTGCCACTGACAGGTGTTTATAGAGCTCAGCTAAGTGAAGAAGAAACCTTAATACTGAATACAGATGAACTAAATGTCATTTGAAAATTTCTCTTTATTTAGGCCAGTTTGGCTTTTTCCTGGTACCTGCTGTTACGGCAGCTTTCCCAGTAAGTGGTGGGAAGAGAGTGCATAAATAAGTTTTCAACACAAGAAGTGACATGGTAGTATTTGAGAAGAAACTAATGTTTTGAGATATTAGAAATAAAGATCCAATAAGACCTGGCCTCATATTAAACCTATGTTATAGTACATCATAATAGTTTACTGAGAATAAGCATAAACTCTTTTCTTGCTAAGTTCCTGATGAGTAAAGCAGCTATGTTTATTTATTTAATCAACAAAAGTTTATTAAGTGCCTACTCATACAGGCACTCTGCCAGTCAAGGGATATATCAAGGCAGAAAGATACGAAGTCGTTGTCTCTGTCTCAGGAGAAATTCAGGTAAATAGATCTGGGTAACTCAAAGTCAGGGATGAATGCAAAGTGCTTGAGAGAGCATAAGATCGTGGAAACATATTTTGCTACAGCTATCAGAAGTCAGGAAAAACCCTATCTAAAATTCACCTTTCTCTAAAGCTTGTGTGACAAATCACCGATTTTATTAGTCTTTAAGGGACCCCCTCAAGCCTATGTTGGGATCCATATTCACAACCCTTGGCTGTCTTCTCATACATTTGGGTCATGCAATAGCTCTCATACTTTAATGTGAATTGAAGGCACCTGGGAAATGGTTAAAAATGAGATTCATGAGTTCTCACTCCAAGAACTTCTGCTCCAGGTTTGGAGCAGAGCCTGGGAAACCTTGTTAACTTTAATGAATACGCTTTTCTGATAATTCTGCTAAAAGTGGTTCTCAGACTGCACTTCGAGCGATGCTATCAGAGCACTGAGATTCCTGTTTGTCTGTTTCAATAAGGACTGGTTCTTAGACCTTTACAATTTCAATCCTTAGAGCATAAAACTTCTTACCTATCTGTTTACTGAAGTTGTTTGCTTCTATACTTAAACTCAAGAAAGGAGTGCTGAGAATCAGAAATATATGATTTGCACATGAGTGGAAATGGATAGGTGAGGAGTTGTTGGCCTCAACTTAGGAATTCTCACGTCTCTGTGAAGAAAATCCAAATTGCATTCCTCATACACACCAACCCTCCTTCAGGGGTGCAGGCCTGTGGGGCCTGTTAAAAAAAGTGTGCAGGGATGGGCTCTATGAGGTGTTTATGAAATCATGTCTTTCCCTGAGGTCCATGGACAGTCAAGGCAAACAGATAAGCTCTATAGGTATAGCTAAGCCCTTCGGTAAAGAAAACGACCCTGGATATTCTCTTGCGGCAACCTTTACTTGTGAATTTGAACCAAGAAAAATGCCAATGCAAACCCAAAAAGATAATTTAGACTTGGCTAGGTCCCTGGTACAATTTCCTCTACAAGAAAAATGTTATTCCCAGAATCTAGCCAGGCAGGGCTGATCTAGGCATTTCTGAGTTCAGGGACCAGAGAGTGGAGAGAGCTTTAAAAAGCCCTCCAGCTTTGGGGTTAAACCAAACAAAAACCTGTAGCCTTAGTCATTTATATGGTTACTCCCCTTCATAGGTTTAGCCTTCTTCCTCTTCTTTTCCTTCTTTTTACTCCTTCCCTTCTCCCCAACCCCACTTTAAAAATCTTTCTGTTAATATAGTCTAAATATAATTTATTTAAAAAATAGAATTATTAAATTAAGTCCTTTTGAAAATACTACTTGTAGAACTTTTCCAAGGGCACATTGGAAAATAACTTCCTCTGAACAGGGTCTCCTCTGGAAAAATAGTAACAGTAAGAAAAAGACAATAGGTTTTGAGCCATTTTAAGTATATAATTTGTTCTCAGTGATGTGAATGAAAGTTCACAGTTCAAGTAAGAAGGAGTAATAAATTCTCATAATGATTGCAGCCTTCCATTTCAATGCAGCATTAGTCTTTTTTTTGAGGAGCAGAAGGTATTTTATACCAAATTCAAAGGGTTATTTGTCAAAATATAAAAAAATTTAAAAACCTAACAAGAAAAAATTGAACTTTATAAAAAAGACAGTTAATCCTTATGTTTTGAGGTAAGTAACACTAAAATAAGCATGTGAAGAATGACTATTTTTGAATTAGGAGATTCCATTTAAGAAGAAACATTTACTCTTTTGTGTTGGGTGAATTGTGTCCCCCCAAAAGATGTTGAAGTCCTAACCTCCAGTACCTGTGAATGTGATCTTTTTTGGGAACAGGGTCTTTGCAGGTGATCAAGTTAAAGTCATGAGGGTAGACTCTAATCCAGTATAACTGGCATCCTTACACAAAGGAGAAATTTGGACACAGGCACATATGTGTATGTCAGAAGAATGCCATATAAAGATGAAGGCAGTGGCCAGGTGCAGTGGCTCATGCCTGTATCCCAGAACTTTGGGAGGCTGAGGCAGGCGGACTACTTGAGGCCAGGAGTTCGAGACCAGTCTGGCCCACGTGGTGAAACCCCATCTCTACTAAAAATACAAAAAATTAGCTGGGCGTGGTGGCACACACCTGTAGTCAGGAGGCTGAGGCACGAGAATCACTTGAACCCAGGAAGGGGAGGTTGCAGTGAACCGAGATGGCACCACTGCACTCCAGCCTGGGCAAGTGAGCAAGACTCTGTCTCAAAGAAAAAAAAAAAAGATGAAGGCAGTGATGGGGTGATGCATTTACAAGACAAGGAAAGCCAAAGTGTAACAGAAAACCACCAGAAGCTAAGACAGGCATAGAAGAGATTCTCCCAAACAGCCCTCAGAAGGAGCCAACGCTGCTGACATTTTGAAATCGAAATTATGTTGTGTAAGCCACCCATTTGTGGTACTTTGTAATGGCAGCCCTAGAAAACAAATACATTTAGCTAGGCACCGCTTCTTCTTTCTCAAAACCCATGATTGCTGAGATGCTGACAGTTTCATCTGCACTGGAACTTTCATGAGAACTAACATTAAAGAAAGGGGCAGCTGCACAATGGTGTGTGCAGAGCCTTGGGAGAAACCCCTGCATGCCATGAGGCGGCTGGGCTCCACATCTCTCCTCAAGCTGCCTCATCCTGGCTGCTTTGCTACAGCTGACTGGCTTCGTACCAATCACTGTTTAGTTCTGGGGTCATTCTTCTCTGCAGGTGGTCAGATCCTTGACCAGCCCTCTGGGACTAGGATTTTTATTCTTGTCTCCCTTTGCTCATCTTCTAAGAAGAGTCTTACGGCATATCCTGGCAAAATCTTCAACTGAGAAGTAAGATTTTTACTTTTGGTGACCAGTTCTACCTCTGTGAGGTGGGAACTGTGTAATATTGGAGAAGTCATTTCATATCTCTGAGTAAGTTTTTCCATTTATGAAATGGGTAAAGTGATATGAATTCTCTCACAGATTCCTATAATAACACAAGTTATGGTAATTTATACACTACACAGCATTTTCCCAAGTGCGTGTCTGTAGTCTTATAACCTGGCATATTTTGTGTTTGTGTAGGTGTTGCACTAACTTAGACAAGAGAATTGTTGTGTCTGGGGAACAACAGCATAAAAATCACAGATTCTCAGAGGCTAGCCCACTTAACATTTGCATTAAAAATAGTAACAAATAAATTAGATGCCAAACTAAATTTGCAATCTTACTAATTGGTAGTCTCTAAGGAAAGGGAAATACACACATCAGAAAAGTAGGAGAAAAAAAATAATGAGCTTTCTTACAAAGATCTAAGTACTTGCTTAGGGATAGTAAATGTTTCCCCAGGCTGAGTTCCCATATCCCAAAAAAGAGCCTGGTATCTGGAAAAAATACATTGATGACGTAATAAGCACCCTTCCCAGAGGAAGCACCTTCTACAAGGGAAACATGGGCTTCTAGATGCAACCAATGACTCTCAGCTGTGTGGCTCTGGCCTGTTTTTCTCATTACATCAGTTTTCCATTAATGAATTGAAGATCCTGCTTTTTCTCTAAAATATTTTACAGAAATACTGGAAAGTGACATAAATTTGGTAAAATTATCTGAGACGCTAAAAAGTAAAGTAACTAAAATTCAACAATGGATTCTATGGGTTAATTTATCTATGTTGTCTGAACAGCTAAGATACTTATGGAAATCACTACACAGATATATTTAACCCAGCAGCATTCTTAATCTCTGTCTTAAACATATGTGTTTCATCAATTTGCATCCATCTGCCCAAATACTTACTGAATAGAGCAGCTAAAGATCATACAGTTTAGAGATGGAACGAAACACGAGTTCAAAGGAAAAGTTTCTAAGGCTGTAGGTTGTAGATAATATTGCACATCCAGACAGCTAAGAATGTAAGCACTTGTTTTTTCTACAAAGTGCACTTTTAGACCTGGAAAAT
This sequence comes from Homo sapiens, assembly GCF_000001405.40. Taxonomy (NCBI): domain Eukaryota; kingdom Metazoa; phylum Chordata; class Mammalia; order Primates; family Hominidae; genus Homo; species Homo sapiens. The sequence continues at coordinate 111,769,648 of NC_000003.12, read as the reverse complement.
GTTGGAATTGAGGAACTCCAGTTCCCTAACATCACTCTTCCCTTAGGTTGAACCTTCTTAAACTTGCTATCAGCACTGTAGTCGTATGCTGTATTATTTGAAAATAGAGTAATCAGACTCCAACAAACACCTGATCTGAGCTACAAACTGTTCAGATGAGGGAAAGACAGATAATGAATACTTGGTTGGCAGGGGTTTTTGAGGTAAGAGTTTGTCTTTTACTCTCTAGGATGGTAGAATATGGGGAAAAGACAGTGTCTGACAGAGCTGCCAAGCAAGGGTTTGGACACAAGTGAGAATATTTACTTGGACTTTGGGCTGCCTCCCAGAACATTATTACCTAATAATTTGGACTGGTTTTTCCATACTCTTCATGCTCCTAGTGCTTGATAAGGGAACTTGGAGGGGACAAATTCTTCTTTCATAGGCCAATCCTCATCCAAACCCATAGTGTTGCCCATACAATATTGAGGTTACTTATATATTAAACACAGCTCAAGCCCACAGGATAACTGATGAGTGCTGCTCTCAGTTGATAAATAAAAGTTCTGTTAAATGTGGTTCTTCACTAACAATTTCCATCTGGCAACACTCACAGTCACGTGTCTGACCATGGGTCAGAGGTGAAAGGGAGGCAGCAGTTCACTAAAGGCATTGTTTTCATTGGCCCATAATTAAAGGCTCGAGAAATTGCTCATTGGCAACCAGTGGGCTCCTTGGGCACTTGTGAATCTCTTCCCCAGGCAATGATGAAGTGGGAGTGGGTTCAATGGTATGCTGAAGCATTCCAGACATGAATCCAAGCATTGTCTCCAAGGACCTCTGAATGTAGGTCCAGCTAGACAATGCAAAAGAAGCTGGCAGGGCAGAGCAAACTCCAAGTACGTGGGTGGACTTGGGTGATGAGATTACACAGGAAGACATTTAAATCCCAGGCAGTCGTATGGACCTTTGTTTGGCATGGGTCCATGAACATTGCTATGGCAGTGATTCAAATATTTGTGGCAGGATCCGAGGGTGTGGGTGAGGGACGGACTGGCTGGCTGATGTGTGGACATACAGCTCTCCGGAGCTCCCCTAAACTCCCTGAAATCTTATAGCAGATCATTTCTATTGTTTTCATTCATGGGTTGGGGCTAGGTCTGCAAATAGAAAAGAGCTCCTCTGCAGGCCATAGTTTTAGCACTACACCTCTCACCAGTTGTCCTCTTACATTTTTCTCCTCTACACACCCATCATAATAGTAGTCTGCTGTTTACAGAGAATAATATTCTCACTTAAACGTGAAAAACATTTGTTACAAACTATAGGTAGGCAACCCCACCATCAAATCCAGGTGGACTCAACAGGATTTTTTGTTTGAATCCCTTAGTTCTCTTCTGAGTATACCACCACTTCCTCATTCTGGTTCATGAAGAAATTTTATCTTCTTCTTGCAATCCAGTTTCTATCAAAGTCACCTAAAACGAAATTGGGTAGTTTGCCTGAATATCAATGGCCAGGGCAAACAATAGCTTTCCTGGGTACTTTCTAATAGGGGAAACTCCCCTATTTGTGGCTATCAACTCTCACCTTTTCTTCATTTTCTTCTAGACAATCCTAATCAGGATCAATCATCCCTCTCTCTGATTCTGTTTTTTCAAATTTAACTTCCAAATCTCAACCTTTATCACATCCTACCAGCTCTTAACAATTTCTACCTGCTTCCTCTAGATAACCCTATTCATATACAACCCAAGCAGGAACTTGGAAAATCAAACCTAAGTCAAGACAAAAATTAACATCTCTATAGACAAATTTAGTAGCCACATTTAAAAAATCATAATATTTTAGGAAATAGCATCTACAACAAAACATATTTTCCATTGCCAGTAAAACCAATGGGCTTCCTACAAGGGTAAGAATACCTACAAGGGTAAGAGATAGCTGTTGAGAATGAGAACAATGACAGTTATAATAATCATCATTTATTGAGCTTTCACTATATGCCAGGTACAGTTTTAAGTACTTCAGAGGAATTATTTAATTTCATAGCTAAATGTGGAAGTCATGATTATCATCCTGATTTTCAGATAATAAAAATACATTTTTTGTGTGTGCTTCCCAAAGCTAGAAAGTGGTGAAATGATTTGAACCCTACATGGCAGGAATTTTTTAGAAACTTCTGCTTATAGTGAAAATGCCTGTTTCCAATTCTAAGTTATGTCATCAGATATTTGATTCACTAGTTTGGTGTCAACAATCTACAAGAAGCATACTTAATGAAATGTGGAAGAACGACAGATGTTTACAGATGTCTTTTCACTGACATGAAGGGTTCAAGACAGGAGATTATGAGGAGCCAAAGTTGAATACAGCTTCTCTCTGCTCATCTGTACCCAAATCCTTCTGTGTACCAAGTCCACTGGAAAAGTCCCTTGACTTTTCTGTATGCAGGTTCTCTGTCTCAAATCAGAGACACCCAGACTACCCTCCATCTGAACAGAGTAACCAGACACTGGAGCTCTGGGGACAGATGCCATAGCAAGGTGACTTTCTCAGTTGATATAATGCATGTAAAGAGACTCCTTTGCTTTAATACTGTTTTTGGACTGCTTTTTTTTTTTTTTTTTTTTTTTGAGATGAAGTCAGGCTCTGTTGCCCAGGCTGGAATGCAATGGCACAATCTCGGCTCACTGCAACCTCTGCGTCTCACGTTCCAGCGATTCTCCTGCCTCAGCCTCCCAAGTAGCTGGGATTACAGGCACGTGCCACCACACCTGGTAATTTTGTATTTTTAGTAAAGATGGGGTTTCACTATGTTGGCCAGGCTGGTCTTGAACTCCTGATCTCAGGTGTTTCACCTGCCTTGGCCTCCCAGAGTGTTGGGATTACAGGCATGAGCCACTGCGCACAACCTGGATTGCTAACTCTTGAAAGACAAGGATATCAGTGCCTCTGCAGCCCGCACTACCTAGTAAGGGTCCAGTAAACGTTTATCAAATAAATAAATGACTCATCTTAATTTATCCCATGTTGTAAAAATACTGTGTTGTCCAGGCTGGAATATTCTACATTTGGTAAGCACTATCCAAGCAGGTGTTAAATTGGTGTCTTCAGAATGTCTGAAAACCCTATGAAATTACATGCAAAACTCTTTTTATGCACGTGTAAAAATTTTGGTAAGGTTTCTTAGATTTCATCAGATTCTTTTTTTTTTTTTTTTGAGACAGAGTCTCACTCTGTCGCCCACGATGGAGTGCAGTGGCATAACCTGGGTTCCACTGCAACCTCTGCCTTCTGGGTTCAAACGATTTTTCTGCCTCAGCCTCCTGAGTAGCTGGGATTACAGGTGCATACCACCATGCCCGGCTAATTTTTTTGTTGTTGTTGTAGAGACGGAGTTTTACCATGTTGCCCAGGCTAGTCTTGAACTCCTGGCCTCAAGTGATCCACCTGCCTTGGCCTCCCAAAGTGCTGGGATCACAGGCATAAGACATCATGCCTGGCCTTTAATCAGATTCTTAAGAAGGTTCTTGAAAAAAGGTATTTAAAAATTACTGCTTCATGATTTACAAAGCAGGTACACTTCATTATCTTATTTGATCTATACAACAAAGCTGTAAGAAAGACACTATAATAAATTTTAATTTATGGAAAAGACAATGTGAAACTGAGAAAGATGACACAGGTAGTAAATTAAAAATCCTGGTGTTTTGACTTCAGATTTCTATTCTTCTGATTTGCAGTATGTGTGTATGTGTATGTGTGTGTGTGTGCATATAAAAGAAGAAATGGCAACAATGAAATGTTAAAGTAAATCTACATTATTGATTAGAGGTTGGCTTCTTTTCCACCTTAAGTTTCAAATAATGGGAACATATTTTTTCACTCACCTCTCAGCCTCCCTTCTCAGGGAACTTCTGGATATAACCTAGTTCCAATCTTCACTTCAAGCCCTGATGTCACCATAGACTGTCTAACCCAGCAGAGAAGTTTATGAACCAAGTTTACATCACCATTTTATTTTGAGCATTAGCTTCTATATTTATGTAATGGAGTTAAAAATGCCACTTGCTCTGACCTGAATACATTTCTCTCTCCGTTTTAAGTCAGCTAAAAATGTAAGTGATTTTTGGATCGATTATCTTTCCTGGATGCTTTGCACTGCCTGACATCTGAGACTCATTTTCTCATCTGAAAACTGGGTGCCTTAGGACAAGATAATTTTGTGGATGGCTTTCAGCTTTAAAGTGCTGTATGATACATTGTGTAAGAAGCCTGTGGGGGTGGCAGAAGGGGAAAGTATAAAAGGAAAAAGCACAGTCACTTGTTAGTGTTCTGGAGTCAATACTTTCCATGATCTTCTTCCATTGGTGTTTGGGTCCATCCATTTTTTTCTCACCACCCTTCAGTGCTGATATCACAACTTCCTTCTACTTCTTTAGAAAGTGCGTTAGTGAAGACTAAGGGGCTTCAAACACATGTGCTGGTGGAGTGAGCCAAGGGTTAAGAGTGTTTCACGCCTGCCTATTGAGAATGAGAATTTGTTGAACTCTAATACTCCTTGGAAGCCAAGCCTCAGACTTTTTTTGGCCCTATTAACAAAGGCAAACTGGAACTGCACTGGCATGTTCCCCTAGGGCACTGGAGAGGGTGGACCCGATGACCAGTGCTGGTCTTTCAACTCTCAGATCTGTGATTCTACAATTCCTCTTCATGGTGATGTCGCTTGGGTATTAGCAAGTTCTCACTCAGCAAGTATAAATTAACTTTTGGAAGACAGAGTCTGACTCATCAAAAAGAAGAGAGGTTAGAGTCCAAGTCTGTGTCAGTGGACCTTGTTTCCTGCACTTTGAGATCAGAGCTATTCTGTTGCACAACTCCAGGAGGCAACCATCCTATTGTGTTCTCCATTAAAGGCGCCCTTGGAGCCTAGCTTTAATACAGTATGATGGAAACAGTGCCCCCTGGAATTGAATGATGCTGGTGCCCTACCTGTGATTCCTCAAGAACCTTTATTTCATCACACAAATTTCATATAATCTGAAAATTGAAACTTGAAGATCAGTGGGGTATTTTTTTTTATCATAGTTCCCTTTATGAAATCTGGCAAAACCTCACCACATCAACATGTATATGCTGGGACAAAAGTGTGACTGATAAAGAAGGGGAGGTTGGGAATAGGGGTGATAGGCAATTTATCAACCTAACAACAATCCATGTTTAACACAGGAGACAGAAAAATATACAAAGGACCGTGCTAGTTTACCATGTACTCTGTCTGTGTATATTTGGTAAGAATCTCAGATGTTGGGATTGTTTTAGTCAGTTGTATCAAGTAGGGTGGTTGTAAGTGCTTTTAGGAGAAACTTACTTAATGGATTTCTTTGTTCATGTGACCAGTTTGCCACACAATAACTACCATTCCTGGGCTGCTGACCAACAGTTGAGAACTTCCCAAACATTACTTCATCAGATCTTCCCTGTAGCCCTATGAGGTAAATGTTACTATCTCCATTTTATAAACGGGAAAGTGGATTTAAAGAGGTTCCATAGCTTGTCAAAGGTCACACAACTTGAGTAGCGGTGTCAAAGGTCATGTGCAGGTCTGTCTGAATCCAGAGTTATACCATTACCAGAAGGCCAAACTGCTTCCTTTCTATTTTGGCATTATATTTTCTTGAGCAAACATAGCCATAACTGCTTGTCTTCGTCTGTTCGGGCTGCTTTAACAATTTATCATAGACTGGGTAGCTTAGAAAAAACAGAATTCATTCCTCACAGTTCTAGGAACTGGGAAGTCTAAGATCAAGGCACCAACAGATTCAGTGTCTGGTGAGGGACTGTTTCCTGGTTCACGAATGGTGCCTTCTCACTGTGTCATCATGTGGTAGAAGGGGCTGGCCTGCTCTGGGGTCTCTTTTATGAGGGCACTAATCCTAATCACAAGGGCTTTGTCCTCGTGATCGAATCACCTCCTAATACTACAACCTAATACCATCACCTAGGATCTCAAAACATGAATTTCTGGGGATACAAACATTCAGATTATAGCACTGCTCTTTTCCTTGCAGTAGAGTAGTAGTTGTAGTAACAATAATAATAAAAATAAATAGTAATAGCAAGACATATGGGGCTTACTATGTATCAGGAACTGCCCTAAGCACTTGATAATTTATTAAGTAATTTATTCCTAGGAAAATCTCACAATGTACAGTTGATGACAAGTCCCACTTACAGATGAGCGAACTAAAACATGAAGAGTGTGAGTAAATTGCCCTAGGTCACCCAGCTAGAAAGTGGTAGAGGTGGAAATGAAAGTCAAACAGTTGGGCTCCAAAGCCCTGTGCAGTTTGCAGTTCGCTATTATGTTAGAGTAACTTGTCATAGAAATAACTCACTCAAGGGAAATTCACTGTATTGTTCACACAGCATAAACAGTGTGTGAAGAGTTGACTCTCCAGGGGAGAAGAATGCTAGGGAGTCAATGAATCAAATACCTAAAATCCTTGATTTGCATTGTCCAGTTTCCTAACATACTCACTTTCAGGCAGGATCATAAAGCTCAGTGCAGCTATGGCTCCCTGCCTTTCCTTGGGGCTGCCTGTAGAAGTGCTGGGAGACATGCAAGGATTCTTGCAGGTGCAGAAGAGGGTGGGCTCTCAGAGCTATATACCCTGCACCAAACAGGCAGCTAGTTTTAATCTTTCCATTTCTCTTCTCACTTCTTAGTCATTGCTCTCCTTTTTCAAAAAAGGAGAATTAATTCTTTGGAACTCTTAGGAACCAGAGGGCTTTGAGTCTGCAATGTTTATGAATCTGCTGAGAGTGCTGGGAAATGAGGCTTCTTTTTTGCACATGAAGTCATATTTTAACCCAAACCAAAAGAAAAAAAAGAGAAAGATTATTTGAGAGTCTGTGGGGATCAGAGCTGGGTATTGTGTTACAGAAATTTTCCATTTCAGACACAAACTACGTACAGCAGTATGTGAGCCAAAAAAGGCCAAGAGAGACTCCAGGAGGGCTTGAAGAAATAATACCTCCTCCTTTAATCCTGACGAGTGTGGCCAGGTTCTTGGGAGGGCTGGGTGGAAGGTCTGGATCAGATCACACTTAGAGGCCTGTGATTAGAATGATGATAATTGTGGCATCACAAGGCATAACTTCAGAGCGCTCCCTAGGATGCCCTTGGGCAAGGTACTTAACCCTTCTGTGCCTTAGTTTCCAATATCTGAAAATGGGATAAACACCTCAAAATTTATTGACAGTGTCAAAACATTACACATATTGGCTATATAATAATAATATGGTAATGCTAGTTATATAATTAAATAATACATATAGTTAGCATTTATTGAGGCCTTACTATACATGAGCTATTGTGTTAAAGCTTCCTAAACATTATCTTCTTTAAACTTCACAACAGTCCTCTGAGATCAATTGTGTTATCCTTCCAGTACTGCAGTTTAGAAAAGTAAGTGACTGACTTAAGTTTATCACCTTAGGTAGTAGACTTGGATCTCAAATCTAAGTCTAGTCTGGCACCAAAACCCATGCAATGAACTAATAGCTAAGACGCTGGTCTGGTTCTCAGCTGAATGTGGCGGATGGGATTGGGGGGGCATCCCTTTTTGGATAAAATGTGTTCCTCTGACCCCTCATCCTCTCTTTTAGCAGTGCCCCTTTTAGGTGAACATACAAGCACCTATTTTAAGGAAATGTCAGGCTGGGGGTAATTACTCTGTAATTCTTCTTATGTATACACATTAAATAAATTTGTATGCTTTTTCTGCTATTAAAAAAAAATGTTGGGCTGGTTTTCCAGGTAAATAAACCAGTCATGGCCTCTGTGGCTCAATTCTGAAACCGGTATTGCCTAAAGCAGTGGGTCTTATGGTGTGGTATCCCCGACCAGCATCACCTGGGAACTTGTTAGAGCTAAAAATTCTCTTGCCCCACCCACATGTACTGAATCAGAAATTCTGGGTGTGTAGATCAGCAATCCTGTTTTAACAAGCCCTTGAAGTGATCTGAATGCAGCTGAAGTTTGAGAACGACTGGCCTCTGGGGTAGATAAAGCAGAGAGTTAAATCAGGAATAGAGATCTAACTATGATTCTTAACAGCTGCTAGTGACTCATTCTCCCTAGTCATTCTCTTCTGAGTTTCTGCCTTTTTAGGATGAAGGATTTGTTCACGTCCCATCTTGTGTGATAAATTTCATCAACAGTGTCAGTTCCTTTCTGAATCAATGCCGTGTATAAGGAGACTTTGAGCTTTATACACTCCCATGTGTACCCATACCCACTTCTGCTTTTGGAACCACTTGCTCATTTCCCATTGTGGATGATTAGCTTCAAATTATCTTCATGACAGAAGCAAAAAAATTGAATAACACTGTAGTTCTAGGTGGAATAGGAGGATCACAAAGCTGGGATTAGTATTCAAATGTGTTTAGTTTTTTTTTTCTTTTTTTTTTTTTTTGAGATGGAGTCTCACTCTGTCGCTAGGCTGGGGTGCAGTGGTGCCACCTTAGCTCACTGCAACCTCCACCTCCGGGGTTCAGGTGATTCTCCTTCCTCAGCCTCCCTAGTAGCTGGGACTACAAGCACGCACCACCACGCGCAGATAATTTTTGTATTTTTAGTAGAGACGGGGTTTCACCATGTTGGCCAGGATGGTCTCAATCACCTGACCTCGTGATCCACCCGCCTCGGCCTCCCATAGTGCTGGGATTACAGGCGTGAGCCACCACACCTGGCCGACTTAGTTCTAAAGGTTCCAAGCAGTGCTATGAATGAACTAAGTAGCATCCTGGCCCCTCTCCCAAACTTCTCACCTACAATTTATCACAAAAGATAAAACAACTAAAACTGAAAATGGAGAAAATTATTGCTTCAGTTTTTTAATCTAAGCTCTGATTCAAATTTTGCTTCTCAGCCTCACCAGTCCCACGTGGCTCTCAGGAAAAAAAAAACAAACAAAAAACTGTATACACATCGCAGAAGCAAGAAAACAGAACACGTTTTCTGCCTTCTAGTTCACTCCCCAGAAGCCAGAGTAAGATGAGTCCCGCAGTCCAACACAAACCTTTTAATAACCATGTAAACATAAATTTCAATAAAAAGAACTCCAACTTTGCTAGTTTGTTACAAAAGCCTAGTTTTTTATCTGAAATGCTGCTTTTCCTAATTGAAAAATAGTAGAAAATTTTATTTGACTTTGACAGAAAATGGAAGCTATGGTTATTGATGAGACCTGTATTTAGTATCTTTGGAGTAGGACAATTTTTTTTATCTCAACAAAGATGCATTGAAACTAAGTTTTGGTTTGAGGGATCTTTGGATTCCATCTTACAGTCCACGTAAGGTAAAATAGGAATTTTAAAAATGTAAACATGGTTTCTGCTGATGGACAATGTTTGTGAATTTCAAAAGAGTTTTGCTCAGCACTTTATATTGCTCTCTGGTCTTAACTTTAATTCATTGTGGACATACTGAAAGAATATCAGTCAGGAATATGGGTTAGCAACATGCACATGAAGGCAAGAAGTATTATGTGCATTAAACTCTGACCTAGTGGAAGTGAAGATTGCCTAGCAATGTCTCCCCTGAAATGCTTTTGCATAAGTATTGTGGCTACAGCCTGAATCCAATACAGAGGCATGAAGACACAGAAACTTCACATGGCTTTCTCTGTTTGACAGATACATTTAGATCTCTGCCCTTAAAGCCTCTTGTCCTACAAACTGCATATTGTTGCTATTATGAACCAACAATATTCCCAACGAACTCTTGATTGTCACCCAATTATAGCCTATTGATTAAGAATAAAAAATTTGGAAAGAGAGAAACTCAAATCCAAAATCTGACGTCATCTCTTGTAAGCTGTGTGCCCTTAGACAAATTACTTAATCTGAGATTTGTTTGCTCACTTATAAATTGGGGATAAAAATTTCCACCTTATAGGGTTGCATGATGACTGATTTGGATAATGTCCAATTACCTGGCCTTTAGTAGGTGTTATATTATTTTGCTGTCTTGAAACCATTTGGTGCAAAGAGTAACTTTACATGCTAAACATATATTCCTCACTGTGCATGCATACACACACACGGGATATACATACATACATATGTGTGTGTGTATATATACATGTAAATATATATAAAATCTCAATGTTGTGGTCTAAATGTTGGTGTCTCCTCAAAATTCATAAATTGAAACCTAATCACCAATGTGACAGCATTAGGAGAAGGAGCCTTTGGGTAAGGCTGAAACTCTCATGAATAGGATTGGTACCCTTACAAAAGAAACCCCAGAGAGCTAGTTTGTCCTTCCACCATGTGAGGACACAGTGAGAAGGCACCATCTACGAACCAGAAAGTGGATCCCCACTTGATACCAAATCTGCTGGTGTCTTAATTGTGGCCTTTCCAGCCTCCAGAATGGTGAGAAATAAGTTTCTGTTGTTCATAAGCTACCTAGTTTATGGTATTTTGTTACAACAGCCTGAGTGGACTAAGACAATCATTGAAAAAAAAAAAAGATATATCACTAGGATATTTATGCACATATATAATTACATTTTTACTCTAATCAGCTCTGAAGAGCAGTCATTTTTCTCCTTTCTTCCTTAAAATATCACAGTAAACTCTACTGACTGACTCCTAGTTTCTGGGATGAAGCTTATAGGCTAAAGATGGCCTGGGCCCCATATTGATAGGACCCATTAGCAAAACATAGCTTGTTGTCTCTGTCTGTGCCGCATCTAGTAGCTTATAAAACCATCTTCATGAGTTTATCGTGGTTGATGACTCACCCCTCCCATGGCTGCAATCCTATGAAACATGTCAAGCCATGGGTTCTTCAAGCTATATTAACAGCAAAATAGATGCACTTGAAATTTTTTTGTGGTCGAGCCAAGATGGCCGAATAGGAACAGCTCCAGTCTGCAGCTCCCAGCGTGAGCCACACAGAAGATGGGTGATTTCTGCATTTCCATCTGAGGTACCGGGTTCATCTCACTAGGGAGTGCCAGACAGTGGGCGCAGGTCAGTGGGTGCGCGCACACTGCACCAGCTGAAGCAGGGCGAGGCATTGCCTCACTCGGGAAGTGCAAGGGACCAGGCAGTTCCCTTTCCTAGTCAAAGAAAGGGGTGACAGATGGCACCTGGAAAATCGGGTCACTCCCACCCTAATACTGCGCTTTTCCGACGAGCTTAAAAAACAGCGCACCAGGAGATTATATCCCGCACATGGCTCGGAGGGTCCTATGCCCACAGAGTCTTGCTGATTGCTAGCACAGCAGTCTGAGATCAAACTGCAAGGTGGCAGCGAGGCTGGGGGAGGGGCACCCACCATTGCCCAGGGTTGCTTAGGTAAACAAAGCAGGCGGGAAGCTCGAACTGGGTGGAGCCCACCACAGCTCAAGGAGGCCTGCCTGCCTCTATAGGCTCCACCTCTAGGGGCAGGGCACAGACAAACAAAAAGACAGCAGTAACCTCTGCAGAGTTAAATGTCCCTGTCTGACAGCTTTGAAGAGAGCAGTGGTTCTCCCAGCACGCAGCTGGAGATCTGAGAACGGGCAGACTGCCTCCTCAAGTGGGTCCCTGGCCCCTGACCCCTGAGCAGCCTAACTGGGAGGCACCCCCCAGTAGGGGCAGACTGACACCTCACACGGCCGGGTACTCCTCTGAGACAAAACTTCCAGAGGAACGATCAGACAGCAGCATTCGCGGTTCACGAAAATTCACTCTTCTGCAGCCACCGCTGCAGATACCGAGGCAAACAGTGTCTGGAGTGGACTTCTAGCAAACTCCAACAGACCTGCAGCTGAGGTCTGTTGTTAGACCTGTTGTCAGCTGTTAACCTGTCTGTTAGAAGGAAAACTAACAAACAGAAAGGACATCCACACCAAAAACCCATCTGTACATCACCAACATCGAAGACAAAAAGTAGATAAAACCACAAAGATGGGGAAAAAACAGAGCAGAAAAACTGGAAACTCTAAAAAGCAGAGTGCCTCTCCTCCTCCAGAGGAACGCAGCTCCTCACCAGCAACGGAACAAAGCTGGATGGAGAATGACTTTGACCAGTTGAGAGAAGAAGGCTTCAGACGATCAAACTACTCCGAGCTACAGGAGGAAATTCAAACCAAAGGCGAAGAAGTTGAAAACTTTGAAAAAAATTTAGACAAATGTGTAACTAGAATAACCAATACAGAGAAGTGCTTAAAGGAGCTGATGGAGCTGAAAGCTCCATTCATGAAATGAATGAAATGAAGCGAGAAGGGAAGTTTAGAGAAAAAAGAATAAAAAGAAACGAACAAAGCCTCCCAGAAATATGAGACTATGTGAAAAGACCAAATCTACATCTGATTGGTGTACCTGAAAGTGACAGGGAGAATGGAACCAAGTTGGAAAACACTCTGCAGGATATTATACAGGAGAACTTCCCCAGTCTAGCAAGGCAGGCCAACATTCAGATTAAGGAAATACAGAGAACTCCACAAAGATACTCCTCGAGAAGAGCAACTCCAAGACACTTAATTGTCAGATTCACCAAAGTTGAAATGAAGGAAAAAATGTTAAGGGCAGCCAGAGAGAAAGGTCAGGTTACCCACAAAGGGAAGCCCATCAGACTAACAGTGGATCTCTAGCCAGAAACTCTACAAGCCAGAAGAGAGTGGGGGCCAATATTCAACATTCTTAAAGAAAAGAATTTTCAACCCAGAATTTCATATCCAGCCAAACTAAGCTTCATAAGTGAAGGAGAAATAAAATACTTTACAGACAAGCAAATGCTGAGAGATTTTGTCACCACCAGGCCTGCCCTAAAAGAGCTCCTGAAGGAAGCACTAAACATGGAAAGGAACAACAGGTACCAGCCACTGCAAAATCATGCCAAATTGTAAAGACCATCGAGGCTAGGAAGAAACTGCATCCACTAACGAGCAAAATAACCAGCTAACATCATAATGACAGGATCAAATTCACACATAACAATATTAACTTTAAATGTAAATGGACTAAATGCTCCAATTAAAAGACACAGACTGGCAAATTGGATAAAGAGTCAAGACCCATCAGTGTGCTGTATGCAGTAAATCCATCTCACGTGCAGAGACACACATAGGCTCAAAATAAAAGGATGGAGGAAGATCTACCAAGCAAATGGAAAACAAAAAAAGGCAGGGGTTGCAATCCTAGTCTCTGATAAAAGACTTTAAACCAACAAAGATCAAAAGAGACAAGGCCATTACATAATGGTAAAGGGATCAATTCAACGAGAAGAGCTAACTATCCTAAATATATATGCACCCAATACAGGAGCACCCAGATTCATAAAGCAAGTCCTGAGTGACCTACAAAGAGACTTAGACTCCCACACAATAATAATGGGAGACTTTAACACCCCACTGTCAACATTAGACAGATCAACGAGACAGAAAGTTAACAAGGATACCCAGGAATTGAACTCAGCTCTGCACCAAGCGGACCTAATAGACATCTACTGAACTCTCCACCCCAAATCAACAGAATATACATTTTTTTCAGCACCACACCACACCTATTCCAAAATTGACCACATAGTTGGAAGTAAAAAGCTCTCCTCAGCAAATGTAAAAGAACAGAAATTATAACAAACTGTCTCTCAGACCACAGCGCAATCAAACTAGAACTCAGGATTAAGAAACTCACTCAAAACCACTCAACTACATGGAAACTGAACAACCTGCTCCTGAATGACTAGTGGGTACATAATGAAATGAAGGCAGAAATAAAAATGTTCTTTGAAACCAATGAGAACAAAGACACAACATACCAGAATCTCTGGGACACATTCAAAGCAGTGTGTAGAGGGAAATTTATAGCACTAAATGCCCACAAGAGAAAGCAGGAAAGATCCAAAATTGACACCCTAACATCACAATTAAAAGAACTAGAAAAGCAAGAGCAAACACATTCAAAAGCTAGCAGAAGGCAAGAAATAACTAAAATCAGAGCGGAACTGAAGGAAATAGAGACACAAAAAACCCTTCAAACAATTAATGAATCCAGGAGCTGGTTTTTTGAAAGGATCAACAAAATTGATAGACCACTAGCAAGACTAATAAAGAAGAAAAGAGAGAAGAATCAAATAGACGCAATAAAAAATGATAAAGGGGATATCACCACCGATCCCACAGAAATACAAACTACCATCAGAGAATACTACAAACACCTCTACGCAAATAAACTAGAAAATCTAGAAGAAATGGATAAATTCCTCGACACATACACCCTCCCAAGACTAAACCAGGAAGAAGTTGAATCTCTGAATAGACCAATAACAGGCTCTGAAATTGTGGCACTAATCAATAGCTTACCAACCAAAAAGAGTCCGGGACCAGATGGATTCACAGCTGAATTCTACCAGAGGTACAAGGAGGAACTGGTACCATTCCTTCTGAAACTATTCCAATCAATAGAAAAAGAGGGAATCCTCCCTAACTCATTTTATGAGGCCAGCATCATCCTGATACCAAAGCCGGGCAGAGACACAACCAAAAAAGAGAATTTTAGACCAATATCCTTGATGAACATTGATGCGAAAATCCTCAATAAAATACTGGCAAACCGAATCCAGCAGCACATCAAAAAGCTTATCCACCATGATCAAGTGGGCTTCATCCCTGGGATGCAAGTCTGGTTCAATATATGCAAATCAATAAATGTAATCCAGCATATAAACAGAACCAAAGACAAAAACCACATGATTATCTCAATAGATGCAGAAAAGGCCTTTGACAAAATTCAACAACCCTTCATGCTAAAAACTCTCAATAAATTAGGTATTGATGGGAAGTATCTCAAAATAATAAGAGCTATCTATAACAAACCCACAGCCAATATCATACTGAATGGGCAAAAACTGGAAGCATTCCCTTTGAAAACTGGCACAAGACAGGGATGCCCTCTCTCACCACTCCTATTCAACATAGTGTTAGAAGTTCTGGCCAGGGCAATTAGGCAGGAGAAGGAAATAAAGGGTATTCAATTAGGAAAAGAGGAAGTCAAATTGTCCCTGTTTGCAGATGACATGATTGTATATCTAGAAAACCCCATTGTCTCAGCCCAAAATCTCCTTAAGCTGATAAGCAACTTCAGCAAAGTCTCAGGATACAAAATCAATGTACAAAAATCACAAGCATTCTTATACACCAATAACAGACAAACAGAGAGCCAAATCATGAGTGAACTCCCATTCACAATTGCTTCAAAGAGAATAAAATACCTAGGAATCCAACTTACAAGGGATGTGAAGGACCTCTTCAAGGAGAGCTACAAACCACTGCTCAATGAAATAAAAGAGGATACAAACAAATGGAAGAACATTCCATGCTCATGGGTAGGAAGAATCAATATCGTGAAAATGGACATACTGGCCAAGGTAATTTATAGATTCAGTGCCATCCCCATCAAGCTACCAATGACTTTCTTCACAGAATTGGAAAAAACTACTTTAAATTTCATATGGAACCAAAAAAGAGCCCACATCGCCAAGTCAATCCTAAGCCAAAAGAACAAAGCTGGAGGCATCACGCTACCTGACTTCAAACTATACTACAAGGCTACAGTAACCAAAACAGCATGGTACTGGTACCAAAACAGAGATATAGATCAATGGCACAAAACAGAGCCCTCAGAAATAACACTGCATATCTATAACTATCTGATCTTTGACAAACCTGACAAAAACAAGCAATGGGGAAAGGATTCCCTATTTAATAAATGGTGCTGGGAAAACTGGCTAGCCCTATGTAGAAAGCTGAAACTGGATCCCTTCCTTACACCATATACAAAAATTAATTCAAGATGGATTAAAGACTTAAACGTTAGACCTAAAACCATAAACACCCTAGAAGAAAACCTAAGCATTACCATTCAGGACATAGGCATGGGCAAGGACTTCATATCTAAAACACCAAAAGCAATGGCAACAAAAGCCAAAATTCACAAATGGGATCTAATTAAACTAAAGAGCTTCTGCACAGCAAAAGAAACTACCATCAGAGTGAACAGGCAACCTACAAAATGGGAGAAAGTTTTCGCAACCTACTCATCTGACAAAGGGCTAATATCCAGAATCTACAATGAACTCAAACAAATTTACAAGAAAAAAACAAACAACCCCATCAAAAAGTGGGCGAAGGACATGAACAGACACTTCTCAAAAGAAGACATTTATGCAGCCAAAAAACACATGAAAAAATGCTCACCATCACTGGCCATCAGAGACATGCAAATCAAAACCACAGTGAGATACCATCTCACACCAGTTAGAATGGCAATCATTAAAAAGTCAGGAAACAACAGGTGCTGGAGAGGATGTGGAGAAATAGGAACACTTTTACACTGTTGGTGGGACTGTAAACTAGTTCAACCATTGTGGAAGTCAGTGTGGCGATTCCTCAGGGATCTAGAACTAGAAATACCATTTGACCCAGCCATCCCATTACTGGGTATATACCCAAAGGACTATAAATCATGCTGCTATAAAGACACATGCACACATACGTTTATTGCGGCACTATTCACAATAGCAAAGACTTGGAACCAACCCAAATGTCCAACAATGATAGAGTGGATTAAGAAAACTTGGCACATATACACCATGGAATACTATGCAGCCAAAAAAAATGATGAGTTCATGTCCTTTGTAGGGACATGGATGAAATTGGAAATCATGATTCTCAGTAAACTATCACAAGAACAAAAAACCAAACACCGCATATTCTCACTCATAGGTGGGAATTGAACAATGAGAACACATGGACACAGGAGGGGGAACATCACACTCTGGGGACTGTTGTGGGGTGGGGGCAGTGGGGAGGGATAGCATTAGGAGATATACCTAATGCTAAATGAGGAGTTAATGGGTGCAGCACACCAGCATGGCGCATGTATACATATGTAACTAACCTGCACATTGTGCACATGTACCCTAAAACTTATAGTATAATAATAATAAAATAAAATAAAATAATAATAAAAAAGAAATTTTTTTGTTAGAAAATAACCGAATGAAAACTTGATGTTTCTAGTAAACTCTGATTCTGACATTTATATACTAACAGCAAAATAGATGCATTTGGAATATTTTTGTTAGAAAATAAGCGAATGAAAACTTGATGTTTTTAGTAAACTCTGATTCTGACATTTAAACTACATGTACTAAAATGTCAAGTAATAAAATATTAATGTGAAAACATTATTTCTATTTAAGCTTTATAAATCAACTTGTTATTAAGGGACTTCACAAATTCCATTAAAAAAGTAGAGAGCCTATGAGAAAAGCGAATGATAGAATTTTAGAGTTTAGTAGGATATGAGTACAGGCATTTGTGTCTTAAAATGCACACACACACACACACAGACACAGACACACACACACACACACACACTTAGAAACTTCCACTGACTAGAGAAATGCGGAGAGAAGCATTAAGAACCAGAGCTCTGATGGTGGGGGATGGTGAAAAAATGCATGAAGTCATTTGCTCCACCCTGCCACAGTGAGATTATCCCCCATATGGTAGTTTATGTTTCTGTGGTTTGCTCAGGGCTTGAGTTAGTTTTGAACAATTTTCTTCAGGGTGTTCTAAGCCAGTTTAAAATCATTTTGTGAACTATTCATTCTATCACATGCCTTAGCAAAATCTACCACAATCTAATAAGCATCTGAATAGATTCTCTGAGATGCAGCTCAGAGTCTCCTTTTCTTGAATTTCAACTTTCTAGCTCATTGCAGCAAAATCTCTCTTTTTTAAAAAATTTTTATTATTATTATACTTTAAGTTTTAGGGTACATGTGCACAAGGTGCAGGTTTGTTACATATGTATACATGTACCATGTTGGTGTGCTGCACCCATTAACTCGTCATTTAGCATTAGGTATATCTCCTAATGCTATCCCTCCCCCCTCCCCCCAGCAAAATCTCTTTACCTCCTTGGCATTTAAATTTTTCCTAGGCACTGAGGGATTTGACTCTGTCTTGTTACCCAATCCACAATTGACTTTAAGATTCATGGGCTGTGTCTCCAAGGAGAGGTTTTATAAAATGAGTAGAACATAGGTCTCTTTACCTCCTTGGCATTTAAATTTTTCCTGGGCACTGAGGGATTTGACTCTGTCTTGCTACACAATCCACAATTGACTTTAAGATTCACGGGCTGTGTTTCTAAGGAGAGGTTTTATAAAATGAGTAGAACATAGGTGGTAATAAGTAATAAATAGGTCATCAAATGCTTGAAAGTTATAGCTCGTTTTGTTCTTTGCTTCATTTTTAATGGAGTCAGTGCAAGATATTTCTTGAGTGTTCATTATGTGAAAGGCATTGGGCCATAGCCCTTTGGCCCTGGCTCCTGCGCAAATCTTCCTCCCTGCTGGACTCCCTGGTGGTTACTATCTGTCTGCACACACACACACACACACACACACACACACACACACACCCCATTGTCTCCTTTCTGCTTTTTTCTTTTTTATATTTGGTATTTGTTTAGTGTTTTATTTGCTGAGATCACAGGTTGGCTTAGAACAATTTTCCCAGAACTTCCAGATGAAAATGATTACCTGCAGCATTTAAAAAACACAGTTTGGGGGCTCTTTCTCTGGCATATATGGTTCAATAGGGCAGAGAAAAGAACTGGCGAATTTTTTTTTTTTTTTTTTTGAGACAGAGTTTCACACTCTGTCGCCCAGGCTGGAGTGCAGTGGTGCGATATTGGCTCACTGCAACCTACACCTCACAGGTTCAAGTGATTCTCATGCCTCAGCCTCCTGAGTAGCTGGGATTATAGGCATGCACCACCATGCCCGGCTAATTTTTGTATTTTTAGTAGAGGTGGGGTTTCACCATGTTGCCCAGGCTGATCTTGAGCTCTTGGCCTCAAGAGATCTGCCCGCCTTGACCTCCCAAAGGGCTGGGATTACAGGTGTGAGCCATCGCATCCGGCCCCCGGGGAATTTTATTTTTAGATTTCTCATATGTGAGTCTTTTTAACAGGTAAGTTTAGGAAACACTGGGGTAGAAGATGATCTCTCAGATTACTTCCAACTTTCGTACACACACTTCAGACCAATCTTTAAGGTCTTGATTACGTCAACTTTCTCCTTTAACCTCTGGCCCTGAAATGTTCTCACTTCTGAAACTTGCATTGCAGCCATGTGTATTGTTCAGCAGTTATTCATGAACTAACTTGCAGAATTTCTTTGGTGACTCAGGCTTTTATTTAAATCTTTAATTTTATTTAATGTTTTGAACTTTTAAATCATGCCTACTGAGACTCTGTAGGCTTCTCAAGAGAAGGGGAAATGTTTTGTATTTCTTTCTACATTTCTTCATTTGTGTTCGCACAATGCTTTGCATTTGAATGAATGAGCTTTTATTTCTAATTTAATTTTCTTTTTAAATATGAATATCCTACTGCATGGATAAAGAATGTATCATTTCATTCCATATACTAATAGGCATAAGATTTGGGAACCTTTGTTTTATCTTAGCTGGTGCAGCTGTTGGGTACTCATATAACCCCTTAATCCTTTGTAAAAACTTAATGGGCCAGCTGCCTTGATAATATGCAGTTTCAATGACTACCTCTGTTGAGGCAAATAATACACTATTGTAGTAAGTATCACAGATTAATGATATTTCTCTGCAAGGAAACGTGTAATGGACAAGAGTTCCCAAACTGGGACTCATGCTACATGCCAGAAAAAAATTACCTTCAATATTTACCATGAAATGGAAATGCCTTCTTTGAATTTAGCAGCTCTTGACATCATTGTTATATTAATGGTTTAATTAGACTGTTTCAGTGTCGTAGAACAGTTCTTTAAAGGACTTTCAACAAGGATACTATTGTTAAAGAAAAAAGGCTCTTTCATTTGGGCCATTAAAATTATAAGGGGGAAAATGAAAAAGTACTACTGGCAGCATATTTTTTAGTTCAGCTGTGACTTCTCCAGCCTAATCACTAAGAAGTTCCTGCAAGGCAATTCTTGTTTATATAGCAGTTTGATCTGGATTCTTGTAAAATTAAACGTAGGTTGACAAATTAAATTTAACACCACTACCCTCCAGGACACTGTAAATGTAAAGGAGACTAAAACAAACAAAAGAAATATTATTGTAACAGGGTAGTGAAAAGTCAGATCCAACAAAACATACAAATCTTGCTTACGAATATAATTTAGTGCAAAGAGTATCAACCAACGGTTGATATTTCTTTATTTATACTTACATCATCTTTCACATGCCACTAAAATGGATGTCTTTGTTTCCTCACAGATTTTTTTTTTGGTACCAATTTACCAGAGACATCTATTTAACTCTTGAGTTAAGCAATTCAGTGATTTCTGTGCTATCATAGTTTAAGATCTCTTTCAAGAATTCATGAAATAAGCATCTTACATTGTTGGTGGTTAATTACATTGGAACATTCAGTCTCTTTGAACTTATCCTCAAAATGGTTCTCTGTTTTATTTTTTATTTTTATTCTTCTTATTTTTTTTTTTTAGCCTTCTCTTGTTCTGGAAGGATTTTTGTTTTTCAATGAAAAAGGCTCATAGGTAATGTGAAACTTATGTCCCAGTAGAATTTAACAGGAAAGACTTCTCAGCCTCATGCATGTTTATTCAGAAGTACACATAAAAAGACTCTAAAAATGTAAATGAGAAACTCATGTTTAGAGTATGACTTGGAAATAAGTAAAAAATATATATTATACAAATATAACTAATGTAGCATAAGTATCCCGACTTGCAAACTGCTAAATTTGACAAGAAAAAAGAGGTGATGGCTGGGTGCAGTGACTCACGCCTGTAATCCCAGCACTTTGGGAGGCCGAGGTGGGTGGATCACCTGAGGTCAGGAGTTTGTGACCCACCTGACCAACATGGTGAAACCCCGTCTTTACTAAAAATACAAAAATTAGCCGGGTATGGTGGTGTGTGCCTGTAATCCCAGCTATTTGGGAGGCTGAGGCAAGAGAATCGCTCGAACCCAGGAGATGGAGGTTGCAGTGAGCCGAGATCGCGCCACTGTACTCCAGTCTGGGCAACAAGTGTCTCAAGAAAAAAAAGAAAAAGAAAAAAGAGGTGACAATAAACAGGGACATGAGTTGGCTGGCTGCTCTGGTAGAGCCTCACAGGGTCACCAAGTGAAATGGACTTTTGACTATTTTGCCTGCCCTGCCCTCCTATTTCAGGAAATACCAATAAAGAAAGCCCAAGCCCAAAGGGTTAGACATTTCCTTCCCCGGAAGCTCAGGCCACTAGGAACATCTGGCTAGGATTTGATTCTTCACTGAGTAATGCAAATTTCCAGTGAACCTTTAGAGATTAAGGTTGGTGCCTCTGATGGAGGGTAGAGTCAGGTGTGGCTGGTGAAATCATAGCTAGTGGTCATGGTGACAATGCCAATGGTAGCCTCTTAAACAGACTTCACATGCCATCTTGGGTCTATTTTGCTTCCTGTGTTTTTTTCCCATACACCAGGCCTCATTCACCAGCATTCTTAGCTCTCTTGTAAACTATTTGACCTCCTTTCAATAAATTTGTTTTCTGCTTACAGCTTGAGTTAGTCTGATTGTGGAACCAAGAACCCTGAGCAACATATCAAAAGAGCTGGGTTAATCCCAGCTCTGTAGGACCAGAAGCTCCAGCGCATCCAGTTGCCCACAGGGAATCAGGGTCCAGGGGCTGCCACACCTCACAAGAAAGTGAAGTTAGGGTCATTAGTGATATTTGTTTAAACTCTTTCTCACTCCAAATAACATTTGAGATTAGTTATACAAAAAGACACAACCCAACAGGATAAAAGAATAAGAGAGAAAATGGGAGGAAGTAAAAATAAAGGTATTGATGCATGAGTCAGACTGCTAAACACTGCTTTATAATGAGAAGTGGAACTTGTAGGCAAACACACAGCTCAGTGTATCCTCATGTTCCCTTCCCTGCGGGAGAGGCTTCCTGGGAAACATAGTCAGAGGCTACTGGGGATTGGGGGTGGGAAGAACAATGAATATGAGTCTAAGTCAAGGAAGCTGGGCCAACTTTATGGGTGAGCCAACAAATCACAGTCTCTGGGCTCCTCTGTCCTGGTATTGCTGCAGTTGATGAGTTTCTGCTTTTGGCTCTGTAGTGTCCTTAAAGTCCCTTCTTTTACATGAAAGTCCCTTCTTTTACAAATATTTTTGTAAATATATTTATAAATATATTTACCAATGTAGATATATTTGGAATAAATAATACCTTAAGGCATTTACTTTAGCAAGGTGTTTCCCAAATTTCAGTCATTCTTGTGCTGTCTTCACAATTTTGCCATAGTCACCTACTCTCTATTCTATTATGTATTTTTAATACCTAAATATATGTAATACTTTTCTTCTAAATAATATACATAGCTATGGAAGCTTGCTATGCTACATATTTTTAATACTCATAAGAATAAATCTATAGTATTAAAATGATTACATATCATCTTGCATTCTGCTGAAAGTTTATCAAGTGAAGTAGAATTTCATCCTTGTTTAAAATATTTTGCACAGAAGTTAAAATTTTGGTCTTTACTACCAGAAAAGGTCTATATTCTGCTCTAAGTCTTGATTTATAGTTTGGCTGGGTATAGAATTCTAGGTGGAAACGTTCCCTAACTTTGAAGGCATTTCCCAGTATCTTCTAGCATCATATGGTGGTGATGAGAAGTGAGAACCAGTTAATTTGCACTTCTTGTAGGTTACTTTTTTCTCCTCTCTGAAATATATGTCCTTTTAGTCTTCAAAATTCTAAAATACCAAAAAGTTGCCTACATATTTGTTTTTCCTTTTTCAAATTAAAAAGAAAATTTTTAGAGACAGGATCTCACTCTGTCACCCAGGCTGGAGTGTAGTGGCAAGATCATAGTTCACTGTAACCTTGAACTCCTGGAAGAACTCAAGTTATCTTCCTTCCTCAGCCTCCCAAGTAGCTAGGACTACATATATGTGCCACCACACCCAGCTAATTTTTAGAAGTTTTTTGTAGGGGAGGGGTCTTGCTATGTTGCCCAGGTTGGTCTTAAACCCTTGGCTTCAAGCGATCCTCTGGACTTGGCCTCCCAAAGTACTGGGATTACAGGTGTGAGCCACTGTACCCAGCTGGCCTATTTCACTTTTTAATTCATTATGCTGGACATGAACCCTATTCATGTAAGATTTGTATCTTTTGAGCACTAAGATTCTACTTTTTGATAATTTCTTCCCTTCAGTTTTCTGTGCTATTTCTGAAACACCTGTCAGTTAGATATTGGACTTCCAGGATTAGGTCTCAGCATTTGGAACCTATATGAGTTCGTCAGGGAAATAAAAGACTTTCTGTGTTCTCTCAGTAGGAAGTGTCTCAACAGAAGGAATAAGCATTGGAAGGGCTGGAAGAGTGAAAGTTTCTTGAATTGTCACTGACTCGCTCAGTCCATAACTCCAAAGTGCTTGATTCTAGATGCTCAAATGTTAAGCTGCTTCAAACCTCACATCCAACTTTTGCCCATATATCTGTCTGCAACTGCCTTTAGAGAATAATAGTCTTTTCTTATTTAATACCTTTCCAGTCACTGATACTGGCTTGAGGCTGTAATCTGAAACCATGTGGGGTAAGCACTCTGAAAAATGTTGTTCCTGCTTCTTCGTGCTCTCAGCAGAGGTTTGGAGGTACTCAGGTGACAGAGACAATTCAGCACAGAGCTACACTGGCTGTGTGCACACCCCAAGTACTAGCCAAGTGGCCTGGGGCAAATTTTCTTTTCTTTTCCTCTTCTCTTCTCTTTTCTTTCTTCTTTCTTTCTCTTTTCTTTTCTTTTCTTTCTTTCTTTTTTTGTTTTTGTTTTCAAGGTCTTGCTCTGTTGCCCAGGCCGGAGGGCAGTGGTGTGAACATAGCTCACTGCAGCTTCAAACTCCTGGGCTCAAGCAATTCTCCTGTCTCAGCCTCCTGAGTAGCTGGGACTACTGGTGTGTCACCATGCCCAGCTAATTTTTTAAAAAATTTTTTGTAGAGACGGTGTCTTGCCTGTTTTCCCAGGCTGGTCTCAAACTTCTGGCAAGTAATCCTCCCACCTTGGCCTCCCAAAGTGCTGGGATTACAGGTGTAAGCCACCACACCTGGCCTTTTTAATTTCTTAATGCTTCAACCTCTCCAACTATTAGGAGAGAATAATATCATTAGCTACCTCATAGGATTGCTGGTAAGACGGATTGAAATAACACATGCAATTAATATAAATCAGTGCCTGGCAAATATTCTAGTGCTTTTGGTATATGTTGGTGATCTTAATTTTAACTGTTATTATTTAATATCTGTTTTTTCACATTTCCACCTATGTCATTTTGCTCTACATTTCAAAAAGCTTCAACATAATTTTCCAGTCTATTAATTTTTATGACTAATAATTGTAATCACTAAAAGAACTTTCTTATTTAGGTTTTTAAATAGTATCTTCATTGCTTTACAGATGCAACTATTTTGGCTCTGTGTTTTGTTCCTCTGTCCCATTTGTTTTCTGTCTTCCAGCAATTTATTGATAGCCCCTTCTTTCTTCTCTGTTATGAGCTTATTCTTTTGGTTTTAAATTTATTTTAATAAGGTCTTGGGAGGATCAAAAGCCATGGAGCTAGTTTGCCATCTTGCACAGAAACTGACAGTGCTATTTTCATCTTAATTTTCCTCACATAGCAGGATTGAATCCACAGGCTGTCACTAACAATAGTTCACAGTTATTCTGCCCTTACTGTGTGTCAGGTGGTATACTAAGAGCTTTTCATTCATCCTTTCATATAATTCACTTTGATGTTAAGATATAGGAAGTTGTGTTATCCTCGTTTCTTTAAGATGAGATTAGTGAGGCTTACAGAGGTCAAATGACTTGCCCAAGTTCACACAGCTAGTAATGAATAGAGCTAAAATTTAAACACAGATCTATTGGCCACTGAACTACTACTGGTAGCTCGGAGCTACTACTGCAACATGGATCTCATCATTTGAAATGGCTGCACAGTATCCACGTATGTTTGTGTTTATATCTAAGTCCTCTCTGATGAGCACTTCAGTTGTTTTCAAAATTTGCTGTTATAAACAAACCTTACAAAAATATTTAAGTACTGTGTGAAACTTTTTATGCACTGCGCTATTATTGTTTTCTAAAAATAAGTCCTGGAAGTGAATAAATCCAAAGTTATATTTGTTAAAACATTTTAAAATATGTTTTGACAAACTGTCCTTAAAAAAGAAGTTGTAGCAATTGACACTTCCACCAGCAGCAATGTGCGGAAGGGTCTGCTCCCCACATGCTCATTAACATCTAATATTACTCAATTATTGCCAATCTCATAAAAATGAAATGCTACCTTACTGTTTCAATTTGCCTTTATTTCATTGTTACTGTGGCTGAACATTTCTTCATATCATTATAGATCATAAGTCTTTCTTCTTTTGTGAGTTGTCAGTTCATTTTCTGCCCAACTTTTTACTGGGCTATTATTGCCTCTAGCTGGTAAGGATTTATAAGTACTCTTTAGGAACAGTAACCTTTCGTCTGTTTTTTATGTTGCAAATGTACTTTCTCAGTTCACTATTTCTATTTTTACCTTTGTTTAAGCATTTGTAAATAAGTTTTAAATATTTAGGTAGCCAAATCTATCCTAATTAACTTTTATAGATATTCTTCCAATGGATGATAAAAATGAAACCAATATGAAAATTGTTCATTAAGAGTGTGATTTATGATCTGAGTTTCTAAAAGAATCAGAAAATTCAACCATCTTGTTAGCCCTACTTCAGGAAACAGGCAAATTGCTTAAGATGATGAAAGTTTTCACTTATACACTAAAAGCTTACCTAAGCCAACTTAAGAAGGATTTCCAGCCAGGCTAGGTTGAGAGCTACTAAGCTGACCCTTCTGACTTATATTCTGCTTACAATGTGTAGTATTGGAGAGTTGGATTTGGATGCTAATGTAGGCTATTGGGATGGGGGCTGGGTTGGTCATGTTTATTCTTTAACCTTGAGCTTCCTACCTGGTGCCAGCTGCTGACATCAGAAGATCTCACTGCTACTTCTCTAGATTTTTACTTTGTTCACTATTCCTGTTTAAAGTTGCTCCCAGGAAAAATGAAGTTCAATTCATAACTGAGTAGAAATCAGATTTATAACAAGCTTGTCCACGAGGCAGAAGTCCCTAGGGTATGGGAGAGCATGCGAGCCCTGGACTGCACAGAATTTTTCTAAATTAAGTCTCCAGTCCAAACGATGTGAATTAGGCAGAGACTGTGATTCAGGGCAAAGTTTGAATTCTTTTTCCTACCTTTTAGTTAAAAGGATCTCCCCAGACTCTCCTCTTATCCTCTTTCTCCAGGGATCGAAACTTCCTTAGCCATGGCTACCACAACTGTCTCTACTCTTGTAATTTCACCTCCTTAGGATATTCAGATAAATTCCTAAAAGGAAGTAGCTTTTTCTTCATAGCCTGGATTTTTAGAAAGGAAGACTGTGAATCCAAATTTTCTTTTCTTTAAAATACCACTTGGACCCCAACTCCTTTGGTAGTTGGGGAGCACCCGTCTGAAACTTTTCTGCTTTGTGTTCAGTTATGACTACATATGATACTGTGTTGGCTCCTTTATTGGTTCATTTTCTCTATAAGATGTTGATCATGTTGATCTTTCTTTGGGCAGAACTGTCAACTACTCATCTCTGAATCTATATCCCTTAGCAAGGTGTCAAACATGTTAGGCACTCTATAAATGTCTTCTTATTGGATCTATGTTAGAACAATGGAAAATATTTGATAAATCATGCTGCTATAAAGACACATGCACACGTATGTTTATTGCAGCACTACTCACAAGAGCAAAGACTTGGAACCAACCCAAATGTCCAACAACTTTAGACTGGATTAAGAAAATGTGGCACATATACACCATGGAATACTATGCAGCCATAAAAAAGGACGAGTTCATATCCTTTGTAGGGACATGGATGAAGCTGGAAACCATCATTCTCAGCAAACTATCGCAAGGACAAAAAACCAAACACCGCATTTTCTCACTCATAGGTGGGAATTGAACAATGAGAACACTTGGACACAGGAAGGGGAACATCACACACCGGGGCCTGTTGTGGGGTGGGGGGAGGAGGGAGAGATAGCATTAGGAGATATACCTAATGTAAATGACGAGTTAATGGGTGCAGCACACCAACATGGCACATGTATACATGTGTAACAAACCTGCACGTTGTGCACATGTACCCTAGAATTTAAAGTATAATAAAAAATATATATATATAAAAGAACAATGGAAAATATTTGATTCTAACATGCTATTATGACTTTGGCCTGGGGGAAGTGGGAGTAAATAGCTTTTGATATAAATGCATGTGAAGAATAGTAGTATCCCAGTTAGAGTTTTATCAGATACTGGTTAAAAGAGAAAATATGGTGACCCTCAACCAATCCCTTTAGGGGAACAGCCAAATATTAAGCCAAACCAGACATGTGTAGAGTATGTGTCTGCAGAATAGGAGAATAAATACATTTGGAGAGTAGACTCAGCATACAATCTAACCAAATGATGTGCAGTCTGCTGTATCCAGTGATGAGTTTACCTGAATTTTATTGGTTAATCTTACTCATAACACCATCTAAAATAAGATGTATTGGTAATGGGGTATAAAATTCAGCATGCTAAGAATTACCTGAAGACATCTGAAGTTCAGTATAATTAACCAGGCCTGAGATTTGTTTAGACATCATGAAAGAATTTTTTACATGCTGAAGGATCTTGTAGTGTATCTTTTCTAAAAATGATTAAAATGTGTTGTGGCAATTTTAGAGAAAAGAGTATGCTATCAATAGAAGTCTTTAAGACTAGTGTTTCAAACAGATATTTGCTAATTAATTCCAGAAATTAAACAACTATTTAGGTTTTGTGTAACCAACACCCAGAAATAGTCCAGACAAAGGATTTTTCTTGTTGCAAAACTGATTTAATGCCCTTCTCATATTAAAATTCTTTCCACGTAACACACACACACAGACACACACACACACAGAGACATGCACACACACACATGGACACACACAAACTTGTAAATTATTTTAGTTCCATCTCAGTCACAGCAAGACACTTGGTGCCCACAAATGCCTGAAGATTTATGGCATGAAAGTCTCCTCTGTTGAAAATGCTGCCTCCCTCTCTTTTGGCCTAGTGGGCAGTGAAGCATGGGATTATCAGAAACAGTTCTGCATCTTCTGGAAAGCCTCTACTGGATAAGCCCCCTCTTCCCTTTTTCACTGTGAGACAGGTGCTCGGGCACAGATGGGAGACCCATGGACTCTGACTTCCTTGACTATCAATGAGTGAGGGCTGTGGGTAGGTGTATGAGATGAGTTTTTGAAAGTAGGAAAACAGAGTTCTATTTTACCTCATGCTCTGAAACTCTTTTTCTCCTGCTAGAAAGCTGGCAGTGCTAGAGAATCCAGTCCAATAATAGGAATTCAGTTCAATTCAAGAAGCAATGGTGCTCACTGATTGGAGAACTTGTAAAGGTGCCAGCTGGTACTTGGTGGTTAGCATTAGGACTATGTGAGATTGTCTCCATGTTTCAGCACCTTGTCATCATTGTTCATATTTCTTTGTTTTTAGCTTTTCTCCCCCCTCTCCTCTCCCCACTGTTTCTTTTTTTTTTTTTTTAACTTGATGGGCATGAAATGAGGCATTGAGGTCTGTATTTGAGTTAAGTTTGACATTGATAATCATTGTTGGACTCATGGGCTGTTCTGATTCTCTGACTTTGTTAAGAGATACTATATGGTTGAATCATAAGCCTGTCCTCTTCCTAGCCTACCTTAAGTGAATGTATTTGGTGGGGGGGCAAGCCAAGGGTGACTTTTGGTGATTGTTAGTTTTGTGGCTTCTAAAAAGTGAGTGTAGTTAATACGGTTGTGACAGTCAACTAAGCATTATATATTGTGTTACGTGTTATCTATCCTTCTTCCCAAGAGACTACCTAAGAAGAAGTTAGTTAGATATTAGGAATAGAGTAGAAACAGAGAAGTGGGTATACTCAGTAAGATTTTTGTGGAGTAAAGCAGAAAGTCACTTGAAGACTCCGCCAAGAAATCAGTGTGTTCTTACTGAATTTATGGCATCGTCTGCCCACTTCATGTACCTCGAAAATTACCAGATATCCCCTGGTGATGATAGTTAATTAATTCTCTCTCTCTCTCTCTCTCTCATATTTAATGAGGACAATAATAGGCAGCAAAGTGATGCAGCCTCTAAATGCAACTGAGACATAAGATCATTGATGTCCAATTTCTTTCAGCGTTTTTCTTCTTGGACCAGAGGTTCTTTGCCATCACTTGTGATTGTGGTTCTTCAGGGTCTTAGCACTCCCTAGGCATGGGTCTGGGTGATAAGGTAAACCCGTGTGAGCCATGATGATATCACACTTTATTTACTGAAATGTCTAGCTGTGCCTTGCTGTTTGGTGCAATTAGTAGGTTCCTTTGAGTTGTACTGCCCGGGCTGCCTTCTCTCATACAGTATCATAGTGAGCAAGCATTATTCTTTCCTTTTTATGTGGAGAAGGAGAGCAAACAGAAGTAAAATAACCTCAGGTAAAAAAAAATTTTAAAAATGCTTGAAATAGAATGTCATAATTCTGCTAGTCATCTTGAGGACCATTCATTTCTGCAGATTTTAATAGGGAAACCAGACTTCCTCTTAAAAAAAAACCTGCCTTTTTGGTTCGGGGCCTGGAGGATGCAGTCTCCCTTCTTTGATATGCCCTCTCTTCATTACAAATAGCCTTTTATGAAGCTTACAAGAAGGGACACGAGCACAGGCACCCAGTTAGCAACAACCTGGGTGAGTAAACCTGGGCAGGGTGCCTGGGGTGGCTCAGGGAGAGGCAGGGAGACAGGGGTGATCTCAGGATTCAGAGCAGACTCAAAGCTTTTCTGTAGCCTGTGACCATTGTTTTTTTTTTTTGTTTGTTTTGTTTTTTTTTTTTTTAACTTCAGAAGAGGTGTGGATCTGTCCCTCACTCTCTGCCTTTTGTTTATAATGTCATCTTCTCCTCCTCCTCCAAACACACACAGTTCCATCTGACTCACTGCCATGTTTCTGTAACCTTGGGCAAGTCACGTCACCTTTAAGGGCTTCCGTTTATTTATAAAGAGAGAATGATAGTCATGACTGACTGCCTGCTGGAGCTTGCATTAGTGGCACACAGGCGTGGCAAAGCTGAGTGCTGGACAAGAGAATTCAGATGTGGTTTCTTTACTCTCCCAGCCAAGTGGGCTTCTTCTCTAGTAAAGATCAATGCCCAGACTCACCAATTTATAACATCTTCAAGGTGGCATAGCTGGGATCTCTTGAGCAGCTTTTTCATTCCCCTTATTTACCCAAGAGATAGGAATGATCTCCCTAGATAAATTAAAATTATTTCTGTATTTTCCGTAAAGAACTTTCTGAAGTAAACTTTTCTAGTTTTTCATAGAACACAGAATATCAAAACTAGAGAAGACATTAGAGATGTTATACTCTCAATCCCCTGCCTCCATTTTGAAAATGAGAAAATTGAGGCCACGAAAGCCGAAGTGACTTGCCCAGAGTTGCCCTGTTGGTGTGTGTAGTAGCAGAATCAAACACAACCGAGGTCTCCTATGTGCTGTACCATTCAGTTGGGGGTTGGCAGAAGAGCAAGTAGACCCTTGATGCCCTATTCCCTCTACACCAATGGTTAACACTTCTGATTCTTTCTTTAGTCTCCCCTAGCAATTCCAGTTTTCTTTTTATAAATCAATTTCTTGATTAAATTCCTAGCTGATTACTAGTTTAGTATCACCAACAAATATTTACTGAGAACCCATTATCTTCTTGGTACTGTATAATGATTAAAAGTACACATACACACACAGATACATACACACAGGCAGACACACACATACACACACACTAACATACACACAAATATAGAGGACTCTAAAGAAGCTGTGGTTTGGCCTACTGGATAAATTTAAAACCTTCTCATCTCTGGTAAGTGGCAAGATTATTTAATCCTATGTCAAAGACAGTGTCTAACACACTTCTGGGAAAGAGTAGATGATTGTTGCTGAACTGAGTGGATAACCCATCAATAAATGTTTGTGGTTATCCAAAATTAGAACGCAGATGAGTAAAGATGTGAAACTAAGCCATCCCCAAGATGTGTAAAAATTGGCATAAAGCCACAGAGAAAGACAACAATGATGTCAGGCCTAGGATGCCTCTGTTGGGCTATTTTAGTTTAATTTGTTGGACTATAATTTATCAACACAACTGTATTCTATAACAATACTATTCTTATGGAAAATGGAGAATTTTCATTTTGCAAAGAAAAGCAAAATGAGATGAATTTGAGTAGAGAACAGTCACGTTCTGGGAAGTCTAGCCATTAGCTCTTCCTATGATTAGGATTCCTAGCTAGGAAGCAGAGCTAAATTTTGTGGGATACATGTATTTGAAATTAAAAGTACATCTCCTTGGAATTCGTAGGGGTATTGGCTTTCCTTGGGTCACAGAGAGAAGCCTGCCACCTGCCAATTCACTGCAACATCTTCTGGCCGACCTCTCCTGGGTTTTCTCTTCTCTTGAAGCCTGCTCACATACTAACCACAAGTTTTCAGCTGTTTACCTTGTGAAACCTAATGAGATCACCACAAAGTAGGCCCCATGGACGAAAGCCATCATTCCACAGAAGTACACATGAGCTCCAGCCAAATGCACTATATAAGGCTTATCTTGAGAAATGAATCCTTGAAAACATCAACCCAGTGATGACAAAAAAGAATTCTGCCTAGTTAGAGTTCTCTGCAGGAAGTATTTTTGATATTATTTTGGCTTTTGAAAAAAAAAAGACTTTGTGGGGGTTACCTCAGTGCACAGTGAAATTGCACATTCAAACTGTTTGAATCCTGTCCTCCAAATACAGAGGTCTTATGTGAAAACAATCTCATTTTCATTTTACTTTCTGGGAACCCCTCCAAGGCATGGTGAATTGCCAGCATTTTGTGACCTTCAGTTCCTTTACTGCTCTCATGGGAAACTTGACCTTGGAACTGTAGAGAGGAGGGGAACAAGTTTTGGGTGGGTCAGGGGCAGAAGTTTCATTCACTCTGCTTGATCACTGCCCAAAACTATGGGTTCTCCTGCACCAAGATCATTAGAACCTCAGAAGTCACAGAAATGGGGACCAAAAAGTATGATGAGGATGCACACTAACACCAAAGCAAGGATGTGGACAACATGACTGTCGCATGGGATGGAGACTCAGGCAGCCAGCCAGGGGCAATTCCCAGTGAAACATTAGGGATAAGAAAACACTGGATCTCCTCCAGATGCATAGCTGATGCAGGGCTCCCGGACCCTTCAGAACATCTTAGGACTTAAATGGAATTCCTAGGGCATAAGGTTTCCTCCTGTAACTGTAGCTGGTTTCTGTAGGGTTGAAACTACAATAATGGATTCTCAATTTGTAGAAGGACTTCCTTAGGTTCCATGCCATTTGGCAACTGTTTGACTCATGAGACATCCATCTGATTACAGGGTTAGAGAGGGCTTGTGCATCTCAAGACACTGTGGGGTCTCTAGTCCCTACTCATGTATACCGTTCTCTAGGCACACAACTGATTAGAAGACAGTGGTGGCTTATCCTTCTAGCAAGAACCCCTTTGATATCTTATTTTGCTCATGGGCACATGGGCTTGAAAGATTTTTTGCCTTTAAGGAAGATTTTATTAAGTAACAATTAATGTATTTATTTTCATTACTCTGTGAAAATCTAATTAGAATAACAGCATTACCACACTGACCTGACAGAATTCTAGCCCAAAGCAAAGCAATCAATATTTGAGTGGTCTCTGCCTGAGAACAGGCTGTGTAGTCATTTGGCATTTTTAATTTCTGAAAATTTAAATAAAAAGCTTGTAGGCCCCATTCCTACCATTTGTAGGACTTAGGAATCCAGGGAACTGCGTGAATATTTAATTTAAAAAAGAACAAAAAATTTGGAGTCCCAAGATCTAAGGGACTTAGCTGAGTGAGACTGAGAAGGCCATTCACCTGTATTGAGTCTCAGGTTCCTTATCTGAAAGGATATCATCTGAAAACAGTACTCATCTTACAGGGCTGTGGTGAAGATTAAATACAACTATTGACATACTGGACAGTTTTGAAAAATTTAGCTGATTTCAAAGACTGAAATTTCACTGCAGAAATAAACTTTTAAAAAAATCTTGGTAAAATAAATGACAAATTTGTCTTGTACATTATGTTAAAGTCAATCACTCAAACAAACAAAACAATGTTTATAAACTAGGAGATGATAAGAACAATTTTCTCTCTCAGCTTCAGAAAGGAATCAAAGCACTGACTCTTGGGCAATTGCTATTGTGTGTGTGCATGTGTGCATGTGTGTTTTGTGGTTCCTTTTCTAGAGGAGAGGAAAACCACTGTCATACTGAGTTTTATGCTTACACTCAAGAACATCAAGAACATCTTGTGTGAGTGGGAAGGGGGAATAAATATATACTCTAAGGATCTGATCAAATAATTTAGAAAGAACTTTTTTTACTCTTCTACATTTAGAACGTGAACAGTGTAGACACTGTTGGGTGAGTATGTTTCCCAGAACAGAATGCTGAAGAACATGGGATTTGGATTCAGATCCCAACTCAAATTTTACCTCATCTTACTAGCTCTGTGACTTGGGCAAGTTGCAGAGGTTTGTTATGAAAATTAAATGAAAAAAAGTGTAGATAAGAAGGCAGCAGTTCATGTTTTGGTCATAATAAGTACTTGACACAGGTGAAATGTTGTGATGAGTCTTTGTGTTTTAGCTTCAACTTTCTTTCTCCTAGCGTTTTGGTTAATGAAAATGATGGCATGTAAGTACAGTTCATGCAAGGTCAGTTGATTAGTAAAGGGTGCTGGTAGACATGGTGATGCAATCTCTATTTGTAATGCCTTTGCTATCACACACTTGAGATACATGTGAGGCAAGTCACTAGAAACCCTTTGTTCAAAGACATTTAGTCGACCTCATTTCATGATGGCATTTCTTTATCTTGATCTTGTAAATGCTCAGGAATTGTGGCTACTTTGGAATTTATGACAGACAGCTAATGGAATCTTTAGGACATATCTGAACAAAAGTGAAACTAGGGGTGGGGGGCGGATTAAGGCTTCTGCTGTACATTACTCATTCACTGCTCAAATGACACCAAAAAGCCATTTAGACTCCAAGCCGACATGGGTCTCTTTGGGTTGCAGATGGTGAGAGCCTTGACAGGAGGGACTGTTGATGGTTTCTCGGGCTTTAAGCCTCTCTGTGCCCAAGTCTCTTAGATTTAAATGAGTGGGTATTTGCTGAGATGAGATAGTAAATTCTTGAGTTCCTTGAGAAAGATTGGGATAGGGTCATTTCTTCTCTGGAAAGAGTTCAGATGTTGTACTTTAGTTGGGGCTCAGAATTTGAGTCTACAGTATAAAAAGGGACAAAGATTTAGCCTGAGGATTATCTGGGTTATTTAGAAAATATACAGGACAGAGAAGACTCCAGTGACTGCCATGACTAAAAACACTTGCTTTTGCTCTTGCCTGTTTTATCCTTTTTGGAAGTCCACTACTGGCCTTTTTGTTACAGAGGCTCAGGCATGGCACATCCAAGAGCCAGTGGAGAACTTCAGAACTTCTGACTGTATTAGTCAGCCTTGCTTACCTCAGTGACCCTCCAATTTATGCTTATCCACATGGTCAACTCCATGACCTTATGGGAAATGCACTGGGTTGGGAACAAGGCAGAACTGAGTAGAATCCTGGCTCAGACTAATTGCATGATTTTGGGCAAATTAATTAACTTCTATATTCTAACTACCTAACGTTGAAAAACAATGACAATGCCTATTCTAATCTAGTCAATCTGAAGAATAGTCTCCCTCTACTTACTATCCAATATTCAGGAAATGGAAAGAAAAAGCTGTACATACCCTTAGGGGCTTCCAGTTTGTTTTAGGCCCTGAGCCAGAAGCTACAAAAAAAGGACAGGTCAGACCTGTGTGTCTGTCCCTAAGGCAGCCTTCAGTAATGTGGGGAAATATGGCCAATGCATAAATTTTTAAAAAAAATTTTTTGTAGAGACAGAGGCTCACTTTGTTGCTCAGGCTGGTCTTGAACTCCTGGCTTCAAGCAATCCTCTGCCTCACCTTCCAAAGTGCTAGGATTACAGGCATGGGTTGCCATGCCCGACCTAGCCAATGCATTTGATCACCCCAAGATCCTTTTCCCTCGTCAAAACCACCTCCATCACTTGCATTATCTATGAACATCCTCTGGATACCAGCCAGATTCACACTTAACATTTTGCAGTGCTTAATATCTTCACAGAAACGTATCAGTTTTCCATAATTCTCCACAACATTCTTGAGAGGTAGCCACAGACTTACCCAAAGTCACACAAGGGTTTATGTCTACAATGGCCTCCACTCTTGCATCTAGTTAACTGCCTCAGACACTAAATATTCAGCCACAAACCCTGCCTGAGGGGAGTCACTTCAGTTCCACAACTGATTGACAAAAATAATGTCAAACATTACCTTGTCCTACATGACCCAACTCCTTCCCTAAAGGGAGTTCAGAAAAATAGGACTTCAGCATTACTAGGCTTCTAACTAATGACTATAGGAGCCAGGAACCACTGCACAGGCCCGAAAGTTGTATGTGGTGACCATATGACAACATTTCTGCAATTAGAGGAGTTATATTCAGACTTAAGGAAGAGTGAATCATATTAGATAAAAATTACATATTTCTAGAGTGTGTAGACTTGAAGGGGAAAATTTCCATGTTTTCCTTGGTGATTACTTTATAACTTTATTCTTCCTCAAGAATCACTCAATAACTTGTTTCATAGTTATCATCTCCTTCTTCCCCATAGACCTCCAGTGATGAGGGAAGCTCCCTCCAAAGCCACAAGCTTTGTACATAGAGTGGCATTGGTATCATCAGGTTTGCATATTAGTTTTGCTCATGTTTGTTTATCATTGAGCTGGGGAAGGGGGGTCTTGGGATATTTACTATTCTCGGAAGGAGAAAAACTTACTTCTGGTGAGAAGAGAATCTGGACTATAGCTTCAGAGGAGCATTTCTTCTGTGTTGCCCATGCCTTTGCTACAGAGGGACTCAGGCCAGCAAAGGCTTTGGTGGTCCTCCTGATTCAGGGTAAGAAACGGCCTAGTCTCAGTAAATGATTGACCTGGCTGCCGATGTGATAAGCTTAGGTAAATAGGCTTGATTCTGCTCCAGTAATTTCAGGACTTTTAACTCTCTAGGTTCCAAAGCAGAAAAATATACGTGACTTCCTGGGAGAGCCTATCATACGAGGTTGACAGCCCTGTGAATGGACAGTATATTTCTCGGAATATATTATTCTATACCATATACTACAGTATATGTACACTGTCCTCTCTGGTATGTCTTGAAAATTGAAAAAAATTATGCAACGAAAATTCTGGAACAAAACCATGCTTGTGGAGTTACCACCAATGAAATCATTTTAATAAATCGCACATATAATTTGTTATAATGAAAAATTTTTAAAAAACCTTCCAAGTTTCTGAAATACGTACAGGAGCAACAACAATTTTCAGAAGAGATAGAAGACAGAAGGAAAATACAGCCTGCTTTCCAGAACAGGCTGATAGAAAAATGACTGAATTCAGACACACACCCGGGTCTACCATATCTCCAGCAGACCCTCCTCAGAAACACTCTGGTGACGAGGCTGTATATGCTGCTCATTTTGTTATTACAAGAGAAGGGCCAGTGACCAGAGAGATCACCTACCTTGTCTGCTGCTTTTCAATCCCGACTCTTCCCTCAGCTTCTTTCCTGACTCAGCAGGGATGGCCCATGGCTGTTCCAGCGATTGCTGAAGAGAGTGGGATGTTGGGAAGACACATTAACACAGGTTTCTCCTTTTCCCCAAGCATGAAGGTGAGGTTCCTTTCCATTTCCTTTCCTGCTCTCTCTGGCCTCTGCAGACTGTGGTCACAGGCAGCAACTTGCTTGCAGCCAGGTATATTGACAGATGTGAAGGAGGGAGTCTGCCCTGGCCTCAGCCGCCTGGTCTAGCCAATCATTACACACCAGGACAGACTGCTAGTCCTGCTTAAATCCAACCAGAGCTGCATGGAAAAATCAGATGGCAGGACTGTGGGGGGCAGAAAGCACAGTCTGATAGCCATTGGCTATCCAGAAAAGTGATTCCCTTGTAACTGCATCTGGGAAGTGGACAAGAGGCCCCGAGAATAGTTTATAGAGGAAACGAAATTTTTATTCCTTTAGATTTCAGCAATCTCAGAGGGAAATCTGGAAGTCACTTTATCAAATGTCCTATTTAATAGTGGAGTTTCTTCTATTAAATTCTTGTATGGTGAGAAGCATCTGGTAGTTTTTTAAATAAATATGGCTACCATTCATTGAGAGAGTATTATATGTTATGCATTTCATGCATATTACCACAAATCCTGATGGTAATGTTGAGATTTTATTTCTATTTTATGCACAAGGGAACAAAGGCTCAAAGGGGTAATGGTCATGCAACTAGTAGGTACTGAAGCCAAGATTTGAATCCAGATCTGTTCTAATACCTGCACCAGCATTAATAAGCCTTTCCGCACGTTCTGTGGTAGGTTGAATTATAGCCCCCCAAAAATGTCCACATCCTAATCTTCAGAACCTATGAGTATGTTATCTTACATGGTAAAAGGGACTTTGCAGATGTGGTCAAGTTAAGGATCTTCAGATGGGAGATTATCCTGGCTTATCAAGGTGGGCCCAGTGTAATCACAGGGGTCCTTATGAAAGGTCAGAATAAGAGAAAGAGATGTGATGGCCTATAATCCCAGCACTTCGGGAGGCCAAGGGGGCGCAGATCACAAGGTCAGGAGATGGAGACCATCCTGGCTAACACAGTGAAACCCTGTCTCTACTAAAAATACAAAAATTAGCTGGGCGTAGTGGCGGGCACCTGTATAGTCCCAGCTACTCGGGAGGCTGAGGCAGGAGAATGGCATGAACCCAAGAGGCAGAGCTTGCAGTGAGCAGAGATCGCACCACTGCACTCCAGCCTGGGCAACAGAGCGAGACTCCGTCTCAAAAAAAAAAAAAAAAAAAAAAAAAAAAGAGAAAGAGATGTGATGACAGAAGCAGGGTAAGTGATTGATATGCTGCTGGCTTTGAAGGTAGAGGAAGGGGCCACAAACCAAGGAATGCAGGCCGCTTCTAGAAGCTGAAAAGGCAAGGAAGTGGATTCTACTCTAGGGCCTCTAGAAGGAGCATGGCCCCACTGACCATTTTAAACTTCTGACTCTAGACCTGCAAGGTAATACATTTGCACTGTTGTAATCTACCAAGTTTGTGGTAATTTTTTATAGGAACTATAGAAAATGAATACACATTTCCTCAGAAATACTCTTTATGATGGTGAGATCACTGTTTCACTTAGTTTCCTATTCTATAAAGGAATACTCTTTATCAAGCTAAGCTCGACCTTCTTAAAATGGCCATTCATTGGTCCTAGCTCTTCCCCGCACATAAGGCACTTGGGGAGGCAGCTGGAAATGGTGGCAAACAGTACTGGGAAGGGAATCTGGATTCTAGTCCTACCTCTGCCTTAGCCAGTCAGTTCTCTCTGGCTTTCAGTTTTCTCTCCTGTAACATTAATGCCTTGTACAAATGTTCTTTGATCCCTTCTATATCTAAAGCCATAATATTCTAAACTCAAGTCATGTAACAATTTAAAAATACTTGAAGATATCTCTGTCACCTTGCTCCAAATGTTTCCTGTTCCAACTACCCCAGTTTTCCGTGTGACATGACTTCTGGACCCTTCCATCTCCAAATTGCTCTTCTCTATGAAGGCTCCAATTTAGCCATTTCCCTCTGAAATGTGGTGCCCAAGTCTTCACATAGTGCCCCTGCCATTTCTTGTCTGCTAGTGTACCTGGTTCTCCTGGCTCCTCTGACCACACTCTTTTGCTGGGTCTCATCTAACTATTCCTTAGGATCCTTTGAACTTGGCCTAGTCTGTTTCTTTTCAAGTTGTCTGATCTGACCTTACCTCTCGAAACAGAGCACCTATAGTGAACAATTCCACAAGAATCTTAGATTTTTTTTTATAGGAAGGACAAAGACTTGCCAGTGCTAGCCTAAATTAGTCAGCCTTGCTTGCTTAACAACATTTAAATGATAATGCATTCTCATAGGCCCTTGAAAGGCGGTGGTTTATCACATTTTAAGATCATAAATTCTTTGAGAATTTGATGCAAGTTATGGGTCCTCTACCAGAAAAAAGTGCACATACATCTAAAATTGTCTGTGTCATTTTGGGGCACTTCAGCCCCCCTGAAGTAGTTCACTGCCCCTCTGATGTGTGTAAGTTAGTTCTACACTCACAAGTTGTTGGTGGGGGAAGTTTTTGCAAAAGGCAGCCTAATGTTTTCTTCCAGATCTCCTTATACTTCATGGAGGTCCTAGAAACACCTCCTGGAACTGGATTGTGCAAATGCCCAGTGAGGATCAAGGTAGGAAAGTCTCCAGGCTAAAAAGTAGCTCAGTTCTCAGGTTAAACAAAAAAACAGCATTCAGTGGCCTCCTTTTACAAGAATATTGCTTCTTATGGCCTTTCTCTACAGGATAAATCCTATTCTTTAGATGCTTAGCTCCTTAGATTAAAGCCATCTGCCTGCCTAAGGCTTCTCTCAATTGCATGATGCTACTGGACAGAGGCTGACACTGCTGTGGCCTCCTCCCCACCCATGCTGTCCAAAAACACTGACTGCCCAGCTGTGAAAACACCCTGGTCTGACTAGTGCTTTTGTCTCACTGGCACTTGTCCAGGCCATCCCGGGTGAGGTTTGAGGCACATGGGCTTTGGCCACTGTCCCTCCCTTGCAACCTCCCACCCTCTCCGAGAATGAAAGGTTTCAAGTCTTAAAAATAATAACACTCCTTTGGTCATACCGAGTAGATTTGCAGAGGGATAAACACGATCACTTCTTGCTGATCAGGAAGAATTCCTTAGGAAAAAAAAACACAACAAAAATCCAGGACATCAGGCAACCTGACTTCAGGGATTAACAGAGAGGGAATCAGTTTCAAAGTTGAAGAAATGGAGTTTACTCTGCGTTTCTTGTTTGTCAAGCTCAGCCATAGGTGGGACTCAGTGACTCCATGACCTTTCTTTCCCTAGTTTAAACTGCTCTACAGGACAACATGGAGATAGATTATCTGAGCATGGACTTCCACAGGAAACATAAAGGAAGTTCCCTTATGAAAAAAACAGATAATTTTCTATTCCAAATAGCAGTTTCTTCATGTATTTAGTTACTAAGAAATGTTTACGAAGAACAAAGTCAAACCCAGTTCTAGGCAAAAATGAGTGGTACAATCAACTGTATTTTTTTTTTTCAACCTGGAAAGGATCATAAACTTAGGTCATTCTCATAGCTTTTTCATAGTGGGCTCTTCAAAAAACTTAGATAAATTTATTTTGAAGGGGACTTTATATCACTATTGCAAACCTAGGACTGCCTGCTACAAACAGAAGGTAACCACAACGTAAACACAGTACGAACAAAATGAGATTAAATGTTAGCTAGACACTATTGCCTTTTTGGTTTTAGTTGACAAGCAAGGGATAGAGAGGTTTCATTACTAAACTGAGACTTCCCTCTTGACTAATCAGAACTGATTAAGTGATTAATGACATTAATGCTATTTAAGGATATGGCCATCTTCCACCTCACATCATCTTGCATACCACCTGTGGCATAAATGCTACGCTCTGAGTAATGCATTTTTGGTTCAGTAACTCTCCAACTGGTTACACACCAAAATACATGTTTCTAAGTATTCCTCCTAAGATATGCCCTAAGATATAAAGAATCATAATCTTCAGGGATCAGGTACAGAAATATATATTAATATGAGTACCTCCAGATTAGGAAGCTTCCAGAGGTGGAAACCACCAATAGCCAAAGCCCAGGACTTTGTCTCTAGTGCCTTCCTCACACCCGCCCTCTTCTACTCTTTGCCCCTTACAACCATCCCCCTCTCACCTACACACACACAAACACACACACACCCAGAAAGACAGAGAGAGAGAAAGACAGAGAGATGAATGACCAAGTCTAATCACTCAGCACCATCCAGCTGCCTTGACCTTCCACTGCAGAGCCTCAAGAATTTGCCACACAAAGGGATTTCACGTTTTCTTTCACTGTCAAATTTATATTGACTTACCTCTCATTAATTAGTTCCTGCTAAATCATCTACCAATTAACACAAAGGTTAGCAATCATGTTGAAGTGATCGTTGGGTGCCATTTGAAGGAGGAGGGTGCAAAGTCCCTTATTACTAAGACTAAGAGCTACTATGGAGTATTTACTATGTGCCATGCTCCGTGCTAAAATGCTTCCTAAGCATTTTCTTATTTTGTCTTCTCAATTACCCTTCATGGTTGGTATTTTTAGCCCTATCTTCTATGTAGGTACAGACGTTAATTTGCCTAAGGTTACTCCGCCAGGGTATGGAGTTGAGATAGAAACCCAGGTCTGTGCACTTCTGAAATGCCTATACTTAACTTCTGTGCTAAATAGAATGTTCATAACCTTGTTGTAATATGATAAATTAATCTGTGAATAGATATAAAATAATTCACACATAATGTGAGAGCTCCATTGTTATAGAGGCAATGTTTAAACCCAAGTATATGTTCAGAAATTGAGGCAG
The DNA here is from genome assembly GCF_000001405.40 of Homo sapiens. Classification (NCBI taxonomy): domain Eukaryota; kingdom Metazoa; phylum Chordata; class Mammalia; order Primates; family Hominidae; genus Homo; species Homo sapiens. The sequence goes on along the minus strand of NC_000003.12, from coordinate 111,727,753 downwards.
GCCAGTGGTATCTTTGCAATTGCACCATGCAGGTTATACATGCTTTGCTTATGTTTGGACCCAGCCCTATCTACATCATGCAATTTATTATTAAAAACTGCACAGGAATGACTGTAAGTGGTAAAGCCAGCCAGAGGACAGTATGGTAGATTTACTAAACGATAACTATAAATATAAGTTAAACATTCTGAATATGACTATGTTGTTAAATTGCTATGGTAACTTCAACACTTATAATTATTCTTAATTACCTGTTTAAACTTTGACTCTATGAAATTAATGGTTACTTAGAATTAATTTGATCTCTGCTAAATTCATACAAAAAAGTCTCAACTGATTATTTTTTGTAGAGGATAAGGGAAACACAGAATTCACTTAAATTAAGTGGTCTTGGATATTCTATTAAAATAATTAGAAATGAGGAAGATACTGGAATCTTCATTGCAGCAGAAACTGCAGGTCCACCCTTATTTAATCTTTGTATACACAAATATATTATCTCTGCATTGTTTTATTTCTGGGCATTTTAGCAATCACTCAAATTAATGTGGGTAGAGGTGGTGGTCAGGTGAGTGTGGATGTCAATAAGAGCTGGTCTAAGCTTAGTGGAAATAACTGAAGCGCTAAGGATGAAGCTTGGAAAAGCATGGGGTCAAGGTTGTGTACACATTTCACGCACTGTTCAATCTTGGGGACTGCAAGCACATTTACTTAATCCAAATATGTGTCAGACATGCTCGAGAGGGTTTTTGTCCAATATTATATAACAAGATGTTTTATTGACACTGAGTTTATAACTCTTTAAGACAAAATTAGAAGTGGACCAATAACAAAATGTTCATCCAAACAAAGGAAAAAATGCCTGCCAAAATTGTATATTTATTATTACAGTTAAGCCTATTTAGGTAGTTCAAATCAAATACAAGAGAACACATCAGGTCATCATATTTTTTTTCACTGTTAAAATGAGGTATTCTGGCTTTACAATGTTGTAAGTTGAAGTAAGCAGTTTAATCAAAGTTACAAGAAAGAAGACGAGATATATACTTGGACAATTATTTCCTAGGGGTAAAAAGCCAAGTGAAATGTGTATGAATAAGATAATTAAGCCACAGAATACATTTCAGAATATCAAGAAGCATATGTGCAAAATTTTAATTCTAACCTTAAAATTGGTATACTTTATTATTATTATCATTTTACTTAGCAAACAACATGCACCATACTGTAAAACAAGCAATACAGGACAAAATAGCATATCTATTAGAGCATTTATCAGGTTCACGTATCATCTGAATTGACCAAGACTTATTTTCACTATGACAATTTCTGTATTTTTCTAATTGCTCATCAGTGAGGTTAAGTAGTACAGTTGGCATATACACACAAAGAATGCATACACAATCTGTATTTAATACTTATTATTATATTGGGGTATAAGTTACTAAGTATAATAGCAGCAAGGTACCACTATTTCTAGAACATGTTCTAAGACTTATCATATTGAGACTGTAGATTCACGACTGAAGTGTTATTAGTGCTATAAACTAATAACAAATGTAAAACTGCAAATGTACAGAGCTACCAAAGGCCTATTTGACTTTTCAAAGTGCTGTGCTTCTTGTTGGGCTTAATGTTTGTGAGCAAGCCCCTGCTATTTGAATTAAGTATTGGTCCCAAGTTCTGGGCTCCAGTATAGTTCTAATGATTGGATGTAGGTTGAGGGGTAGAATAATGCATTTGAAAAGAGTAAGAAGCAATAACCACTGTGATAAGAGTGTATTGGACATCACTGAACACACGTGCCTATCACTGTAAGCTTTGCCAGCATCCTGTGGTTAGCAATAATCAGCAGATGATGGAGAATGGCCAGGAGACAAAAGGAAAAAGTAGTATTCTATGAAGGAGACGGGAAGGAATGACACAGAATATGCCTCTAGACTGTTGATGGGCTTGCCTCGGCAAATGGTGAGCCTGAATTCCCCCCAAATATAAGGGTAAATATTTATCTAAACTATTTGGCTTAGAAATGAGTTTGAAAAGTCCTAAAAGTTTTGCTGGAGAATATAATAGAATACTATATCCACTGCAGGGTAGAAAGAATTTTCTTGAATTATTTGTATAGTGTCTAAGACTGTGATATTTTGAGAAAATCAATCGCATTTTGTGGTGTATTCTTCTGGGTTAGGGCCTGTTTAGGGTTATAGTGCTATTGGAGTCCTTGTTTCTAGAAGGAAACTGGGGAATCCAGAAGCTACGGAGAGCGTCCCTTGGGGTAGTAATGAGCTGTTTGGTATCATTTGAAATTAAGGGTAAAGTTTCTACCTAAATTACTTATCACTCAAACAGTTCACTCTGTGTGTCCCAAGGCAATGGTTGTAAGTGACAACGCTATGGTGCCAAACACCAGGGAGCAGCCAGAGGCAGAGGGCCAAGATATCCTGGAACATTAGTGGAACTCAGAAGACAACCATGTTCTATGCTATGCAAAAGAAACTTCCTGTCAGTTTGGATATTTGATGCTATCATTTCTATTCACTTCCTCTTGGCATAACAAGTCTGTTTAGCATGTACTGGGAAAGCCCACCTCTCAAGAGTCCACATACATGTTGGCAGATTTCTTTGAGCTCTACACATTTCATTATATGGATCATCAAAGGTGCCATTCCTAGATAAGTTCTGCCATCCTACATCACACTGTTGGGAAATAAGCCCAAGCAGCTTTTCCACCCAAGCCACAGAAGGAAGAATAGCATATCTGCACACCCCCTGAGTATAAGGCATTTAATCTAATCATTAGGGACCTTATGATTGGGGAGCTAATCAACCAAGATTTGCAAATCAGTCAGCACTAAAGTAGCAGACAGCATCTTCAAAGATGAAGGAACCAAGAAAGATTTAGCACAGGATCACATGCTCAGCTAACGGAGCGGAGTCTCATGGCTGTGCTCCAATCATTAGCCCACTCTGTTTCTTAGAATCTAACAGTAAAAATTTGAAATTAGCTACTAAGAAACATCACACAAACTTCAACTGTGGCATGAACTAAATCTGCAGGATGGACTGGTTTCATGTAGCTCTTTTACTTCCCAGGAAGAAGTAGTTTCATTTCCATCTGAATTTCTTCTGTTGCTCCACCTTTAGCATTGTGCTAAGCCTCCTAGCTGGGAGGTAGTAATGTCTCATTGGGAAGCACTTTCTCATGGCAAGATTCTCAAAACGAGAGATGGAAAGTCCCGCCACGCCATAAAACTGCATTTAATTCCAGAATACTCTACTACGTTGTCTTATTGAGAAGAAACAATTTTTTTGGATGAATATGAGATCATGTAAAAAGAACTAGGATTCCTAAGATGGATCATTACCTGGGCTCAGATTTTGTGCTTTTCTTTGAGTTTATAATAAAATCCTGGGACTGTGGCTTAACTGCTCTCGGTAATTCAGGGTTTAGATTCAGTGCTAAGGAAAATGACTAAAAGTAATTACCATTGAGTTTAATACAGCAAATATAAAAACTTTTTTGGCATGACTCTCTTGGAGGTCTGCCACTAATTTAAAATTTAATGTTCAATAACTTATTCCCTTCCATTAAGTCCATCTCGACCTCTCTCTCCAATCCTTCTGTATCCATGAAATCCTGGTGGTCTCTCTAAAAGGCTCAAAGTTCAAGCCTGTAAACACTACTCTAACCGAACTAAAACCTTTGATGGTCCCCTTTGCCACAAAGCCATGGAAATATGGCTGTGTGGGAAATGGTCCAGGGAGCTCATGAATAGCTCAGTTGTATTTCAGAATAAATATGACCTAAAATTCTGTGAAACTAAAGTCCTCTTTGGCTCAATCAAGTAGCTTCTTAGCTGATCTTGAAGTTAGTTCTGAGCAAGTATGAGAGCCTTGTTTTGATCTGAAAGGTCTCCAGAACTTGTGAGAATAAGTGATGTGGTTGGGTCACTATTTTATTGTTGGCAGTTGCAGAATGAGTCATGAACCTAAAATCTGTTTTCCCTCTGTCCCACATGCCTGAGTTCTCCTGTCTGGTCTCACGGTCAAGGAGCAGAAGGCACACATCCTTTACAATATGTTAAGCAACTTTTTCTTGAGGCAGAGATTCTGCTGATGCAAAGGTGTTTATCAAGGGAAAATTGTAAATAATCCTCCTATCTCCCAGAACTCTTGTGCAGACTTTCAAATTGCAAGCAAGGCTGGCAGCTCCAAGCAGCATGGAGGAGTGAGCACCTGCACGCACCACGCAGAGCAGGACTCCGTGCATGCAACCTTGGTACAGTTTTCTGGGCTTTTGTGTCATGCTTGATGACATTTATCATGCAAACACTGAGGTGCACTTAAATGTTACAACCCAAGTGAAGTGCAACCATATATTTAAGAACTAAAGGACAAAATCATGTAAACATTTCATGGAACAGTCAGCAGCCCTTGGGTGTTACTGGCATCCTGTGTAGATACTTGTCAACACACCTGGCCTCATAGCACCAAACACCTGGACAAAGCCGAGGCTCAAATAAAACAGAGAACAGTAATTCTCCTCTTGCCTCCTTATCTCTTTGCCAAGTAACAAAGGGTAAAAAGTGGGGAAATGATCTAGCCCCTAGCAATTGACCAAAAATTAAAAACAAAAGCAAAATGAAATGACAACAAAAATAAAACCCTGAGGGTAGACCAGGGATTTCAGAGCTTGTCATTAGCATTTAGCATCAGAATTGAAGGAAAGTTTAGAAAACGAGGGAACACACTTACTTACTCTTATCCAGAGAAGGCCCTACAGAATTTGACATTATCCCAGAAAACCCTTTGGGGAGGGGTTCAAATGCAAAAAAAGGAAAGTTCAACCAGATTTTCCCAGAGGCATTTCTATTATGACCTCCTCAAGGGTGCAAGCTAAAAGCCAGGTCTTAAATTGTTTTACAGAACGTATAGGGTGGAAGACCAAGAGTTGGGGGTGTGGATGTGCTTTTAGTACCTCACCTAGGACACCCCTCTCTGCAAGCAACATGCAAAATCCATCTATGGGCATCAAAAGACAGAAACAGGAAACTGCTGGAAGAAGAGTCTGACAATCTTTATAAATGCATACATCCATTCGGGACTCCATGTTTATATTTCCTTCTTAAGAATCCAGAAGCTGCCACTTCCTTAGGGATTCTCAGATGGTGCTGAGGAGCAACAAAGTGCACACATTTCCATGCCTAGTTTTCTTTCTAGAGCCTTTCTTTTCAACACTCTTCTGGAGGGTCTACTTATGAACTAATAGTTCTTCACGACCCATTTTATCTTCGTTCATGGGCATGGCTTGGTAGTGACTTCTCAGATCTAGACCACATCCACACATGTATACTGTCCCCAGGAGGACTGGGGGAGCCAGGACATGAACAGCAGAGTCAGGAATCACTCACAGCCCTGAGATGCGTGGTCCTGTTCAGGACAGAAAGACCATAGCAGCATCTATCCTGGGTAAGAAAAGTTCAGTAAGCTCCTGTGTGAGTGCTCTTGATGTAAGAAGCACGGCAGATATTTAATCTATAAATAAATAAATAAATAAATAAATAAATAAATCAAAACACAAGAGGGCTCCTTATAGATAAGCACCTCTTATCGATAAAAAAAAAATTCCCTCTCGAGTTTCAAAGTCCTCATGCAGTAGTGATTGGTAGGCTCAAAACAACCTGCAGAAAGTAGAACCATCAAGAGAAGGACTGGAAATGTTCCAACACTAGGTATTTCTCACTTGGTGACACACGAGTCATCCTAAATATCCCCGAGGTAGTCTTGTTTTCAAGGAGTTATAGAATGGCTCCAAATCCACTTGGAGCTTCCTCCTTTAATGCCATTGCAGTTTCCCATGCATCCTGCGCCTGCTTCCATGGTGCCATGGATAAGGGGCCTTCCACTTAGCGTTGTGTCCCACAGTGCAGACCTGAGTCCTAGGCAGACAATAATAAAACGCAATTCCAAGATCAGGCTTGAAGACCCCACTCCAAAGAGGACTTTGCCAAAATGATGCAGGTGCTCTACCTGGCAGCCATTCTGGAAAAAGCTGTAGAATTAAATAAAAGATATCTGGCATGCAGCAAACATGCATATCTATCTCTTGTTGGGCCCCACGCTAAAAAGATCTCCCATCATTGTTCTTTTCACTTTTAAGAAGGGGCCAAAAGAAATAGAAAGGAATCCAAGTTTTAAAACTGGGAAGCATGTTTCTGATACTAAGGGTAGTATGCACTGTTTATCTGAAGAATGAGGTGACCAGTTACCAGTATACGCTATGAAAGAACAGCTTGTGTTTGAAACATCTTAGTGATAAATGAGTCCTACTCTCTCAGAAAAGTGGTGACATCCAACAATCCTAGAGAGACCTGGTGCTTGGCTCTTTTCCCCCTCAGAGCCCCTGGTTGATGTTAGATCCACCCCAGATGGTGGTCCACAGCTGCAATGAGCCAGTCTTTTTCACCAGGAATGTGTTTCTGGTTCAACTTTTTCACCGGCTCAAACACAACACCCCAGACGACAATAGGGAGCTGGGCCAATTAGGGGGACACTCAATACCCCAATGGGTCCTAGAGATCCTATTTCCAAATTCCATTCACCACCATAAGCCACTGGGGAGGTCCTGACCTTGGTCACATGAAGCGTGCTTTCTTCCCTTGGACTTAAGTTTTAAAAAAAGTCTCATTTGGGAAAAATGCAATTAATAGCCCTGTAATTTTATCTAAATGGCCCTGTGAGGAAGGGAGAAAAAAAAGCCATCTTCCTCTTACTTCATCATCACTGCCCCAGGGGCCATCCTAACAGGACATCCTTTAGAACTCTACCCTGGATCAACAAATTCAACATTAAGGTTAAATTAAAAATTAAATCAGCATTTAGCCAGAGCTGTGTCCTCCTGTAGGAGGTCATTCAACTTGATGACAGTCGCAGCAAAGTCCACCAGGTCCACGAAGTCAGATGTGATGATGTTGACACCCATGGCTCCAGGCTTCTGAGTTTTCACCCAGTCCAGGATGGCAGGAAGATTCCTATACAGAGGAAAGTGTTGGAGGAAGAGAGTGGATACAGTACAGCTTAGAGGGTCTTCTCCAGACATGGACATAAAACATTTCCCTTAATATTACAAAAATATGTTAATAAGAGCACAAGCTTTCAGAGGTATTTCCATTTAAGCTTTATATCTCCTTCAGGGATGAAGTAGTCTCTATTCCATTAGAAAATTACACTTTCCAGGGTTTCTCTGCTGGAAGAGGAGATTATTTGCTTCCAGCATCAAAGAGATACCATGTCAACAGGAACTTGAAAAACTAAGATCAGGCCCAGTGCGGTGGCTCATGCCTGTAATCCCGGCACTTTGGGGGGCTGAGGTGGGTGGATCACTTGAATCCAGGAGTTTGAGATCAGCCTGGGAAACATGGTGAAACCCTGTCTGTGAGGAGGGGTAATCACCTGAGCCTGGAAGGTTGAGGCTGCGGTGAGCCAAGAGCTGCACTCCAGTTTGGGTGACAGAGTGAGACTCTGTCTGAAAAAAAAGAAAAAAGAAAAAGAAAAACTAAGACCAAGAGCCTCAGCTTTAATGGGTTCTTTAATTTTTTTAAATCATGAAAATATTCAAACATATGGCAATGTTGAAAGAATTTTGCAGCAAATATATCCACCACCTAGATCCCACCATTAACTATACTTGCTTACCACATATCTATCCATCAATCTGTCACTATCCTTCCATCAATCCATCTTGTATTTTTGACATATTCCAACTGCAAGCATCTATACACATTCCCTAAGTACTTCAGCATGCATATGATTAACTGGAGTTCAATATCTGTTTTTAATTTGTTCTTCTTTTAACATAAAGTTTACGCTCAATAAAATTCACAAATCTTAATGGTACACTTGCCGAGTTTTGACAAATACGTACACATAATTCAAACTCATATCAAGGTCTAGAACATAACTGGTACTCCAGAAAGTTCCTGCAAGCCCCTTCCTCATCAACACCTGCCCCATTCTCCCAGAGGCAACAGCTATACTGATTTTTTTTTCCACTGTAGATTAGATTTGCCTGTTTTAAAACTTCATATAAGCCATGAAAAATGTATTATTTCACGTGAGTTTTCTTTCACTTGGCATAATTGTTCTGAAATTCATCCACGTTGCTGCATGTATCAGTAGTTCGTTGCCTTTCAAAATCAATGAAGAGAATTCCATTGTATGTATATACTGCAGTTTGTGTATCCAGTTTCCTACACTGGCAGGATGGACACTTGGGCTATTGCCAGTTTTTTGGATATTATGAGTAAAACTGTTATCTGTTCAATTCTTTTACTCATTTTTTCATTTTCTTTTAAAAAAATTGTTGAGTTGTAGAAGTTATTTATATAGCCTAGATACTGGTCTTCTGTCAGATATATTTTGTGAATATTTTCTCCTAGCCTATAGCTTGTCTGTCAGTTTTCTCAGTGACATATTTTCATGAGCCGAATTCCTTAATTTTTACAGATTCTAATTTGTCCATTTTTTTTCTTTTATGGCTTCTGTGATCTAAGAACCACTTCAGTCCACTCCAAATTTACAAACATATCCTATGTTTTATTCTAAAAGCTTTATGGTTTTTAGCTTTTAGGTTTAGCTCTAAGAACCATCTCAAATTGATTTTTGTTTATGGTATAAAGTAGGAGGTCAAGGCTTACTTTTTTCATATGGATATACAGTTATTCGATCACTAAGTGTGGCTTCTTAATAGACCAATACTTAATCAGTTGTCTCACTAACGGTCTTTCAGTCTCATTTTATTAATCAAAGGCTTCCTAGGTGACAGCCAGTTATTTAGTGACATAAAGGAATAATGAAAATTCAATGTGATAATTTCTGCATTAATAGTAAGTGTAAACTACCACAGGCAGCATAGAGAAGAAAGCAATAAAGTGTACTCACAGTTTACATCATAGTAAAAACAGCTCAATACATACTCAGTAGGCTGAGAATGCTTTAAAGAAGACAGAAGAAACTCTCCCTTGATGCTGCCTGCCCTTCTTTCAGCACATATCTTGACTTCTCAGTTTTCCAGACAACCCTGTTCAGGCCTTGGTAGCATTTTGTCCTTCTCCTCTTTCTTTTTCTCTTACCATAACTATAATCAGTCCTGGGTCTCCTCCCTCTCTCAGTGGACTCTACAATCAGCCACGGGCTAAAACACATATCATAAATCAATCAATCTATCTATCTATCTATCTATCTATCTATCTATCTATCTATCATCTATCCATCATCTTATTTTTTTTTTGAGACGGAGTCTTCCTCTGTCCCCCAGGCTGGAGTGCAGAGGCGCGATCTTGGCTCACTGCAAGCTCCGTCTCCCGGGTTCACGCCATTCTCCTGCCTCAGCCTCCCGAGTAGCTGGGACTACAGGCGCCCGCCACCACGCCCAGCTAATTTCTTTGTATTTTCAGTAGAGACGGGGTTTCACCGTGTTAGCCAGGATGGTCTCGATCTCCTGACCTGGTGATCCGCCCACCTCGGCCTCCCAAAGTACTGGGATTACAGGCGTGAGCCACTGCGCCTGGCCTATATTTTTATATTAATAGCTGATTATGACTTAAAAGATCACCCTCCCAGGGGTACTTCCATTTTGAACGGGGACTCCTGAAGAGTGATAATAATAATGCTTCATACAGATTTTTGGGGAATTAAACAAAATAATACATGTAAAGTGTTTAGAAGAGTTTCTGTGATATGATAAGTGTGGTAAAAAAAAAAAGGTAAGGAATCATAACTGGAAGAGTGTGAGGTAGAAATATTTGGTGGCTGGGAGTAAGAAACTACACCTTAAAGAGGTCACATCCTCCTGCTTACGTGACAACATGTTGTGGTTTGGAAGTGAGAAGCTGCAAATACAGACTTCCTTAAAGATAGACCAAGGATACACAAGGAACCACACCAAGGACACAGTAGTACTGAACCTGATAGATTCAAGACTTCATTTTAAAAGCCTGAGTCAGTGTTGAAGTATGAGGTGCAGGCGCCCTCTGCTGGTCATTACAGGGAAATGAGCCTTAAAGGCTTGTAACTCCAGTCACTGCAGCCAGAGCCTCCTCACCTTGGAGGATCCCTGGAGCCTGAGCAGAGAAATGCAGTGAAAGGTATGTACCTGTGGTTTCCAGTGACAAAGAGTTCTGTGTCAGCTTCGGGTAGCATGTGTCAACCTTCTCCAAGGCAAGGATCAAATAATTAGGATTAAGTACGAAGAAGGGGAAATGCAGAACCCACAGTGAAGAGGAGCTACTTTATTTTCTCAGCTCTTGGTATTTACCAGGACAAGGGATCTGTGCAAAAGGCTGAACCTGACAGTGCTGACAGGCCCGTGAGGCAACAGTTCCCATGGATGGCAGAGCAGGAGGTTAAAAACTTCCCTTTGACCTTGGGGCCCAGCTGGGAACAAGGGTGGTCCATAGTGTTTCTGGGTGTCTTTACAAATAGGGATGGCATGTCTATTTTCTGCCAGCCACTGTGGCTGGCATTTTCATGTTAAGGCTACAATCTGATGAGGTTTATTAATCCTGTTTAACTGGTGAGAAAACCACAGCTCAGAGACCTCAGAAAACTTGTCCACGGCCACCCTGTTGCTCAGGGACTGCATTGATTTGCTAGGGCTACCATAGCAAAACACCACATACTGGTTGGCTTAAATGACAGAAATGTATTTTCTCTTGTTTTAGAAGTTGGACATCCAAGATCAAAGTGTCATCAGATTTCATGTCTCCTGAGGCCTCTGTCCTTGGCTTGCAGACAGCCGCCTTCTTATTGCATTCTCACATGGCCTTTCCTCTGTGAACACATATCTGTGGTGTCTCTTTGTGTGTCTAAATTTCCTTTTCTTTTAAGGATACCAGCTAGACTGGATTAGGGCCCACCCTAATATCCTCGTTTTGACTTAATTACCTCTTTAAAGGCCGTATCTGCAAATGTACCCACATTCTGAGGTAACTGAGAGTTGGGACTTCAATATGTGAGCTTGGGGATGGCGGGGATGGGACGGGGCACAACACAATGCACCCTGGAACAGGGAGCATGTCAGGCTGCACTCTCAGGCCTTCTGATTTCAGTCCATGTTCCCTTATAGAGTTCATGGATGCTCTGTCCTCAAGCTTAGGCAAAGCATTTTCATATGATTTCAGTGAGAGTGCCATGAACCTGAATTTCAGGTTTCTATAAGTCTGGGAGAAACCACCATGGAAATTGAGTCAAATGGCTATATTTCTTGTGGCTTCCTTCTACGGTGTTGAACCAAAATGAACAAGATCTTAGCTCCAAAGTTTATCGAAGAGTTAGGGGGTTAAATCCCTGCCGAGAAACCACCTCTACATTTGTAAGAAAATATACCCTGTCTTTTTTTTCTTGGTTTGAGCTGACCACCAGTGCCAGCGACCAGTTGTTAGGACAGACCCTCTGGGTGTTGGCACACAGGGGAAGGTCCTATGTTTGTTCAACAGCCCAGAGGAAATGACAGCCACACTCTGCACTGGCCTTTTGGAACAAACTCAACCAGAGCTATATTTTCCTCCTTCAGTTGATGTGCAGGACTAGGAATGCATGCATACTTGCAATATTCTTATGGCCGGCAGGGGGGCGAGATGCCAAAGAAAGTATCTTTCCAAGCTTGGGGACATTGGCTTGCTGCTAGCAGTAGTGCAAGGGCTCTGGCATAGTAGGATCCCTTGGCTTTGGGCGCATGCCAACATCATTATCTCTCATCATAAAGGAAAGAGCCAATGTTTCACTTGCAGCCAGATTAAAGTTTTAGGAATGTACAGATATGAAAAGCTTTGTGACATTGTGGGTTACTAGTTATAACCTGTGAGATATTACCAGATTCAGGTACTAATAAGACAACTGCAGGCCTGTGGAACAGAAAAGAATAAGCACAAAAATATGCAGTATCCAAGTCAGTGTCCAACGCTGAAAAGGGCAGTGGTCTAACGATCAGAAGGCCAGAGTCTGAGAGGTATTCTTGACTTTTACTAGCTGTATGGATTGGGGTCACTTAAGCTCCCTGAATCCCATCTAAAGAGGGGATGATAATATGCTGTAGACAATGTGCCATCCTAGAGGCTGACTTGATTTAAGAATCAAATGAAATCATCTGCAAAAAGCCATTTGATATTCAGAATATGGTATACAGATATAACTTATCCTTAGTTTTTTAAATACTCCCTCTCCATTATTAGTATGGCTGTCTGCACAGACTTCTTCACAGTGGTATTTCACATTGCTTTATAGAAATTTTCATGCCAGTTTCTGCTGCTAGACTGTGAGTTCCTTGACAGCAGACAGTATAATATTCACCTTGAATCTTTGTACCTAGCTCTTCCTAGGTGCTCAATGTTTGTTGAATGAATATATAAATAATGTTGATCTACAAATATACCAGAGGCATGAGGAAAACAGTGTGGATACACAAACATATTATTAAAACAATAAAGCTTCTAATTCGGGATCTTTCAAAGAGATATAGTGCTGGTTTATAAAATTCACTTTTCCAAGTTCAGCATAATGAATTCAGTCAAGACTTAGTAGAGCCACACAGAAAACACTTTCTGGTTTTGTCCATGGTTGACATAATCAGGAGCTCTCACCAAGAAAGAAAAATCTAGTCCTGCTGTCTAAACTCCTGCTAGGTGAACTCCTGTTATCTGAACTCATGTTACCTAAACTCAGGACCAAATAAATAGAAACATGTTTTTGGATGAATCTTTCATTATCTGAACTCTGCTCGTCAACCTGAAACTCAGGGACCAAACTGATTCTTGTAAATATCTTTTGCTACCCAAACGTATTAGCTTCCTTAGCTTGGATTGCAAGGGATTCCCTGTTATCCAAATGTATTTATAACATTCCTTTTATACATATACATATACACATACACATGTACAGGTACATAGACACATACATACACACACTCACATATATGTGCGCGCACACACACAAACACGCATACAAATAAACCATCCTTTTTCTTGAGAACATCTATCATTCATTGGTGTCCGGGATAAGGAACACCATCTGATACAAAATTACTGAAGCTTCTGCTATCTAATTGTACAACCAGGCTCAATTCTGCCCTGAGGAAGTATTTGAAGCTACAGCATGGGCATGGTGGGTGGCATCCTAAGCTGCTTCTTCAGTGACTCATGGTCACCATGGAAAGGAGAACAAATTCTTGAAGGGCCAGCTCTGAATCCTTAGCACCTAGGACAGCAGCCTATATTGAATGCTTCTTAAATGAGTGCCTGGGTCAGCTGCGAGGCACAGGCAGGACCCCATGTGGCCAGGTACCAGGAGTGAACAGACATGGTGTTGGCTCAATGTGCTTTGCCTTATAGCAAAATTTAGAGAGTACAGTATTTATGGTATGATGTGTACTTATGAACAAAGTGTTTAGAGAGCCTTTGTTAATACAATCCACCTCAACTGCATGGTTTTCTCGAATACAAAGTTTTTTGCTTGTTTTGTTGTTTTTCTAACTCCTCAGACTACATGGCTTTACTGCGATTTACTCAGAATAGAATCAAGATAAATATTTTTTAAAAAGCTTTCCTTGTGGGGTGGAAGCAAATTCTTACCTATGAACCAGCGTGTTCTTGAGGCCCCCAACCAAGCCCCGGGCAATGGTCTTCACTCTGGGGGTGAGGATCGCTTGGGAGACATGGAAGGAGCCCCGTGAGGCCCGCTCACTCAGAGTGGTCTCCAAGAAGAGGATTAGTTTGCGCACACTTGTGGTGTTTGCCCAGGGCGCTGGAATCTTCTTTCCTGGCCACAGGAAGGGGTACTGCTTGTAGAAGGGACAGTGGTAGAAAATAAGAACCTGAAATATTCAAAACACAAAAAGGAGAGCAATCCATAAAAATGCTGAATGTTAACTCCTCCGTTTTATACGGACTGCTAGGAAAAAGGCAAGAAAATATAATCATATGTGGAAAGTCAAGAACTGTTTATATTAATATATATTTTTAGGAAATCAGCAAAGATTTACAGAGCACTTGCCATATGTCTGACTCAAAAATTCTTAATTTTGTTGGCATAAATACCTTTGGAAGTATATTAAAATCATGGACCCCCTTCTCAGAATTACATGTTAAATGAATGCATACAATATACAGGATTACAAAGAAAATCTATGATATGGAAATATAGCAATCAATATATTAAATAAGTTTGTAATAAATTAATGTATGTGCTGCATGATAAATGCATTCAATAAAAATATTTTGTTGTAAGTCTAATAAGTCCCATAACTGTGAGTTAGGGATAAGCATAAGTGGTATCTCAGATATCTGCGATAACCAAAATGTGAGATGGACGCATCTAGGGAGATAAAAATCAGGCAGGGCTAAGATTGTTGTGGGTCACCGCCTGCCCTCATAATCTATGGGTATACTAATTTTCAGTTCAATTTTAGTAAAAATGAATATGTATTTTTTTTCCCATCCAAATTTAAAGACTTCTTAAATTCTACCCTCATATCCCTCTGGGGAAGCTTTGGACCTCAGGCTGAGAACTCTTAGGCTGAGCAGCAAGCGCTGTCTAGAAGTTATGTCTCCTGTAATTACAAAACTGACAGCTTTTGGAGTTGAAATAAAAACACTGAACTAATTTGTGGGTAAATAGACTTTCAATCGTGTGTGCTGGCTCTGCCTGGAACTGCCCTTCCCAGGAGAGTGGGGAGTGTGCCACTTGAGTCAGGGGAGACTTTGCAGAGGCAACTGGCCTCCACAGGGACCGCTCAGGATGGTGGTGATGTTGAAAATAATTAGCAAGCTACATCCACAGCATTAATTAGTTTCTGGGAGGCAGCTGTGGGATAGGAAACTGCTATTTTGATCGTCCCAATTCAGAGCTCTGCTGTGAAGGTTTCTAAAGGAATATATTTTTCCCTGTCCCAGGCACTAGTAATCTTTTCCTGGAGGAATGCCCTGCACATGCTCACGAGGCCTGGACTGCCATCCCCGGATAGTTGGCCACAGAGGGTAATCCTCCCGGGCACCCAAGAACAAGAGCTCTGGATGTCAGCCTCATTTCCGGTGTGCATTTAGCTCGTGACTAAGGTGCCTGACTAACTGCTCCCCAAGGCCCAGAGCTGGGGAGCACCAGGCTGGTTGCACTGAACTGGGTAACGGCTGTTCTTGTTGTTTCTAATGGTTTTGAGTAATGTCTGACTGACTGCTAATGACGTCTGTGGTAAACCGGTGTGTTAATGAGGTTAATCACAGGCTCATGATAAGCAGATTGCCTGGGGGAAGGGGAGGATTTCCTTGTAGAGGTGTAATTGGCCAGGTGGTAAGCCTGGGGGCTGTGAGGAAAGCCGTCCTGTGCAGTGGACCGTGGGAGAGGTGGGAGGCGGTGCAGCCCTGTGACAGGACCTGTCAGACACATCTTGGGCCTGCCCGTGGGCCACATTTCAGGGAACGAGAGGACTGTGCCATTCTTTACTCTGCCTTGGAAAAAGTGCATTAAGTACAAATTATCCAAAAGGGTCTTTATGCCTTTCTTCAAGAGCCTTCTTGAGCAATCTGACCCTAAAGGTTACAGGGAGAATTTCTGTTTACAGGGGGAGGCCGGCCTTGCAAACCAACTCCCACTGTACAGGGATCTAGGTGCAGCAACTGTCACTCAGGGCCTGTGTTTTGCATCTGCCTCCCTCTCCCCCCAACCTCTGTCTGCTGTGTTTTTCTCTGAAATACTCTCCTCTCTATCTCAGTGGTTCATGTTCAGTTTTTCTCTTGAGACTCAGATTAAAAGTCTCATTTCCTTCAAGAACGATTCCTTGATGGACCTCCTCTTATTCTGGTCATTCTTTTACTTGGAGCCTCTGGGATATAGACTTAATGCTACGTTCTACTTTTCAACTGATTTATTACAAAATCCCCTTCTTCATATAGTACAGAACATTTGAGGCACTTTTATCATGCAATTGTCTATCAGTTGTTTCGTATTCCCTAGTGTTATGTACTCTTACCATTTTATTAAGATCCTAAATACTTCCAAGATGTAGATTAAATCTCTAACTCATTGTACCCTCAAAACCCATAGCCACTAATGTACAAATAAATATATACCTATGGCTATGATGTAATTGCATGTTAAGTAAATGAAATTTGACTGAATGGTAGCATACTTCTTTCAACTAAATTGTAGTAATAAAATACGCAGGGGCTTACATGTGAGGCAGCTCATTACATGAAAAATATTTAAAGTTTAACTCTGCCCTGGCAGTAGCAGGGATGACTGGTGCCTCTGTTTGAAATCTCTTTGTTTAGCTTTATTTTATTTTATTTATTTATTTTTTTGAGACGGAGTTTCACTCTGGTCAGCCAGGCTGGAGGGCAATGGCACGATCTCAGCTCCCTGAAACCTCTGCCTCCTGGGTTCAAGCGATTCTCTTGTCTCTGCCTGCCGAGTAGCTGGGATTACAGGCGTGTGCCACCATGCCCAGCTAATTTTTGTATTTTTAGTAGAGATGGGGTTTCACCACGTTGGCCAGGCTGCTTTTGAACTCCTGATCTCAGATGATCAGCCTCGGCCTCCCAAAGTGCTGGGATTACAGGCATGAACCACCGCACCCAGCCTGTTTAGCTTTCAAGAAGAAATGTGGCAGGAAAAACATGGGAAAGAAGGGAGCACAGGGGGATCTTAGGATTTAAACTGATGATGCTCTCCCTTTTTCTGAGATATCATCACAGTCTCTTTCCTTCATAACTTTAGAAGTATTTGTAGTTGGATAATACAGTTAAATTAGCCCATGCTTAAAAAACTATGATAGATCATCACTCTACTGTTAGAAATTCACTGCCTACACTATTCTTTATTCCTGAAGATACCCCTTACTCCTGCAGATTTGTAAGCAGTTTAGTATGCAATATGTCAACCCATCTCAATCCTGGCTGTGTATAAAATTATATCTGTACTCAAATTTAACCGAATCCCCAAATTCCAAAGCTCTCCATCCCTTTCTCCCATTCTGCTAATTCTCTGAGATCTTCTGATAATAGGGGCTCATTAATAAAAGCAAAGTATTTCATTAGCCTAATATACAACACCAGTTGTGAAAAACACCAATGTGCCTAAATACCCCTCAGAGAGCATGAGAAGCTGTAAGAACTCTGGAAAGCCAGAAAGCCTGCGACTGAATCCTGGTTCTCACTAACTAGGATTTTAAAATTTGCCCAGGTTTCTCTCGGGTGAGTTGCTTAGTGTCTCCATACCTCAGTTTCCTCATCTGTAAAATGGTGACAATAACAAAGTACCCATCTCATGGTGTCACTGAGAGGATCAAATGAGTTAATCCATGTACGTAGCTCATTGTAAAGGTTCAATAAACATTAGTTGTTGTTACCATTATCTCATATTGTAAAAGAGAAATGCCACTGGGAAAAAGTCTCTCCAAGTTAGACATGAACAGATATAAACTTACTTTTATGGTATAGAGGTGTGATAAATATTTAGCAAAATATCACTTACAAAAGTCTTAGTGAAGAAACTTGTTTAGATAGACTTTAGCAGATACTAAGAGTTAACTCATGAAGCCTCCGTGGTGTCGAAGACATTTAGAACTTCTCAGGGTGCGCAAAAACAACTTGGTATTTCCAGTTATTCCGGCCAAGCCTGGGACTCATCCTTGAATCCTCATGTTCTTTCATACCCCAAATCATATCCATTAGGAAACCCTGTCGGCTCTACCTTCTGACAGATGCAAAATCTGACCACTTGCCACTAACAGTCTCACTGGGTTCCTTACTTCTGCCCAATCCCCCTGCCCTGGTCTCTTCCTAGTATTGCAACCGGAGAGATCTTATTAAGACCTAAGTCAGGCCACAACATCCTGTGCCAGAACTCTCCTCGCTTAGAGTGAGTGAAGGCTAGCGTCTTTACAGGGCCTTCTAGGCTCACATGATCACCAGTCGCCTCTCTGACCTCCTCTCACTACTCTGTCTTCACCTGCTCTACAGCCATACTGCATGTTCCTTTTCCTCAAAGATGGCAGGGACACTCCTGCTTTTGGGTCTCTGCACTGCCTGCTTCTTCTGCCCCCAAATAAGCATGTGATTAACCCCTTCAAATGTCATCTTTTCAATGAAGCCTCTCCTGATCAACTTTTAAACATTTCAACCAATCCTCCAACCCACAGAATCCTGGTTCCCTCTCACCATGCTTGACCTTTTCGTTTTCCATAGCTCTTATCACTTTCTAACACTTTATGTGTGTGTGTGCGTGTGTGTGTGTGTGTATATACACACACATATATGGAGAGAGAATATACATATATGTATATATGTGACACACAGACACATACACACACATATATGTATGTTTATTATCTCTATTATCTATGATCTATCTCCCTCCACCAGAATGACAGCTCCATTAGGGCAAGGTATCTTTGTCTATTTTATTTACTAATTTATCCCTAGTCCTTAGAGGTTACTTGGCATGTACCTGGTGTTTAATAAATATTTTCAAGTGAATAACCTTTAAACTATTTTTAATCAAAAGCTCCTCCTTGAGTTAAAAAATATCTGCCTCGTAAAGTTGTTTTGGTTAATGCATCTGCTGAGCAAGTGAGTAACTTTGAATGAAAGGTATGTCTTTTTTTTTTTTTTTTCCAGAGAGTGTAAATTAAACACTTTCCTGAAGCTCTTTTCTCCTACTGTCATCCTTTAGGATCAGAGTGGAATATATCTGAGGCCCACATTCCTCTTCCTGAGCGTGTCCCTCATGGTCCTAGGCTGGCAGGCTCTTCTCAACTTAAGCAGACTATGGAATGCTCTTACAGGCTGCAGCCCCTTCAACAGGCTCTTCCTTCCTTAACTCTCTCTCCCTCTAAGACCCAAATACTTTTATAATATTAACACTCCTGAGATGAATCACTATGTTTCAGTCAGCTAATACTTTTCCTAATCAGTCGATACCTTGGCCAGGATTATCTGACATTGAGTTGAAGGCAAGATGGAACAGACTATCCCTGAGGGGAACCAGAAGGGTAAAAATGGACCTCGGGAAACAGAGAATAGTAATGACCTATTGGCCCAATTTTACAACTTTGCCTTGGTTGGTTCTGGCCAGGCCACTAAAAGTCAATTAGATGTCAAACAGTTTGCTGGACAAGCTTTAAGTATTTGGCAGGTGTTAGCCCTGGCCCTTGAACCTATTCTAGAGCCCAGGAACTAGTTTGCATATGTTTAATATTCCAAACAATCCACTCTTTAGCCTAAGAGCCCTGGATTGAGTGATTTTACAGACGGCAATACAGGAAAAGCAGGAAGAGTTAAATTCTTGCTCTTGGAAGCTTATCTCTCCTTCCCTCCTACCTGGCAGTTCTTCTCCCACAGAGTTCGCAGCGTCAAACTTTCCACACTGCAGGCTGGGCACAGCTTGTTTCCAAAGGCCTCCTGGATCCGCAGAACCAGGCATTTGTGATGGGTCTCATCCATGGCATAGAAGTGGTTGAAATCCAGGAAGATAATCTCCTGGGGGTGCTGTGTAAGAAACGAGTCAATTTCCATCAGCCCATCCCAGACCTTGATGCCAAAAAGCCCATGGATGAAGTAGATCTCCTGGTCGGCATCCCCTGGTTTGGAAGACACACGCAGGTCAAAGTAGCGGATCCCAGCTTCCAGCTGTTCTCGAAATGTCAGGTTCTGAGTCACAGACCACTTCTTCATTAGCTTCTTCACCAAGGAGATCCTGGCGAGGCGTTTGATAGCTTGGGTTTGGTCAGGCCCCACTGGGGACTTTTCATCCACCCAGTAGCTGAATGAATCATGTGAGCCTGTACAAAGGAATACAGGTGAGGAAAGCAGATGAGACGGGAGCTGGGAAAAATAAGCCAATTGATGAGAAAACAAAACAAAACAAAAATTAAGCACCAAATAACATACTAAAACTGCAAATGAATAGTAGCAAAATTTGCCAAGCTTGCTAGGAATAAAATAAACACAAAGAAAAGTAATGTAGCAGCTTGTTAAGCCTGGGGTAATACTATAGTTTTCATATATTTTGCTGGCATAAGGCAAATTAATAAATATCCTTTTGCAAAGCTATTTAGAAATATGCTGAAAATAGGGGCTTTAAAATATTCATACAATTTGCTCCAGTAATTTCATTTCAGGAAAGCTATTCTGAGGAAATAAACTCTAACATTCAGGAAAACAAAGATGTCTGCCAAAGAATATTCATAATAGAGACAAACTGGAGATAATGCTTAAGTGTCTCTTATAGAAGAATGCTTTGTTGTGGTATATCCACTTTATTCATGCCATCATTGAAACAGAGGGTATGAAAACACTGTGTCTATCTCAACAATGCCGAGAAAGGGATTTAAATTCTAGGAAAGGCAGGATTTCAAGAAACTAAACTTGCTTTCTTTTTATGTTTTTAAAATATATAAAAAATTGTATATATTATTTTACTATTGTAAAAGTCTGAGTCAGTAGGAATGATTTATTGACAGATCAGCTAACCATTTCGATGGGCTCAACACAGTTTAGTTAATATGTCCCTCTTTTTGAATTCGTACCTCAATGAGCCAAAACTGCTATTAAATGGTCCAAACGCACATTCTGTTCCTCTGTCTTAACAAAGGGATAGTATGAAATGTTTTGTAAATGTCTGTTATGCCTGTTTGGTCTATAGTGCAGATTAAGTCTGATGTTTCTTTGTTGATTTTCTTTCTAGATAATCCATCTGTCCAATGCTGAAGAAGTCTGCAACTATTATTCTATTGGAGTCTACCTATTTAACTCTAATAATATTTGCCTCATAAATCTAGGTGCTCTGGTGTTAGGTGTATAAATATATTTACAATTGTTATATCCTCTTGCTGAACTGATCACTTTATCTTTATATAATGACCTTCTTTCTCTTTGTGTTTTTTTTTTTTTTTGCCTTAAAGTCTATTTTGTCTGATATAAGTATAGCTAATTTGCACACTTTTGGTTTCCGTTTGTGTGGAATATTTTTTTCCATCCCTTACTTTCAGTCTACGTGTGCCTTTACAGGTGAAGTGAGTTTTCTGTGGGCAGTATATAGTTGTGTCTTTTTTTTTTTTAATCCATTCAGCCAGTCCATATCTTTTAATTGGGGAATTTAACATTTACATTTAAGGCTATTATTGATAGATGAGGACTTAGTCCTTGTCATTTTGTTAATTATTTTCTAATTACTTTGTATATTCTTTGTACCTTTCTTCTTCTTTTATTGTTTAACTTTACTATAAGCAAACATAGAAGAAATGCTTCAAGACATTGGTCTAGGCAAAGGTTTCACAGCTAAGACTTCAAACACATAGGCAACAAAAACTAAAATAGACAAATGGGACTATATTAAACTGACGTCTCCACCCTAGCAAAGGAAACAATCAAGAGCGAAAAGACAACCTGTAGAATGGGAGAAAATATTTACAAACTATTCATCTTACAAAGGACTAATATCCAGAATATACAAGGAATTCAAACAACTCAATAGCAAAAAAACTAAATAATCAAATTAAAAAGAGGACAAAAGAATTAAATAGACATTTCTCAGAAAGAAGACACACAGATGGGCATGGTAGCTCATGAGTGTGATCCCAATACTTCAGGAGGCTGAGACTGGTGGATCGCTTGAGTCCAGAAGTTTGAGACCAGCCTAGGCAACATGTGTGAAACCCTATCTCTACAAAAAATACAAAAAAAGTAGCCAGGAGTGGTGGTGCACACCTGCAGTCCCAGCTACTCAGGAGGCTGAGGTGGGAGGATTGCTTGAGATCAGGAAGTTGAGGCTGAAGTGAATGACAAACATCGTACCACGGCACTCCAGCCTGGGTCAGAGTAAGACCCTGTCTTTTTAAGATGTTTGTCATTCACTTCAGCCTCAACCTCCTGGTCTCAAGCAAACAAACGAACAACAACAAAACCATATAAATAGTAAACAAACATAGGAAGCAATGCTCCATGTCGCTAATCATCAAGGAAATGCAAATCAAAACCACAATGAGGTATCATCCCTGCCCAGTTACAACAGCAATTATAAAAACAAAAAAGACAAAAAATAACAAATGCTGGTGAAGCTGTAGAGATGTATGTAACTGTTGTTGGAAATGTCAAGTAGTACAGTCATTATGGAAGACAGTATGGGGGGTGCTGAAAAAACTAAATGTAGAACTACTACACAATCCAGCAACCCCATTAATAGGTATTTAACCAAAGGAAAGAAAATCTATATATCAAAAGGATACCTGCACCCCCATGTTTACTGCAGCACTATTCACAATAGTGAAGATATGAAATCAACCTAAATATTCATCAACCAACGAATGGATAAAAAATGTGGTATAAACACATACTGGAATACTATTCATCCATAAAAAAGAATGATATCCTGCCATTCACAGCAACACGAATAAGCCTGGGGACGTTATGTTCAGCAAAATAAGTCAGGCACAGAAAGATAAATATTACATATTGTCACTCATATGTGGGAACTCAAAAAACTTTTGGAGTTCACAGAAATAGAGAGTAGAACTGTGGGTATTAGAGACTGGAAGGGTGGCAGAGCAGGTAGGATAGAGAGGCTGGTTAGCAGATACAAAATTATGCTAGGACCAGGCGTGGTGGCTCATGCCTGTAATCCCAGTACTTTGGGAGGCCGAGGCGGGCAGATCACTTCAGGTCAGGAGTTTGAGACCAGCCTGGCCAATATGATGAAACCCTGTCTCTACCTTAAAAAAATAGAAAAATTAGCCAGGTGTGGTGGTGCATGCCTGTGGTCCCAGCTACTTGGGAGGCTGAGGCGTGAGCATTACTTGAACCCAGGAGGCAGAGGTTGCAGTGAGCTGAGATGGTGCCACTGCACTCCAGCCTGGGAGATGGCTAGACTCTGTCTCAAAAAAAAAAAAAAATTATGCTAGATAGGAGGAATGAAGTCTGGTGTTTTGCAGCACTGTAGGATGAATATGATTGACTATAATTTATTGTATACTTTCAAAGAGCTAGAAGAGAGGATTTTGACTGTTCACAACACAAGGAAATGATAAATGTTTGAGGTGATGGTTATACCAATTACACTGATTTGATCATTATACATTGTATACACGTATTGAAATATCACTCTGTATCCCATAAATATGTGCAATTATTACTGTCAACTAAAAATAAAAGGGCAGGGGGTGTGAGGAAGAAAGCATGAATCCCCCTAGACAGAGATTATCTTTTTATGAAGTATGAGTGACCACCATAGGCATATTCCTAATTACAGTGAGAAAATATTTCAATAGTAGCTATTTCTAGATGAAAATCATCTTTAGCAAATATCTTTCATTTTGGTTATTGGTTCTATCCAGGGTCAACCATTCTTATGTCTATTATCCACTAACTCATACGGAAGCTAATTTGGTTACTGCTGTGACTGGCTCTGAGGTGAGGGACTCCACACAGCTGGCTTCACTTTGCAAGTAAAATCTAGAAGGAAAATGCCTTTGCTTTGGCACTACTAACCTTGTTCTTAACCACTACCCCCCGCAATATTACCATCAGAATTCCTGTATTCATACTAGTTCACTGTCATCCATTTTCCATTTTTATAAATTTTAGCGTAGGTATTTCACATATAATACAAAATTTTACCACACTACCATTTTATATTATTTCAATTTTCTTGAAAACAAATCATTCTGTGATGACTCAGTGTTTTGTTTCCTAAGAAATAAAGTGAAAAAGGAAAAAAAAACCCATCAAATAATGCTTTACTTTTATGTAGCATCTGGAACATAGAGGCTATCCAGTAAGTATTAAGAAAAGACCTATTTATTCATCCTTAGGCAAATTGAATTTTGCAAGTGAGAAAATTACCAGCATATTTCAGGTAAGAAAAATTGCCATTACTAATAGAAATGTGGAACAAGTCCCCCTGGATTTTCCACATTGGTTATCTCTGTTAACGAGGCTCCCTGGATACCTGCCTACTGCTCTGCTTCCTTTGGCTGTATAGCAACAGGAAATTTTTATACCTCCTCATTGAGAGATTTATTATGAATACATTAGATATAGATGGTGAATAGTGAGTTCTCTCTTCTTTTTAAATTTCATTAACAGCCCAGCTGTTCAGGATTGAGTGTGTAATATAGTGCAAGGCACATACTGAACTTAATTCTTCCCTGGGCATTAGGGAATAGCCATTATCCAAGCGTGGAGGAGAGATGAATCCCCTCTGGTGTTCTCTTGTTGGTGTTGAGCCCAGTTTCATCTCCAGAGGGAGATGTGCTAACAACCTCCAACACTTTTCTCTGTGTCTGAGGACTGTGCAGAAATGTGACAGCAATGGGACCCCAGGGATCATTTTGAATATAGAGGGACATACAAGGTACCCAGCCCATCCCACAGAAGAGGGAGAGCATGTATATTTCCTAGGAACAGAGTCTCTTTTTACCTCTTTGTTCTCTTTTCATTTCCCCAGCCCCACCTTAGGCTTTCTGACATCCTGTGCCCAGCACCATCCCTGCATCCCTCCAACCCCCTTTACAGGACAGGACAGGACAGAACAATGAAGCAGATTGCTGAATGTTTTATAGCACTTGCCCTATATAGGCCTATAGCAGTCAAAGCCAACTCTCACTTATTAACCACTATCAATATTTTTCCTGTCCTACTTATTTCTTTTCCAGAAAGCTTTCATGTCATATGGAGTGGGTGAAACAACATTTAACTGCCTAAGTGCATTAAATTATTTCTTTTTCGAAAAACAGGCTAACAATGTCCCCCCATTCCTGCACATACAATATTTATAAACCATGTAATCTGCAAATAGTACTTACAAATAGAAAATCCTAATATTTTATAATTCAAATTCACTATCAAAGTTTGTTCCCTTATTACTCCCCTACAACTCATGGAAATTATTTTATTCTTTAAAGACAGTGATTCTTCCCTTCTGTCCTGGAATGTATGAATAAAATTCGAGCATTTCTTCAGAAGAGGAGGAAAATACCCTGCACCACTGATCCTTGCCTTATTCTCTAAGAGAATTGCTGCTTGGGAATTGGTAGGGATAGCAGTTTATTTTATGATAAGGTCAGCAAACAGCTTAGGACCTCATCCCACTGTAATTTCTGCTGCTAAAATCATCTTTGCTGCTACTACCTGGTATTACCTATGCATCTTCACTCACCTCTCTCTATGGCTTCTTTATCTCTGTCTAAAATATATTTAAGTGGTACCCCTTTGTCTTAAAACAAAACAAAGTACTTTTCCTTACATGCCTTACTCCACACACGATTGTCTTCTCTTTCCTCCTTGCTATCAAATTCTTGAAAGTGTAGGCCAGTCCTGCCGCCTTTGTCTGCTATGACATACTTCTTTCCATCTGAGTCCACTTTCTCTCCTTCTGTTGCTACTCTAATTCAAATGGCCATATTCTTCTTGGTTTCTATGTGGGTTTGCCAAGTCAGTTTGTTTGTGGAACCTTCCATTCCCTTGTGCTCAGTGTATATTTCTGCACATTTCTGGGTGTTCCCATCCTTCCTTTACCTTCTGTCTGCTTTTTTGACTCGTCTTTATTGTCCCTAAATTTAAATGTTTTCCAGGGATCTGTTCTGTATTCACTTCCTCTGTCCACCTTCAGAGACTTCAGTCCCACTCCCCAGTTTACCACAGTATCATTATGCAGATGACACCAAAAGCTTCCTTTCTAGCCCAGACTCTTGTAAGTTGCAAACTTACATTCCCACCTTCCTGCTATGGCCTGCCTCCAATGGCCTGCTCACACAACAAAGTGCGTATTTTCAAAGTCTAGCTTCTCCTGCTGGCCCTCTCATCCCCACAAAGTGCCTCTCCTGAATTTCTGCCAGTAGTCACCCAGTCACTCAGACTTGAAATCTTGGATTCTATTTAAACTCTTCCCTCTCTCTCACCGTCTTCATTTAACCAGTTACCAAAACCTTACATTTGACCTTTGTAACATACATCAAACCTGTCTCTTTCATTAACCTTCAACTGCCACTGTTCTCATTGATAGACTCATTGCCTGTCAAATAGTACCAAAAACCACCCAAACAAACAGAAACCCTAATTTGGGTCCTTTCACTCTAATTTGTTCATACTTAAAAGGTAGTTTTCTTAAGATACAGCTTTGATTATGACACATTCCTCCCACTTCCCGCCTTCCAAATAAAGCTCAAACTCAACACTGGGGGTTTAGAATTGTCTTCAATATGGTACCAATGCATTATTTCAGACTCATCTCTTACCAGGCCCCTACTTATAGCCTGGAAACTGTTGGTATGCAACATACACAGATAGGCAGGCCCCTTTCTGGACTCTGTTCACTTTTGCTGATACTCTGTAAAATATTTTCTCACCCCAAATATGTCTATATTTTCTCCCCAGCATTTGTAACCCATATTGAGTAAGTTGCTTTTTCCATGTCTCAGTTTCCTCATCTGTCAAATGGGCCAATAGTACCTATTGTCACAAAATTATTGTGAATATTGAAATGTAAGCAAAGTGCTTTGAACAATACTGACACTTAGTAAGTGCTGAACTGTAATTATTGCTATTATTAGCCATTTTTAATTAGTCAGAAATCAGAGTGTGAAGGGCTGATTAACTGAAGCTTCTTGCCTTAAATACTGATGGTCTAGAAGATTTTATTTTCTGTACCTGATTCATTGTTCCTCTCTATCTTATTAGCTGACATGGAGATGAAAACTTAGCCTCCACTCTGTTGACTATAGCCACCACCACTGTTTTGGTCACAGTCTAAGTTTGTCATCACCCACATTGAAAATCTTAAAATTTAATTTCTGACTTTTTGATCACAAGTTTCTTTACTTCTGCCACGCTGCAACCTGACTTTTATATTCTGCCCCTGACCCCCCGCCCCGCCCTACACAGTCTGAGAGCCCACAGCATTGGCTTTACTTCATCCTTCAGTTATATCCAAGATCATCCACTTGCCAGTTTTCACCTGCAGAATTATTAATTATAACTATCTGAAAGCTGTTAAGAGCCTGCTGAGGTATATTGTCTGTCTATACAGTCCTGAAATACACATACGAATATTAATATGACATTTTCTAACACACCTTTTTACTAACAACAAATTTTTTTTTTCCTCTTCTCCAATATATTTCATTTATAGAGGAGAAGCAATATGATCTTAGGAAGTAATTGGCATCAAATACTAAATGACTGTTTTCAGACTTCTCTGTGCTGAGAATTTTATGGTCATCTAAAAACTATTCCATATATAGCAGTAAATATGGACATACAAGTCCCTCCTTAATGTTCTATATGCATAGGACTAATTTTAGCCCTTAGAAAGGTGAAGTTTTTTTCCTCCAGTTTCTAGAAATTGACTTTTCTCTAATCCTTTCATTTTCACAATTACTACCCCTGTTTCTTCCTATTTTCTTTTACAGTCAACAGTCATTAACGGTGTTTCTTTTTCCTTTCTGTGTGCATACAAAAATCCTGAATCATGTATGTGAAAGCACTTTATAATGTAAAGTGGTGATCCTCAACCTTAGATGCATATCAGAATCACTGGGAGGTGGCAGAGCAGGGGGCGCTTTTAAAAAACACCAGTGCCCATGAGCTCACCCCAAACCTTCTAAGTCAAAATCTCTCTGGGACGGAAGCTGACAAGCTTCTTGCTGATTCTAATGTATACCCAGGCTTGATACTTACAGCCACAAATGTAAGATTATAGTTTCCCAAAAGTTCTCTGATTTCTGGGCATGGTCTTCTCTGGCTGGACTTCTAGTACTTTCAAACCTTCAAATAATAATCTGGTGAAGTGCCTTTCCCATGTATTGGTAGATGCTTTCTTCATCACTCCTTTTGTTCTAAGATACACCCTGCCCTTTAACCAATTAAATAACCACAGCTTGTTTGTGAAGAAGAAAAATATTGGGAGGCCTTGGTTTCCTTATCATGCCTCCTAGTATGTGATTAGATTAGGTTACTTAAGGTTTACTAGGATCCTTGGGATGTGCGCTAGGTTACAGAGCTCAGAATCAAGTCCCTGTGGCAGCAAAGTCACACGGGAAGAGAGAGATTTGAATGCGAAAAGGTTAGCAAGATTTTTACTCAGTGTTATAGTTATTGCCTCCTAGGTAGTGTTAGATTATTTGAGAGGTAAGGTATGAGAAAATGAGCTAGCTGGCCTTGTGAAGACCAGGCACAATCAGTTTGCTCTTTATCTGGAACACAAATTACTGCTTGATTCTTCCTGAGGGTTGCCATTTGGGGATTAGAGATCTCAAATGAGTGCATTCTAGTTTTTAAAGCACTTTCATTACCCATTTCTTGCAAATTGGAGTAGCTGCCATTTTCTGAGCTCAAATAAAAAGAATTTAAAGCAGGCTTCTTGGGAACCTGGTTTATAAATAAAACAAAAAGAATTCAAAACACACACTATGAAATGATACATTTCATTACAGTACAATGGCATTTCAGATTACATGATGACCACACTTGTAGCCATGGAGGGAAGATTGAGACAAGAGTTAAGTGAAGCTTATAAGAAGATAGAGAGAAACTCCCCATCTGGGTAGGTGAGGATGGTGACCCTAAGTCAAAGAACTCCTGACTTCACATATTTAAGAAAACCTCCTGTCTTCACCTCCCTTAGGTCCTCCTGTCTCTAAGTCCTTCTAACTTTGAAGCCCATTAGTTCCTGCAGGTGCTTCACTGATCCCACTCTCCCCACCCCATGTGTATTGACACCATTCAGTGTATCTGTGCCTTTAGGCACTGACATTGCAAAAATTTGTTCTTAGGGAGTGAAAAATCTTATTCTTCTATGTACAAAGTACAGATACATCTGAGTGTTATAATTTCACAGGGGAGGAGGGGGGGAAATAAGGAATAGAAATGCCTAATAAGACTCCTTCAGGGAGTGATTATGAACAAAAGGCTGAGACAGACCACCACCCTAGACTGAGGTTCCTGGCTTGTCTGGGCTGAACCTCTGACACTGTCTCTTTTTATCCTTAATTGGCCTGCCTCTCAATGCCTCCAGCAATGTTTCCCTCCCATCCATAAGGTGACCCAGTACTGGAAGGTTCTATTCCCATCCCCTGTCTCTAGAACACTAATGGGTTGGGAACCACTGAATTTCTTCTTTTCCAGTAATCTTTTTAAGTATTCTCACTTGCAATTTCCAGGACTACCAACAAATCATTTTTCTGTCTACACAGTCCCAAAGGACTCAGACTTGCACTTTGTAAGATACTAGTTAAGAAAGAACTTCACAAATGGTGAGTCCTAACACCTAACTTAGTGAATTACCATAGCTCTGAATAAGCTAAATGGAGTGTCCCCGCAGTGGATAGGGGCACAGAGTCTGTTGTCAGGCTGCCTGAGTTCATAATCCTGGCTCTACTGCCTACTAGTTATGTGAATAAAATGCTGGGCCTCAGTTTCCTCATCTGCACAATGTGGACAACAGCAGTACTAACTTCATTGGTCTGTTGTGAAGACTAAATGAGTTAACTCAGGCAAACACCCAGAAGAGTCCTTGGCTAATAGAATGAGCTCAAACATGTTATTATTATTAATTATTAAGAAATTTGTGTCATCTTTTATTTGGATGATACTATCTGAGAAACAAATAATTCTGGTTTTTAAATAAAGCCATGAAACCTCAGTAAATATTTATATTTGAGGATCTGTCATGGCAATTAACATTTAGGGCTAGGAAAAATGAAGTCTGTAGTTTAAGTCATTTATTTTAGGTTACACCCAAAATCAACATCAAAAGGAGTAAGTTTGGATCATAGTATTCTACAGTTGAAATTCAAATTGGCACTAAAACTAAAATTATAAATTATTAATATCTCTAGTCTGCTCCTATGTCAGTACTTGGAAATAAATACAGTGACTACACAATTTGCAAGTATAAGACAGAAAATTCTGAGGATGTTCTTAAACTTTTTATTTTTAACAACATAAAATTAGATGTCATCAAGTGATTTTTATGGAAAAACAAATCCAACCTGTTGCCAAAAAGATGTTGAATGACAGATTTTTTGAGAGTAGAAGCCTATATAATCCATTATTTGAAATGGAAAAAACAGTAATGTCTTCCCAACCCATCAAAAAAACCCTATCAGTTTTCTCAAATACCAAATATCATTAAAACACTCAAACACCAATGTAATCATCCACAGATAATCTTTCCCTAATATAAACAGCAGAACCAGTAATATTTTCAGAAGTTTTTCTGTATTTTTTTCTACAAATTAAAAATATTAATGCATAGTTCTTAGAGATGTAAGTATGGCCAAGTTTATGTTAGTTCATCTCTCTCAATATGCTTTATCACCCAATTTTTCTTTTTAGGCCTCTCGAGTGTGCTTGTTTTATTCAGAGGCTTTTTGCTTTCTTAGAAGACATTCTCACTCAATAATGTGGTAAGTTGAGAGCGCTAATGCACAGCTCGAGCCTGCTGGGAGGGTAGCTGAACTATGGATGTAACACATTCTCCATCTTTTTGACAAGGTGTACCTGCAACTTAAATGTTTTTGCTAGCTCACACGATGGGATTTTTTTATTTAAGTAGTGAATTCTGGATAAAATAAATCTTATAAGTTATAGCAAATGTTTGGATAGCAAGAGTTTGGATGGAATATCTACAGACGTGTTTGGAGCTAAGGTCTTCTCGGTTACCAAAGTATTTATGTGCATGTCTATGTGTACATGTTGGCACTAAAACTGGCCCATCTTAAATGAAATCCAGAAAATTCTCTTATTCAGTGGAAAAAAAGCCCACCTTTCATTTATTTGGAAATATGTTTACTAATATCAATAGAAAACTTCTAATAGATAATAATTATTCTCTAAAAATTCTTTTAAAGACAAATATTATTTTGAGCTCATTTTTGAGAGTCATCTAAATGCCATGTAAGCTCCAAATTTTTATCAAGACCTAAATCATATTATTTCTATCAAAACTAAGATCATCTGGTCGGTCCATCGTAAGCTTGGGCTAAAAACATATATTGGATATGCATGTATTTTCTATAACGAATAGTCAGAGTGTTCAATTAAAGCTTGTCTATTTTATCTCAGTCTGAATTTTAGGTCACATGTCTGTAATTTGCATATTCTTTCTCTATTAGCCTATACTTTGTCAAGTGAGGTCAGAGTAATGCAGGCAGCTTGCAAAAAAACCAGGTGCGGCTATCTTTCCAGTTACCCACTATAGCTGATGCTGCATAAAATTGCATTGAATGTCAAATTTAGTTTTCCTAATTAATAAAAAATATATAAACTAAAAAAAATTCTAGGCAAATTAATAAGATCTCAGCTGCAAAGACTCTTCCCTGCCCAGCAACAGCAAAAAGATATTAAAGGTGCCCAAACACAAAAGACCAAAAAAAACCCTTTGCTCACACTTTATCTTAATAAAGCTAAGTAATTCATATGATGCTAGCTACCAGAAGGTGTCTGGGCAGCAGTAAAGGCTCAACTAGGTCAGAAGACAATCTGTGCAAACAGCAGAAGAGAAAGCAGTATCATGCTTATAAAAAGATAGAAGATATAAGTGTTCAAGCCAAGAAAAAGAGTAATTTTTTCCCATCTCTGAAGGACGAAAATGAGAACAGATGCCCCCCTCCAATGGAATTGAATCAGAGATGTCCAGCTAAACAATAGCTCCTCCTCCCTCATCACTGCCATCTTTGAGGGTTTCAGAGATGTCAACCTCATGAGTTGTTAACCAATTTTAAAGAGTTGAATTTTTCTGAGAAAAAATAGTAGTCCCTTCTTATTTGCAGTTTCAATTTCCACAGTTTCAGTTAGCCACAGTCAACTGTGGTCCAAAACTATTAAATGGAAAATTTAAAAAATAAACAATTCATAAGTTTTAAATTGTGCCCCATTCTGAGGAGCGTGATGAAGTGTTTTGCCATCCCACAGGCCTTCCAGCCCAGGATGTGAATCATCCCTTTGCCTAGCATATCTACTTGGTAGAGGTTCCCCAACCATTAGTCACTTAGCCATCTCAGTTATCATTAAAACACTCAAACACCAATATAACCATCAACAGATAATCTTTCCCTAATGTAAACAGCAGAACCAGTAATGTTTTCAGAAGTTTTTCTGTATGTTTTCTACAAACTGAAAATACTAATGATGAGTTCTTAGAGACATAAGCATGGCCAAGCATGCCTGTTGCAGTTTCACAGTGTTGGTTTTCCAGGAACCCTAACTCTACTTGAGAATGACCCCAAAGTGCGACAGCAGTGATGCTGGCATATTGTTATAATTGTTCTATTGTATTACTAGTTATTGTTGTTAATCTCTTACTGTGCCCAATTGATAAATTAAACTTTATCATAGGCATGTATGTACAGGAAAAATTACAGGATGTATAGGGTTTGGCTCTATCCATGGTTTCAGCAGCCATTGGGAGCCTTGGAACATACCACTTGCAGATAAAAAGAGACTACTGTAAGAAGATTTTATGATTTGATTTATGGAGAGCCAGAAGACCCTATCTTCATAGAATTTCTATTAAAAATGTTTCAACAAGATTTTTTTTTTTTTTTTTTTTTAGAAAATGGGTAAAAAAATGAGATTTAGGCCCTCAAACACATTATCTCACTAAAAGTGCTTGGATTTTAATGACTTATGATTTTTAAGAAATTCAACATTTTTTTCAAATGTACTAAAACGAAGGCAGTCAAAACATTCCCACTCAAGTTCACCCTGATTAAAAACTCTGAATATATTCCTGAGGTTTAGAGAAACCACTACTTCATTTTACAAATGGCTGACAACATATGTCTCAATATGCATACAGGCAATACAGGCAAAATCAGCAGGCCAAGTTTCTGGAAGAAGAGCCATTTAGGAGCTGCTCCTCCTTCAGCATGAATGTCCACTCTCAGACTTTGACAGTGATGAGGATATGCCAGAACACCTCTCTGGCCCTTCAGAGAGCACCGGCCTAGCTGGACTCCGGATCCCTTAGGGTCCAGCTCTGACTTCCCATGGAGGCTGTCACCAGCTCACTTCCCTGTGGAACATCTTCCTGACTCACAACAGCAGCCAGCTCTGCCAGGACTATGAGCTTCCAGGTACAGCCATGTTGAGGGGCATGGCCACAGAGCAGTGACTAAAGGGACTAGTCTACAAAGGATGTTAAGATATTGCTTGGAAAAACTGCAAATTTGGTGCCAGTTGCTGCAGGTTTTCACCAGTGACTCCTTATGAAATGGGCAAGATGTTAAAAAAAAAAAAAGCTCTCTTCAATGCACATAGTAAACTCTTTATCTTGAAAATGAACATGCGATAAGAGAAAAAGTCATTTTTAATCACCACTCTCCTCTAAGCACAGTGAATACTGGTAGCTGGAGTATCTTCTGTTTGCTGAGCACCAACTGCAATATTCATCTCTGGCATTAATAGCTTTTGACATACTTGAAGCAGTATTAAGCAGTGGGTAGGGGTATGCCAATTTAGAGATAGACTCTTGGAAAGACCTCAGTGGATCTGCTGAGGAAACAGAGAGAGGTTGAGAAGCTGGGAGTGAAGGCTGAGGAGGGTGAGAATCAAAGGGGAAAAGGAGAGGGATCAGAGGGGGCTGCAGGGCTCAGAAGAAAGACTCAGGAAAGGAGGCAAACCTAATAGAAAATTTTCAA
Organism: Homo sapiens; assembly: GCF_000001405.40. Taxonomy (NCBI): domain Eukaryota; kingdom Metazoa; phylum Chordata; class Mammalia; order Primates; family Hominidae; genus Homo; species Homo sapiens. The sequence goes on along the minus strand of NC_000003.12, from coordinate 111,694,071 downwards.
AGCTGCAGTATACTTTCACTTCTACAACTTTTACCAAATGAGGTGTAAATATTTTTAAAGCGACAGCTTGAAGGGGTAGCCTATTATTAAGCTGTCTGAAGCACACGTGTCTCAGTCTAGCCATTTTGATGCCCCATCCCTCAAGGGGCTCTGCTCTGTGGACCTTGCCTCCTGGCTTCATCTCACCTGGTGCCTGGATCACAGTCCCCAAGCAGGTGTAGACCTAGCTGGGGAGTGGGATAATACCACACAAAGGGGTGAAGGAGGTGGGAAAGTACAAGAGAAAGCTTTCTCTCTGATTGAGATGAACATCTTAAAAAAGACCCCTTTATGAACAAATGTTTTTCTTGGTATACTGGAATTAAAACCCTACCCAAAGCGCTAGCAACATAAACATCGAGAAGCAAGATATATCGATCTGGGGGCATTCGAAGGAGAATGATGTATAAAGTCACAAAAGCATGAAGTAGAAAATGAGATGAACACCAGGAATACAGCATTTCACAGATACTATTGAAGTAACTACAATAGCCAGAAAATGTAGTGTTCAGATAATCCACACAAATAGGTGACTTGCAAGGATGAGGCAGGGAAATCTTTTCATTAGTTGACTAAAAATGTACAACCACAAAGAGTCTAGCTTAAGCTTCACGTTGCTCAGAATAGCACTGCACTAGTGTAGAATGCAGCAGGTCGTCACTGCGGAGGCTCAGAGGTTCCGACTCTGCTCCTCCGTAGCCACAGATGAGTCTGATGAGGAACTTTCTATAAATAATAAATGCCTCAGCCTTGTGCTGCATTTGCCTTATTTAAAGGTAACAGATTACTGGAAAGGGTAAGCAAGCCCCTGGGGCTCAGGGGTAAGCCTCACAAACTCTGAGCAGCCTTTTATGAGCTTTTGCAGTACAATAATCTATATAAACCTCCTGGTGATTGTCTTATCTAGAATAAGTATTTAGATAACAGAGGCCAGCCCAATTCTCCCTTTGCTTTTCCCTGGTTATATAACAAAAAATGGTGGCATAGATGATGTGTTCCTTCTACCCCTCCCTCTTTCCCATTTGCACGTTATTGAACTATTTCCCTTAATTCTCCTATAAGCTGGTGGAAGATACAGACAGAATGGCCAGACTCTACACTTCCACTGACATTTAAAGGTCAAGTCTCCTTGTATCATAAATAATGATATCTCCCTTCCACACGTAGGGAAAGGATAACTGAAAATTACCTAAGGTCAGAGGGGGAGGGAACCTTTGAAAGTTCACCTGGCAAAAGGACTTGATTTACTGCAATTTTGCTGAACACTTTAGCTGAGATAGCTCGTTTCATGAAGAGTTGAAGGAAGTTAACATCAAAGGATGAATTCATCCAGCTATTGTTTTTCACCTCTGTTGTTAATTGATTTTAATTTGGTTACCCTCTCAATAAATAAAGACTTCTAAAACTGGGTCAATGACATAAATAGAATCTGGTTTTCAAATATTTTCTTTCATATAGAGGCTTTTAAAAAAATATTGCTGGACCCTTACTGCCAGGTGTTACCTTTGAGAGAGAGCTTCTATCTGTGGTCAAGCCATGTGGCTTAGGTTCATTTAAATTTCCCCATCTGAAGAAGAAATTCATTTTTCAGGAATCACATATTCAGTACATATCTCTTTAAAAATTCTCTCCCCCTTTCCTCTGCCCCTGGAACTCATGGAAACCTTTTCACCTAATAACTAAAAGCATCCTGGCCGGGCGGTGGCTCACGCCTGTAATCCCAGCACTTTGGGAGGCCGAGGCGGGCGGATCACAAGGTCAGGAGATCGAGACCATCCTGGCTAACACGGTGAAACCCCGTCTCTACAAAAATACAAAAAGAAATTAGCCGGGCGTGGTGGTGGGTGCCTGCAGTCCCAGCTACTCGGGCGGCTGAAGCTGGAGAACGGCATGAACCCGGGAGGCGGAGCTTGCAGTGAGCCGAGATCGCGCCACTGCACTCCAGCATGGGCGACAGAGCCAGACTCCGTCTCAAAAAAATAAAAAAGGAACCTGAAGACATTCAGTTTATCTCCCCAGTGTTTTTACCTCAGCTCTTTTAACATTAACTTTTTTATAACCCTGGTGGGGGCTCTTGCCTGAAAATAACTGAAACAACTTCAATCTATTGAGTGCTTATTATGTACCTAATGCCAGGCTGGGCATTTTACTTACATGATCTCATTTGACCTGTGCTACAATCCTGCAGGGCAGTGATTACCTGCATTTTACAGATGAGGAAACTGAGGCTCAGACTGGTTTTGCAACTAGTTCAGGGTTGCAAAGATTGCATGTGGCTGCCCGGGACATAGACCCAGGTCTGTCAGACCTCAGTGCACACAAAGATACTCTGGGGATGATAGTATTGGTTCTATGTCCTTATTGATTAAACAAGTCAAGTGCATTGTTCATTTACTTTCAATAACATGGTGATTGCAGAGTTTGTCTTTGGACCTAAATGCCTGGTCCCTGCCAGTGCAGGAAAATTGATGAAGAGATTAAAGCTATTTTAAATTTTGTAAAGACCTAAAGAATTTCTACATAGGGACACAGGAGGGCACTCTAACCTTCTCTCAGTTGAAGAAACAGTCTGTAATTCCACAGCTGAGCCTGAATCCCAGTGCTGGTTCTGCTGTGATTACTTCTGTGAACCTGGGCTTCCAAACTTGTACTTGGAATTCTGTTTCTTCATTTGCAAACTTAGGAAAGTGAGTGAAATGCGACTTAGGGTCTCTTCTATCTTAAGAATTGGATAATTCCACTTATTAACAGCTTACTAAAGGCATTTGTGACCATATTTATGAAGGACTATTCATCATTGCAAAGAAATAACATTTTTCTTTCACACTTACCATACTTAAACAGAAAATATGCCTGTAAATTTAACTCATCATATTTGCAAAAAGCAAATCATTCCAAGCCTAAAGTGGTATTTATTGCTTTTTGGCTGAGAATTTCGTCAAATTGCTGGAGACCTTCTTTCTGCTCACACAGATTCCTAGGACCCATATTCCTGTTGGGTCTTAGGTGTGTCCTACAGTGATTAAATGCATTGGCTAATAGTTCACTTATTGTTTAGCATTTATGTGACAGTGCCCTTCACTTTAAAGGCTGTTGTTTCATTATTTTGTGGGTCATTTTAATGGAATTTATCATTGGGACTTTGAAAAAACATATTTAAAGTTACCTAGTTTGGCTGGAATTTTTCACAGGGCAGAGTTATTTTAAGATTCATTTGATAAATTGGAGAATGAGATACAGAGAAGCTTCTTAGCTAGTTCCCCTCCAGGATAAGAAGAGGTTTTTTTCTCTTTCCTGTAAATAAAGGCCTAAGCTAGGTGTTCTGACAGAGGAAAGGGAAAAGGGAGGAGAGAAAATCCAGTAAGTAGCAGTTTAAATTACATGAAATGGTGGGCTTAAAGGGAATTTGTACATTACACCCAACGGGGAAAGTGAATGAAAACACACCCCACCCTTGAAGACCAGTGTTCTGAGAGCTTACACACCTGCTAAAGCCTCATGCTGGTCTTTCTGTGTAGAGGCAGAATAGAGGCCAGATAGATTTTTTTCTGTGCCGGAGCCTTGCTGGGTGATTACTACATAGACCACTTAAACCACTGGGCTGCTTTTGTTCTGAGTCAATAAAAAGCCTCCTAGATGTCTGGTCTTGAAAAAAAAAATGTAACTTGTTCAGCCAGAACAGGTCAGCATGTAGTCCTTCAAACATCACCATCCTCATGGGTGCTCATGCATTAGAGTCCCGACATGGGAGCAAATGGCCTCAGATGAAAAGAAAATTACCCTTTATTACAACCAACAAAAGAAACTAAAGTTACAACCCAACACTGGGTCAATCTCCAACTCTATCAATGACTTTTATTCAAATGCAATTAAATGAATTTGGCATGACCTAATTTTTACAATTCTAGTATTGTTATCAGGATTTTGGGGGGCCATCTGCTTAACCTCTCTGTGACTGAATTTCTTCATCTGTAAAATGGGGATAGTAGGAGTATCTACATCATTAATTTATTATAATAATTAATTGGCTTTATATAAATCAAACAGCAATATCGGTCCCCTAGGAAGTGCTATATAAATATTAAATGAGCAAGCTATCTTTCTTCTGCTTCTTTTATTATTATTATACTTGTTCTTACTCTTAAAGCCTTGAGGCATCTTGAGAAGACTGCAATGCAGTTATAAGATTTTGTCTTACCTTAGGCGTTACTACTTGCTTCCTGCCTGTCCTAGTTTCTCCTTAACTAGAAATATAGATTTTTAAATATCTGTTTTTTATGCTTAAATTCTTTGTAGATATATTTCAAGATTCCATCTTTCCCCTCCTTCTTCTTTCCCTCCACTTTTATCATAAGGTGCTTATTCTGAACAAGACAGCAAGTATACAGAAATGACAAAACAGTTGTATACAGCAGAGAGAAACAGTCCCAATGGGGTATATCATGTCCTATAATGGAAATGTGCACAGAGGTCATACCTGAACTGAACTGTAATTGGCGAGGCAAAGCGAAGGTGGGTTATTGGAAGGGAGGGTGTTCAAAGACTGGAATTATAACAGGGATAGAACACTTTCTTTCACAGTTTTCTTCAAGCCCAAAATTGTCACTGGCTCCCTATGGTCTACAACACAAAGCATAAAGTGCTTAGCACAGTGCTGAAAATCTCTCTCCAACTGGCTTGTCTGTCTTTCCGTAACTTTCCCATTTCCTTCTCCTGTCACTTCTACAGGTGACCATGGCAGCCCTTCTCTGTTTCCTGAAGGTGCCCTTGTTTTCTCATCTCTAATTTTGGGCATTTGCTTCCCTGTCTCTGGAATGTCCTTCCCTCTTCATGTTGAAATCCTCCCTGTCTCTCACAGTCCAGCTCACAGGTGCTCTTCTCCTGAAGCAGTTCCTTACCCACCAACTAGAAGTAACCTTTCCCTTTCCAGGTCCCAGCACAGTTTGCTTGTTTCTTTATCATGGTACTCACCTCATTCTGCTTTTATTTACTTTATTTGAACTCTTGTATATCTCTTATAAGATCTACAAACTACATCTTGTTCATTTTTTAAAAATGTCCCACAGTAGCTATTATGATATTAGGTATATATTAAGTAATCAAAAGGATGTTTAATAATAATAGCTATATATATATATAACATATTTATTTCATAATTGGCAATATTCTAATCACATTGTATATCTTATTTAATTCTTTTTTTAAAGTTAATTTACATTTATCTTGTTTAATTCTTTTTTGAAATTTAATTCTTAAGTAACTTTGTTGTGTAGTAAAAAATTTAAACCTTACCCAAAAGGAGGTATGGTCTTCGCCCTCAGTCCTTGGGAGGCAATTGCTTAAGCCCTTGGAATGTCCTGCCTGATCAAAGTATCTTTATTTACCTGACAGCTTTGGGCCATAAGGGAAAGTATAAGGATGTGATTTATGGTGCAGGATTTGAGTCACATGGGCATGGGCTTAACCTCTGAAGGGGCTGGATACTTAGGTCAGCCATGTGGAAGACCAGAAAAGATTCTGGACACCAAAGCTCAGGTGAGCTTCCCTGGTTAGCAGTACTTTGTGTGGTACTGTCACACATCAATACGAGGAAAGAAACACTGTCCATGAGAAGAGGACAACTGGAAGCTCCACATTTGGAAATTTCCTGAACTTTGCTCCATGCACCTCTTCCTTTAGCTGATTTTGATCTGCAGCCTTTCAGAGCAATAAACAGTAACTATGAGTATAACAACTTTCAATGAGTTCTGTCAATCTTCCTAGCAAATTATCAAACAAGGGTGATCTTAAGGCTCCCAAACCTGTAACTGGTATCAGAGTGAGGGTAGTCTTCCAGCTTGTGCTTCCTCTAACTTTGCACTTTTGAAGTGGATATTATAATTATCTCAATTTTACAGATGAAAAAACTAACAGACAGAGGGGTAAAGCTTTTTACTCAAGGTCATGCAACTATTAATAGTAGCGAGGATTTGAGCCTACAACCTACACTCTGAACTACTTTTTCATAGTGCCTCCTGTGTGAATAACAAAGAGAGAGAGAGGATAAAAGATATAAGAAAAGGCTGGGCACAGTGGCTCATGCCTGTAATCCCAGCACTTTGGGAGGTCATTGCGAGAGGATCGCTTGAGCTCAGGAGTTTGAGACCAGCCTGACCTGGTCTCTACTAGAAATAAAAAAAAATTAGCCAGGTGTGATGGCATGTGCCTGTAGTCTCATCTACTCAGGAGGCTGAGATGGAGAACTGCTTGAGCCAGGAGGTTGAGGCTTCAGTGAGCCATGGTCACGTCACTGTACTCCAGCTTGGGTGACAGAGCAAGACCCTGTCTCAAAAACAAAAAAAAAAAAAAGAAAGAAAGAAAGAAAAAACCCATAAAGAACAGAGGGATGAACATGTGTTCTTAAATGCTGAAGATATTTAGGGTGGCTTTCATAGAAAAACATCTTGTATTCCAATTCAGGTATTTAATCCATACAAATATTACAATAAATTTAATATGAACAGATAATAATTGTGCATGTTAAAATATTTGAGGCCTGAGTTAAGAATATATTAATTTACAAAGTTATTAATACATATAAGTACGCCTTATGGTCATTGAATATAGCAAAAGACTTGTCTAAGAAAACAAAAAACCCTTAGAGTCCTTGGGGACAATCTTATTGTCCCTTGCCTTTCCATTTTAATTACCATCATTAGTCTGTGAGCTCACCTGACTCTACCAAGGAGACTGACCTGTTCTTTCCTCTGTGATTCCATGGCAGTGAGTTGATATTTGATGAACTTAGGACATTGAGTGCTATTTATCTCCACATCTGTCTCTGCCACCTAAGTGAAAGTCTTTCAGGGCAGGAACATGTCAACTTCACGCTTATATCTCCAAACTTAGTTTCTGGAATTTAGTAGGTACTAAATGCATCTATACAGAATAAATACAAGCATGGATACTTGAATGAACAGATGCTCAGAGAGTTGCCTAAGGCTGGTGGGCCTAGCTCTCCTGATCCTTTCCCAAACTTCTATTAGGTCCATCCAACATTAAACAGGTAGGGTTCACTCTCTGCTCCTTTTCACCCCTTGCACCTGTTTCCTAGCTCCATTTATCTCCCTTTTTCCTTCTAGCTTGAGTTATCTGGGTCAATGAAGAGGAATGTGTCAGAAAACATAGAGGACAAAATTAACCAGAAAGGATGACTAAAGGAACAACTATAATAAAATATTACATTGAACAATTTTAAAAGAAAGGTACCAGAGAGATTTCCTGAAACTTATGCCTGCATAAATTATATTCTAATAATATCTCTTTGGAGCCACCAATCTCACACTTCTGAATTAGGTCCTTGAGAAAAATGTGACATTTGTAGAGAGCTTGACTCCATATTAACAAGTAGAGAAAGGCTGAGGCATCTTTAGGGTATACAAAATTAGTCATTATGAGTCCAAGATTCCAAATGAGGGGGGCCACTTAGTAGTCCCTTGAACCAAAGATAACATCTTTAAACCTTCTTCTCAACATATCATACTTGTTTATTTTCCATGAGGCATGTGGGAGAGTATTCATAATAACCATCAAACTGCCTGCAAAATCTGAGAGAGCCATGTGGCCAATTTAATTTTTAATCAGTCGCCTATTAAATTCATAATTATCCACAATGCAATAAAGCAACTGTTTAAGGCAGAATACTTGGAAGCAGAGGATGTTGATCAACTTATTCTTTTTTATGTGCTGAGAAGCCAAGGTGCATCTCACTGTCTGAGGAGAGACAGCCTGGGAATTAAAAAAGTCTGTCTTGGTCTACCCCTGCAACTGGCTGGATGAGCTCAGAGATAATTGAAGTAAATCAGAGGTTTACAGGGTACTTTTTAGACCTGCAATACTTTCAAATGAAGTATCTATGTGTGAAACAAATGCAACCAGACCTTCTCTAGTTGAAGTTTCTCCCCAACAGTCTCCACCCCTTAACCTGAGATTGCCAGAGGGGCACCAAAGGGTACTAAACCTTCCCTGCTCTGCAAGGCACAATGAGCATTCCATTGCCCAAGGTATTCCCCAAGTTAGCTCCAACGTCCTATGATTTATGTGAGCCAAAGGGTTTTCAATCCCATGTTGTGGGGGGGAGCATTTTAAAGCCCTCTACATGGGGAGGGGTACCTATTCTCTTTTGAAAGATTTTCTCTTCTTCAATTGTCCAATAGACCCCAATCCCTACTCCAAATAAGACATTGTAGATAATTCATTCACAAGAAATTCTTCTATTCTGCTACCATGCATCCTGCTCTGTCTCCAAATAGATGGCGTCATCTTTTTGTGAAGTAACCCCTTGCAAGGGGCACTTGGTCATTCCCTAATAAGCCTTCTCAGCTCTGAGATAACCATATTTGCTTTAACAACCTTTTTGTAAACACACAAGAAAGAACAATAATAAGCTTTAGGAGAAACCAGAAAAATGTTTAGGGTAGGAGAAAAAGTTACATTAAATGAACTATTCTACTGCAAAATTCTCCTGCTTTTTTTGAGCTTATTGGTGCAACCTGAGATGTCCATGTATGAAATAAATTGTGTTTGATGATTGTGGTAAAGCAACTAAAAGTTTCCATTTCACAGCTGGTTTATGGTATAGTATACACAAGCTAACTCCTACACTCATGCCCAAGCTGCCAAGAGAGAATTCATACAGAACAGGCAGAACACTGGACACTAGACAAACACGAGGGGGCACCTCTCTGGGAATAGAAACTCAACAAATTTTCTAAAAGAAGTACAATCTTAGTTCAAATCTAAAATATATAATCTAAAAATGAGGATATCAGCTTTAAATTCAAACCTTCTGATATTGGGTATAATAGTAGCTGTTAGTGAGGGTAGAAGGTTGGGCAAATTGTGAAATGTGAAGATTTAGCTCTGAAACCATCTCCACTGTGTCCCACCTGTGCCCTTCTCCCAATTCTGAAATGTCCCACAGGTGCCTCAAATTCAGCATGCCCCAGACTAAGCACCTGCTTCCTTCCACCACCTCTAAACCTGCTCCTTCTCCTTTATCCATATTCCTGAGAATGCCACTAACTTCCTCTCTCTCACCCAAGCCCCTTGCACCTTCTCTTTTGCCCTCCAATTAATCGCCAAGTCCTGCTGACACTTTCTCTTTTTCTTTGTCCATGCTGTCACCCTCCTCCTCAGGTCAGGGTCGCCTCCCACTTGGATGACCTCATCAGCAACCTAATTGGTCCCCTTGGTTACAGTACTTCCTAGTTCCCATATACTTTGTGCTGCAGCGAGAGTGATCTTTCCAAAACACAAAGTTGACCTTGTGATTTGCATGCTTAAAACCCTTCCCACTCCTGTTCAGGTAAAGTTAGTTAACTTTATTTTTTTTTTTTTTAAGACGGAGTTTTGTTCCGTCGCCCAGGCTGGAGTGCAATGGCATGATCTTGGCTCTCTGCAACCTCCGCCTCCTGGGTTCAAGTGATTCTCCTGCCTCAGTCTCCCAGGTAGCTGGAATTACAGACGCCCGCCATCATGCCTGGCTAATTTTTGTATTTTTAGTAGAGATGGGGTTTCACCATGTTGGCCAGGCTAGTCTCAAACTCCTGACCTCAAGTGATCCACCAGCCTCGGCTTTCCAAAGTGCTGGTATTACAGGCATGAGCCACTGTGCCCAGCCTGAAGTAAGATAACTTTAACATGCCTTTTTTTTTTTTTTTTTTTAGATGGAGTCTCACTCTGTCAGCAGTCTGGAGTGCAATGGCGCAATCTCAGCTGATCGCAACCTCTGCCTCCCGGGTTCAAGCGATTCTCCTGTCTCAGCCTCCCGAGTAGCTGGGACTACAGGTGCATGCCACCATGCCCAGCTAATTTTTGTATTTTTAGTAGAGATGGAGTTTCACCATGTTGGCCAGGCTGGTCTCGATCTCTTGACCTTGTGATCTGCCTGCCTTGGCCTCCCAAATTGCTGAGATTACAGGTGTGAGCCACCACGCCTGGCCTAACATGGCTTTTAAGACCTCTAAGTATGTTGCCACTTTACTCCCTGACAGTCTCCTCCTTGCAACCCACAGTACAACCATAATAAACTATTTTGGTTTGTTAAATGGGCCATTCCCTCTCTTCAAGATCCTCACTCATTTTATTTCCCCCTCTAGAGCATCCTTACTGTGTTTATCTTATCCTGAGGGCTAATTTCTGTGTATTTTTCAGGGTTTAGTTTATTCATAACTTCCTCCAGGAGGCCTCCCTAGTCTTGTTAAGATGCCCTTGCTATATGCTTCTTCCAGCAGTAATGTATACCTCTCCAGTCATCCTACATAGCATATTGTGTTATAACTGCTTGATTAAATGACCATTTCTCCAACTATACTGTCAGCTCTTTGAAGGCAAGGACCATGTCTGTATTGATCATCACTGAATCACCAGTGCCTAGGAGAGAGCCCAGTATATGGAAGAAAATTATACAAGTGTTGAATAGAGTGAAAGAAACAATGAGTTTCTCATCTTAACCCACAGTATCCCTAATAACTGCTGGGTCATTTTGTTTCACTTCACTCTTATGCAGTTATTTTAGGGGGGACTTTCCACCCATTTCTGACCAACTCTTTGAATGGCTGCTTTTTGCCATCAGGATGACATTCAATCTTGGCATGGGCATATAAGGCTCATTAGGATCTAGTTCTTGCCTACTTTCCCAGCCTCATATCTATTCCTTTCTTTAAATAAAATCCATGCTCTAACCACACCAGACTGCTTGGCTTTGCCCAAGGTCACCATGCTGTCTGACTCCTCAGTCCCTCTGCACTGGGACACCTGGCTTTCTACTCCTCGCTATTTATATTTCAACCCAAGGGTGCTCTTGGAAGTCCAACCTACCAAGCTTTCCTCCTACTACCAGTAACAGAATTGGGTATTGGTTTTCTGAGTGTTACAGACCCCATACATTTTCTCTATCATGTTTGAATTTTGGCTTTCTTCTAAGGTCATATTTTCAGGAAGAGCAGGGAGAAGAATCTTACAAATCTGTGTGATCACCCGATTTAACACAGTACCTGGCACAAAAGGGCATTCAGTAACTACCTTTTGAGTTAATGATTTTCCTTTAAATGAATACAATTTTTTAAATATAGGCAATGAGAACCAAAAGAAGCAAAAGGAGTATGCAGGCACTGACATATATTTTTAGCCAAATTAACACAACACACTCATATAATTCTTGTGAGGATCCATATGGACACCTACTGCCAAGATGATCACCTAAACTCGAACCTGGGGAGGGTGGACGAGAATGCTGTTTTCACCTTTCTCTGTTTGGCATTTATTTGGGGAGGGGTGTATCTGGTTTCAATCGCACTTTAAAAATAATGCTTTTAATATATAAGCCTCCAAATCATACATGTTCATAAAATATTCATCTCAGTCTGACAGGGCCTAGGCATTTTTCAGTTCCACCACTACTGCAGACTGCTGCCACACTCCAAGACATTTGCATTATAGCGCACAAATGTGTACTATTTTTTCCTTTATTTTCATCTTGTCAGGTCTGAACAGAAATAAAAATACTGATAGAACATTCTCTAAGAAGAAATGATACTTTACAGCTGACAGTTCTAGAGTAATTGGACATTAACAAAAAAACCCCAACCTGTTATTTTCTTAGAAAATTTTAGCTGCTTAGTAGACAATGAATCCACAAAAGACTGCCTGTGTTTCATAGATGATATAACCTAGGCATGCCCCTTAGAGCAATGCAGACCTCTGTAGCTCAACCTCTTTTATCTTGAAGTTACCTAGAGACCTACTAATATAATCCTCCCATGTACTTTGATCCTCACAGTGTTCAGTAATATAATCCAAATTCCTATCGATGTTTAACAACACAAGAGAGAAGGTGGAAGGACTCCTGCTTAACCACAAATGTAAATACTAAAATAAATTTAGTCACAGATCTCCTCCACCTAAATTTGGTTCTTGATGCGTGTTCAAATTCTTTTCACACACACAAACACACCCACCTATTACAATGTCTACAAATAATCCCTCCTCTGCAGGCCTGGTTTGAAACTCTAATTGGGGTTAGTCAGCATTGGCAAAGTGGTTTGCGATTTTCCCAGAGGCAAAGTTGCAGGACGCTAAAGCATTTCACTAGCATTACCTTTAGTGTGCCTGTGCTCCTAAGTTCCTAGAGGCAGGAGAGAGATGTAGAAGCTACCTGTCAATCTAGTGGAGGTCAGGTCAGATCACGTGTTAGAAACCAACTCCTCAGCTTCAGAAACATGTCTGAGAGAGGAGCTTGCAGGTGCAAGCAGCACGCTCCAAGGGTCTGAAGTGTCAGTGGGCATGTTTTGCAAGATATTTATGACTGGTGAACGATAGCATGTATTGAGATTTGGGCCCAGTGGAGGTTGAGGCTGAGGCTAACGTCATAGCTAAGTATCTGTGCATGTGTGTGTGTTGGGTAATGGGTGGTACATGTGTGTTGCATGTGTGGGTGATGTATGTGTTTGGAGGGATGATGAAGCTATTATTCCAATAGCTGGGGGAAGGAATTATAAAACATGTATAAGGATTTGTTCAAAGGAAAGCATTTTGTAACATTCCCACTCTCAAGCTAGGAACAAAATGACTGGGTTAGGAGGGCAAGTGATGAGGAAATGAGGAGAGCAGAAAAAAGTTAACAACATGTTTCTGTCACAGAGGGCTGAGTTTTTCCCAAAGGCTCTGGATGTCTGGGGATGACAGTCTGACAGCTGAATTTGGGATGGGACAGGACAGAGTAAATAACTAAAGAAAGTTTTCTGGCTGTCTTGATCAGCCACCTGCTATTGCATCTAAGACACCCTTGGCACTCACATCCTGGGGAACCCTCCGTGTATCCTTCCCTTAACTTTAAAGCCTCCTTTGCAGGGTAACCATTCAAGTTACCCTAATCTGATCAGACAGAGAACACTGAGTCAGACAGTTTAATTGGACAGCCAGCTCCTTAACTAGATTGTAAATTACCTGAGGGTATAAACTGCATTTTACACCTCTTTTTTGTTGTCCATTCCAGTCACAGGCTTTCAATAAATGAATGTTCTGATTGATTTTTTTAAACGATACATAATAACAATTGTTATTATTATCTAGTGCTTATTTTGTGAGAGAAAGCATACTATATGAATTAATTTATTTCTCACACTAAGAAATGAGGTGGTGCATAGATTACCTGTGTTACAGAGAAGGACACTGAGGCACAGAGAGGTTAAGTAATTTGTCCAAAGTCACACTGCTTGTAAAGGGCAGAATCAGTATTTAAATCCAGATAGTCTGGCTGTTGTATTCATACTCTTAACCAATCCATGATCTTTCTGTTTATAGACATGTGTGATTCTGGAATTCCTTGTGGCTTTTGTGATTTGCAGGAGGAGAGATGGCTAGAGAAATGATGAGCCTTTTTAAGAGTGAAACCTACTAATGGAACCACCACAGTCATAGTGTCTTTTTATTTTTCACCATGGCCACTCAGAGGGGGGAAAAAGCAAAACAAAACAAAAATAAACGATTCTCATTTAAGAGACAGTTTTGGTCTTGTATGATTTTTTTTTTTTCATGATTGAGTCAGCCTTGGTAGATTCAGCTTGGTCCTTGGTTTCCCACAACCTCAAATCCTGTAGGAAAATGGATTTGTTTTAGGGCCAACTCACGGTTCATACTATCCTCAAAGTAGAGCCAACCAAAACTTCTTGTTACACAATTTATTTTGTGCTCTTTTGGGGTGGTCTCCAAATCTCTTTTAGATATGCCAAATCTGGTTCAACTTTCAGAAGCAAGATCTGAGTAATGACTCCATCCTGCTCCACTAAGGGATTTTGTCTCCATGTCACACATGTGGGAAGAGGGTGTGCGGCCACAGGAGGAAGACCTATAGAAATCACTAAGTACTCAAGGGCAAAACTGCTAGGAAAAGGATAGGATTCCAGAAAGGTAGAAAAGAAAAGAAGGGAATGATCACTAGCAACATGAGATCAGAGAATCATCTGGGAATCGGAGAGCAGTGAGGAGCACCTGTGGAAGGGTTGACCCTGCCAAGGGAAGGCTGGAGACCAGGTCAGGTCAGTGGAAAGAAAGCAAAGAGGGGAACAAGAAATGAGATCTGGGAGAGGCAGCAGCCAGGCAGCAAAGATGAAAAGCTCTAATTTGACAAGGGAAGAAGGAAGGCAGGAGGGATGTTGGGTGAAAGAATCGCTCCTAGAAAAGAAGTTACACCAGGGCTCTGCTTCTGACTCTTGCGACCATTTTCAGCCTCAAAATTTTCATTTCTAATGGGGCTTAGTGATGAGCCTTATCAAGCCTAATCTTCAGGAATATTATGCGCAATAACAAGAAATGGATTGGAAAATCTTCATATGGTTTCATGTGGCTATTTGTGAAAGCTGAACTTAACCAATCTATTCAGCTCTGATCACAATGAAAAACAGCGGTGGCTGCAAACCATGTTTCCAGCATTCTTACTCCATACTTTCCATACTTTCAATTATTCACTCAACTGTCACCAATGACTGCGCTGCTACCTTCTACTGCGATTCAGGATTATAAAGGAAAATAAGATATTTTCTGTCAGCAAGTTGTTCACATGGGAAAAACATACACTTAAAAATAACAATGTGTTGAGAAGTACTATGACAAAGAAACTATAACAGGGATATGGAAGGACCAGAGAGGGTGTCCTCTAGCCATTTCCCTCATATACCCCCATTTACTCCCATATACCCCCATTCCACCTGGAAAGCCTCCTTCCCAACCCTGACCCTCAACCCATATCCCTTGAAGTCTTGACCATTCCTCAAATTCTAGATCAAATGCTATTTTCTCAACAAGGTAGTTCCTAATTCTCAGAAGGTGGAATTAATCTTTCCATTCTGTGTGCTTCTGTAACATGTTATTTATATCTCTGGTTTAAAATTTCTTCTAATTAGTTCTTTTTAAAAAAACTATGTATGATGAAGGTACATATATACATATATATATAAATATCTCTATGGAGGTTTCTTAAAGTGCACTTAGGGTCTGATGAGGTAAAAGTTCATTTGCATCAAGTAATCTACAGCCCCTTTTAAGAGGCTAAAGTGAATAGACCCTGCTTCATTCTGGCAATTGTGAAACCTTGTTTATACATTTTCTTGTTTTGAAGAGGCATAAAAGAAATAGGTTTTAGACCTAAAATGACCCAATCATTCCTTCCAGCTCTTTCTACATTGGACAAAGAACAGGCAACAAAATAAAACAAAAAAACCCTCAAATTAATCACATAATTTTTAATCTGGAAAGGACTCTATATTTCATTTAACCCAATATCTTAATTACAAATAAAGAAACTATGTCCTGAGAAATTTAGATACTTCTTCAATATTACACAGCAAGAATCAACAATAAATTTTGCAACCCTTAAGTTCAAGGCTCTTCCCAATAGAACCTTCCCAAAATGTAAACCAAGTAGTTTACCTTTAATAAGAAAGAAAGTGTTTTTTAAAAAATGAAATAGCATTAAAATGTACAGAGAAAAAATTCATTGAAAAGCAGTATACATTATAGAGAAATGTCTTCCCATTAGTCCATTTGTCCATAGAGAATATCACGCTTTTACAAAAATCAGTGAAAATGTTTGTAGAGTTTAAAGCTTTAATTTAAAAATCTGTCTTTTATGATGTCTGGATCCTTTATCCTTCAGACATCAAATGATTCTATACAGTTAGCAATGAGAATTATTTTGAGGTTCTTCTCCAAGATATTTTAATATGTTTGGTGGTATTGGCCATTAACAGGTGTTCTTAACAGTTGCGGAAGTAAAATAATACATCAAGGCTCTGTTGAGAGGTGCACATTCACACATGTTCTCTCCCATCATGACTTAGGCAAAGGCAGCAGGTGCACTCAAACGTGGCATAGTTTACTCCATCTCATTTCTGCTATTGTTGCCAGAAGGCTTGCCTTTTCCCTGCCCTTTCCCATGTCCCCCGCCTCATCACCATCCTGATAGATCTGACCCAGTCCTATAGATGCCCCAGATTGGGCATGTGGGCGCACACGCACACAACAGGTTGAAGCACTAAAATTGAATTTAAAACTTACTGGGTTTCAATTCTAAACAGGCATATGTATATATAATATGTATATATGTACACAAGTAGATGTGCATATAATATGTATGTATCTACCTATATATTCAAAGTGATAATCACTTAGACAAATACCACTCGCTTTTAAAAATTCTTTCATTCACTGCAGAGGATGGTTTGAAGAAACTGGCTTTCAGTTAAAGATTACACCCACTGCTCTGCCATTCCCAAGACCCCTCAGGGGCACAGAGACAGTGCCTGGGTTTTGCAGCTACACAGGGGCTTAAATACAACATCTACCACTTACTATTTGTGTGATCTTGAGAAAATTACTTAACCTCTTTGAACAATAATTTTCTTAACTCTAAAGTGAGGATGTTAATACCTACTTCATGGAGTTATGAGGACTGGAGGTAATGTATGCCAATGGGTCCTGCGTGGTAGTGCTCAGTACATAATAGCTATTATGATGCAGATGATGATAAGAGGGAAGAGTTAAAGAGGAAGTAGGGGGACGATGATGGCCCCCATTTCCCAAATGCCTACTATATTTCAGGATTTCTCAGCAAGGACTGGTAGAACTTGACTTGACTGCCAGCTTTTATCTGGTGAGTATGAAGCTCGAGGTAGAGGAAAGAGAACTAGTAGGGGGAAGTCCATGAATGGCTAGCATTTAATATGTAATTTTCCTGTCTTGAGCCTACACATACATACACTTAATGTCCCTTCCACTGCTGAGGAAACGGCATTTCACAGCAGTGAATTCAGCAT
The DNA here is from genome assembly GCF_000001405.40 of Homo sapiens. Lineage (NCBI taxonomy): Eukaryota > Metazoa > Chordata > Mammalia > Primates > Hominidae > Homo > Homo sapiens. The sequence goes on along the minus strand of NC_000003.12, from coordinate 111,677,179 downwards.
CTTTTGAGGAGTCAAAGCCATTTTTTTTTCTTTTTCCTTAGCAGGACCGGACTTCACAAAGCAGGGTGAAAGAATTTGCATGATCTCCATGGTGGCTAATCATATAATTTCCAGTTTCAGCAGCTGGCACCAGCTATTTGCTCCCCCGCTACCCAAGCAATTCTAGTAACTGTGAGATATCCTATGAATCACAGAACAAATGCCCAACTCCTTTCTACAGTCACGGGGTCAGAGTACACAGCCAACCCACTAGCAGAGCTGGAGTTATGGTTTGAGCCAAAGTACAACAAGGAAGGAGGAAGCCCCAACCTACCCCGGACATGCCCTGAATGACACAGCCATTTAGGGCCTGCCAAAGATGCCATTCTGTTTGCAAACACATATTACCTGCCATATCACTCAACAAAATAATTCCATCAGAAGGCCTGAAGGCAAATGACTAATGTTAAAAGTGGCCCATGCATCATTTCAGTGACAACTCCACAGGCGCCAATTAAACATGGAAAAGACCTGTTCTGAAGCATGCCCATCTGGCATTTCCCAAGGAACTGTAGTCAATGGCTGATAAAACATACATGATCATAACTATAAAGAAATTTCGCAGCCCTCTCCTTGCTCAAAAGCAACCGGGGCCTATGAGGACAATGAACCTGGAAGACACCCAAAAGAGGAGGTGAGTAAAGAAAAGCCTGCATTTGAAGCCACCACTGCTCTTCCTCATGCACAGAAAGCAAAGATCGGGAGTTGCATGAGGTCAGATTTTCAGCCACCAAAAACAAACAAACAAAAAAACCAACCAAACCTCAAAAAAAACCCAGACGGGTCTAGGGAATACTTGGGAGTTTGTCTGGTAGTCTGTGGGTGAACTTCAATTGTTATGTCTCCGAGTGAAATAAAGGATTGGCAGTAGTCCATCCCCTGCTTCTAGGAGTGCTTTCCAGTATCAGCATTTGTAGGACTTGCTCAGCACACCAGGCCAAACTCACTGTCCAAATATCCTTCCCTAGAAAACATACAATAACCACCTTCTGAGTGGAAGGAAGAGGACACATTTAACAAATGATGTCAAGGCATAAAACCTCCGGCAGAGAGACAGTGGCTGGAGCAGAAGTGCTTTTCAAGGCTGCAGTTCTAAATCAGTCAGGCAGACACCTGTATACATACATACATACAGAGACAAAGCTTCAAACACCACCACCTCATCACACCTAATGACTGCCTGTGATGAGAGTCTGCATTCTCTATTCTGGCTTTCTAACAACAAAAATGTGTCTTTATACTCAGTTCTGATTCTGAACCTATTCTCTAATGCTTATCCATTTTTTGTTTTTCCAATACACAAGGTCAGATAAATGAGAAATAAAATATTTTTCAGTTTTAATTTTGATCCAGATCTAAATTGTTTGTGACTTTTAATTCATTGCCTTTGATTTCCCCTTCAAGTGATTTAAGACAATGCACCCCTCACATACACATAACAACAGTAAGAAGGATAATATTCTTAGAATGGGGCTAGCAAATATAAGCAAACAAACAAAAAAACCACAAACAAAAACAATGATGCTTCTGTTTTCATGAGTCCTTTTACCAATGATGCAGTGTACTGCAATCTCTTTAAAGCAGCTGCTTCAGTGTTAAGTTTTTGGTTTGGAAATAAAAAGGGGTCACTGACAATTAATTTCTCAGCACAATAGAAAAGCAACCCAACCCCTTAACAACACTAAAATGGCAGAATTAAACACAGTGGGAACAAGTAGGAATAGACGAATACCTGGGATTGCCAGATTGGAAAGGGGGAGGTTGTGGAGGTGAGGGGGGAGCGAGGCCATCCAGTCGGCATTGCAGACCTCCGATGATGTCTTTGTCCCGCTGGGGTTGGGGGAGCAGATGGTCCCCATCCTGAGTTTCCTCCTGGCCTTCCTAACTGCTAGCATCCCTGTTGTTAACAAACTGGCCAGTCTCAGCCCAGTGCCACTCACTCAGTGATCATCACTTCTTGGGCTCTGTGGACGTTTCAGGGCGACGCTTGCCACGCCAGTCTTTCCAAAATGCCTTTCTGGCTGGGGGACGGGGCAAACAGATGGATCCTTACCCACTAGCACTCACAGTCCCCACTCTCTCCGGCCCAGCCTCCGCTCCACTCCCTTAATCTGCTCAGTCCCAGCTCCGTTAAACTTCTTATGTTCCCCTCTGGAGATGGGGGAAGGTAGGCCCCTAGAGATAAATCTTACATAAACTGAAAGTCCGAGGAGCAGCCACACCCGGAGCCACTCACAAGACAGGTGCCCACCCAGTGTACAGACATGCCTGCGGGTCCATACACAGGTGCGCGCCCGGGCGCGCCGGCTCTAGCCTGATTTATGTTTCTATATATGTCACTGGGCTGGTACACAAGCTGGGCCTGCCTGCTACTCACTCCCCCGCTTCTCTGCACAGACGCCCCCTGCCCTGTGGCTTCCTGAAAGACACACAGAAGTGCAGCCGGCGGCACCAGGACTCCCAGCAGCCCCTCCCCGCACTGCCGGGCAGATTTGCCGGGCTAGGCGGCCCGTGATTGGCCGCTGGCGGAGCGCGCTCCGATTGGCCAGCGCTCTCCGGGCTGCCCCTCTGTCCCGCTCCCACGCCTTCCCTGCTCCCCAGTCTCCTCCCTCCGTTACTCTTGCCTTCCAGTGTGTGTGTAGACAGACGCCGCGGCAGCGACTGCATTTGTGGAAACTTGCAGGCTTCGGCCAGTCGGTCCTCAGATAGGTCCTCTTTCCTCCAGCCCCTCACACAGTCAGCACTCAGATGTTCACCGCGACCGCAAATGTTTCCTTCCTTCTTTCAGACACGCGCGCACACACACCCATACACACACGGAAAGGGTTACAATTTCCGTAAACCACAGAAGCAGCAGAAATATGATAGGTAAGAGGCCCAGAAAGGTGCTGTATCTCATATTTGGATGACAACATCTAGGATGGTTTGTGTTTCAGGCATTACATAATTAAGCTTCACCTACACATCACTACGCAGCAGTTCTGTGCAGTTATTCCCATTTTACAGAGGAGGCAATAATGAAACATATTTGTATTGTCCTGTTGTTTGGAACTTTCTTTCAAATTCCTTGTCGCATTTGCTCTTCACAGTACCCCCACCAGGCAGGGAGGGTTGCTGACATAATTCCCTTTAGTAGATGAAATGAAAGTCTGGAAGCATTCAGGGAGCTGAATGTGGTGGCACTATTGGAAATCCCATTTTGGAAAGAGTCTCGCTGGTATGGAGGCTCGTAGGCATACAAACCCATTTCCCTGCTTTCTGCAGTGTTCCCTACTCCTTCAAATGGTACTTCTCCGTGACGGAAAACTACGAGGTCTCTGCTGATCTGAGGACTTTGCACATGAAAATCACAGGGACACCGTGGCAAACAGACAAATCAAGAAAAGCACCCTGGACTTGATGGTAGGGACCCGGAGGGCTTGACGGTAGGGTCCTGGAGGGCTCCAGGTCAGGCAGGTCCTCAGTAACTCAGGAGGACCTTATGGGAAAAGAAGGCGGTTGCCTGAGCTAAGACAAGACTGAAGGCTCATATATAGATCTGTAGGTCAGCTAACATTTAATCACCAAGTGGTCCCACCTTATCTCCTGAGCCCCAAACCACCTTTCCATACACATAACTCCTGCTGCATAGTGGCCCCTTTTGACATCTTATCAATCTTTCCTTTTCCGGGCTATTAACATTCATTTAAACCTGCTTTGCTGCATAATAGTCCCAGTTTTTCTGTTTTGTTTGTTTGGTTTGGTCTGGAGGATTATCACTTGTATGTTAAGAAAGTGTGTAATATTTTTCATATATCTCCTAATGCTTAAAGGGTACTTCAGTATAAACGTGGTATTCTTTGTTTTTAAGTACACCACAGGATACTGGTAATATGTCACCTACCTGTTTGCATCAACAATGTTTTTGGGCTTTTTCCTCCCACCCACTCTCCTAGAAAAATCACTCTGTGAAGTAATATCTTAAGATTTATTTTTGAAGTGACAGCTTTCAGGGCTTCCCTTCAGCCTAAAATTTCCAAACATAAAACTTTATGGAAGCGGTATAAGGCAAACACAATGTATTCTTTAGTCTCTACTGTGAAATGTTAATTTTAGTGCCTTTTTTCCCCTTATTTTTCAGCTGTTAATGAAAGGAATGAGTGATATTTAGAAAGCATCAAATTTGGCCGGGCGCAGTGGCTCACGTCTGTAATCCCAGCACTTTGGGAGGCCGAGAAGGGTGGCTCATGAGGTCAAGAGATCAAGACCATCCTGGCAAACATGGTGAAACCCAGTCACTACTAAAAATACAAAAATTAGCTGGGTGTGGTGGCGCATGCCTGTAGCCCCAGCTACTCAGGGGGCTGAGGCAGGAGAATCGCTTGAACCCGGGGGGGTGGAGGTTGCAGTGAGCTGAGATCCGCCACTGCACTCCAGCTTGGTGACAGAGTGAGACTCCATCTCAAAAAAAAAAAAGCAAAAAAGCCTCGAATTTTAGAGACTTAGCAACATTACTAAGTGAGAACTTGAAAGGAAGTAGAACCGCTTCAGAATGAGATGATTTGCACCTCTCTGAAATTGGCAGCTTTTAAATTTACAGTTACTTGATTTGCCCAAGAAAACAATTCAAAAGGAGGGCAACACTTTTTCCATATATTCCTGAGTCAGTCTTGGGAAAAATCTAGCAAATGAAAACACAGTGTCTAGTACAGTACTTGGCATATAGCAGGTGCTCAGTATTTATTGGAAGGAGGGAGATGCTTGGTAAAAGCTCTTGGTAAATGTCATGCTCTGCTGAGCTCCAAGGAGTGTATTAGAGCAGTGCTTTTCAGATATTACTATGTGAATCAATCATATTCTGATTAAATCGATTTGAGATGGACCTGATAGTCCAAATATTCAACAAGCTTCTAACCGATGCAGATACTCCTGGCCCAGACTACACTTTGAGTAGCAAGGCCTTAGAGAACAGGCTCATGTTTGACAGGAAGGATATGCAGTGCTTTTTCTCTCTTTTCCAAGATTTTATAATGTTTTTACATAACTTTTATAATCATAAAATAAATTTGCTTTAAAAAACTCAGCTAACAATCTCTAAGATAATTTTTTTATCATATTATGCCATGGAAACCAAATTACCAGTGGGATTTTTCTACTATGCTATAGGAGTATAGGGAAAAATATTTTTTAAGTAAAAATTAATATTTAGAGTTTGGATAATTAATATTTTTATACATTCTATATTATGACATCAAAAGAAGAGAACTCAATTACAGTAGGACTGAAATTTTGAAGTAAGTAAATTTTAATGAATAATTACAACCAAATGGAGTGCTTTTTTTGTGTGTAAATCATTCTGGTAGGTCCTAGGAGTGGAAGAAAAGTGAAATGATCCTTAGATAATATATAATCCAGTAGAAAAGAGAGTCAAATATGTGAATTACAAATTGTAATATCAGGGAGAATGAAGGGATAACAGAGACACACAAATGGAGGATAATAAAGTGGTATATATTTTGATGGAGGAAGAGCCAAGGGATGCACTGTTAGAGGATGTGGTATTCAAACCAGGTCTTGAATTCTGAGAAAAGTTTTGCTCATGGAAAATGGGTAGAGGGTTTTGGCATGGGAGAGGCATATGTAGCTGGGAAAACAGAGGCAAAGCTATGACAATGAATGATAGATGTGAGAAACAGAAAATATACTAGAGTGACATATGAGAGAAGTGGGAAATATTGTTCATTTACTCTCATTTAATCTTCACATGAGCCCAATGAATTAGATACTATTACTGTTCCCATTTTACGAAGGATACTGAGGCTTAGTGGCTACATAACGCTGTCCAAGATCTCATAGCTAGTGAGTTGCATAGCTGGGACTCCAGGTCTCTTGATCATTGTGTCAAGGGCTTCCCGTTACATGTTACCTGTTATTGTAAACCTGGTAAAGGCTGTTTATGACCAAAGCATATTAAAGAGTTGCACTTTTTTTTTCTATTGACAAAAATGGCCATTGCAGGTTGAGAAAGGGAGTAAAATGATTCACATTGTACTTTAGGAAGGTAACTATGGCAGAATGGAGAATGCTTGGGGGAAATAAAGAGTCTTTCAGATAAATCACTGAAACCAATTATCTAAGCAATGAAAAGTGAGAAAAAATGCAAAGACCTGGCACATAGAGACTAAACGCATGGCTTTTCTGAACTCTGATGCTTGGCTCCCCAACCCTACTTCTCACCCCAAGGACCTGTAATTCTAAGGCCTGAGTGGGTAGCTTCCCTATCTCTTAAATTATTTTTTATTACTTGAACACCTCATCAAACTGTTCATCCATTTTTATTGAATACAACCAATCTCATTTATGTAAATACATATGCAAATCTGTTTTCTGGAAATTTTTTCTCCATTACACTCTTATTTCCCCAACCATTCCCCATTCTGCCATAATTATCTTCCAAAATACAATGTGAATAATTTTGCTTCCCTTCTTAAAAACCTGCAATGGCCTCTCTTGTCAACATAAAAAATTTTCCAAGCTTTTAAATATGCTTTGTTCATAAACAGCCTTTACCAGGGTTACAATTATAATAGGTGACATGTAATGGTAAAGACCCTGCTGGATTCCTGAAGAGCTGACTATAACCTTAGCCCTCTATTTGGAGACTCCCTTATTGTTTGAAATGTCTGTACTTTACAAGTGGTTTGTTTTGTTTGGATTCACGTGATAAATGAGTAGTGAGGATCCCAGATAAAGCACCAAAACAGCTTGCCATTCAGACATGTGTAGTTGGCAGGATAAGCCGGCCTGATTTTACTTGATTAAAGGCACCCAAAAAGCCTTGGAGGAAGCATATTGATTTAATGATATTGGGACCAGGGCTGTCCCTGGTCCCCAGAGCTAAGCCCCAGGACTGTCTTACTTCCCAGGCTGTGTACGAGATGGGGAAGGAACAGATCCCAAGCAGAATCAGAACACAGACATGTATTTGGTCGAGGGATATTGCCTAGAGGAGAGTGAGGTTATATGATGCTTTGAGTTCCACAGTGATGCGTCACACACAATTTTTTTTTCTGGCTGGGGAGTGGGGTGGGTGGAAAAGGAATAAGGGACTGAAATGAGGAGCCAAGTAAACGAAAGATGGGATGGAGTAGAAGCTGCTTTGCTTTATGGCCTCGTACCAGTAGAGTTTATTCCTAGTCTTTCCCAAGCTTCTTCACCCAGCTCAAGCCAAAAGACTGTATGATAAAGATCAGAGGAGAATGAGGAGATGCAACCAACATAGGTGGTGCTGGGACGTGACGACAGCAGCAGCAATTACCTCCAGGAAGAGTGACATCATTGCAGCAACTGGGGATCTTCAGGAGCCTCCAAGGAAATGGAGACACTGAGGCACACACTTGTGGACACATGATACAACTTACACATTCCTGACATCAGAAGACAGAGGATTGGGATCCACTTATTTTGTTGATTGGGGTAGAGCCGGAGACTATTGTTTTGTCATTTTTACTGTGACCATTCCCGGATTATACCCAGGTGGTGTGTCCTTGAGAAACTGGGTAGAAGAGAAGCAGAAGCTTAAGCAGGAAGTAGCGTTGTCTATATTACCTCATGCCCACTTGGTATTTATGGCCCACAACTGGGATTCTGTAATGAGACAAGAGTGAACGGCAGCAATGGCTGGCCATAAGATTGTTTCTCCCAGATTTGAAAGCTCGGTGTTCAGGAAGACCCTAAGAGCCTCTGTGCCTTTTAAGTTTATTGGACATTAAGTTTTTCTGGTATGCTTTCAGAAAATTTATTTTAACAGTAGTCGTTACTATAATACTTTTGAGAGGGCTACTAACAAGTGATGATTGTAAAATTCATTTTAATATCCATTCATTTCCGTCTACCACACCACATTCCAGCATCCTCTTCCATTTCTCCTTCCCACGCCACCTCCAATCCCTGAAAAGGAAATTGAGAGGAAATAAAGGCCTCAGAGCCTTTATTTTCTAGCTAGTTAGCTAGTTAGCTGCAAAGTCCCTGATTTAAGATGTTATAGAGCCACCTACTGGTATTCAAGGCTCACTTCAGGCACGTATAATATGTTCTGTCAGTGTCAATTATTCCTAAAAATGCCTGTAGATCACCAGCAACAGGAACAACTAGGAGTTTATGCAATATACAGATTTCTGGATCAAATGCCAACCCTCCTGCATCAGATCCTCTGGGATGGCATCTTTTCCTCCTGTCTTTAAAATGTTCTCCTCAGGGGATTTTTATGTCTCAAATGTTTGAGATGAAGGCTTTGAAATGTCAACAAATTTCTCTTTTTTAAAAAAGTTAAAATAGGTAGAATGGCAGAGTAAACAATTCTTATCCATGCTGCATATAACTTTATGCAATTAGGAAGACTATTTTGGCAGAGATAGTTGATCTCAACTAGCAGGAAAATCAATTGATCTGCCACCCTTACCTTTTTTTTCTCCAGGCTACCACCCCACCCCAAGGTTCCTAGAATTATGAGAATTATGTCTATTATTAGGAGACATTGTTGTATTAATGTGTATATTAGTAATCACTTGAGCTTCAGTCACAACAGAATGACCTCTGTGCATTTGTTATCATTTAACCAATCTAATCTTGGGAATGCATTCTTTTAACAACATGACTCTGCAATTTGGTGTGCCACTATCAATTGGAAATAGCATGATGCCACCTCATCCATGGAGTAAAAATTAGTAATATTATCATTACCTAATACTATCATTCTCTTCCAACTTTTTAAATATTAAAATTACAAGTTTGTACAAACAACCTTAACCAACAAAAATATTTTTTAATAAAGTAAATAAATTTCAATGTAAATAAAAGTAATGAATTTTTAGTGTGTCAACAACTCTCTCTGATCAACTCTCTCTGAATGTTAGGTTGTAGTCAAAAGCCCTTACAAATGCTTCTTGGCCTTTTGATGATTTTGTTTCAAAGGATTCTGATTTGCTTAAGTGTCTGTAGTTAACTCCCCAACTCAGCCACGTGTTCGGCTCTGCCCTTCCTAAACTGCAGAAACTGGTCATGGAGGAAGTTGTAGTTTATCTTAGCAACATCTGCACCCACAGCTTCCTCTTCCTTTGAGTAGCAGAAGTAAAAGAGAAAGTAAAATTTATGCCACACATCTTTCTGTTTCAGCCAAGTATAAAGGAGAATATTCTAGAAGTCAGAGTTAAGCAATATAATGAAGTAGAGGAGGAAGTGAGTTCCTATAACTGGAAGCATCCAAGCCAAGCTTGGCACCAATAAGACAGTAACATGATAGAATTGAAGCACCTGATGCTTGATTGAACTACATGAACTTCACGGTCTTTCCAACCGTACTCTGTTTTTTTCCCTCTGCCTGCTGTAGATACCTTTTGTCTTTGCACAGTTAAGCCTTTCTTTCCTTTTTATTGCCTTTCCTCACTCAAATCTTTGACTTCATTTGCTGTAGTCAGGACTAACAGAACTTCTATATAAATATGGACCTAATATTCTAAAATCATGCGGCTACCAGCAAAAGCTTGAGATTGTGTTTTGGGGAGTACCTTTATACTGGTAACACGTTCTAGCCTCTGGGGACACCTCAACATTTTCTCTACCCTCTCCCCGCATTCAGCACCCAGGATGAGATGCGCTTAGCTCAGGCAGTCAGGCTCAGAAAACACATAATGAAGCTCTCAGAGTGGGAAGTATGAATGACCTGGATGGAAGTCACCTTTAGTGCCTCCATCACCTCCACAGTGGTAGGATTGATGTGTGTGCGGCCCGAGGGCAAAGCTTCTCAACTCTTGCGCCAGATGTGCCCTAATCATGGAGCTGAGTAAATGCACACTCCCCAGAGCCCTGTATGGCAGGCATGACAAGCACTGATCCTGGCATTTCTTTCAAGCTGCATAGTTTGTTTTTGTAAATTCATTCACATTTTGTTACACACACACACACACACACACACATGCACACACACACACAAAATTGATGTTCTGGATGTGCTATGTTTGCCCTGTGGCTTCGAGTCCCTTCTGGCACACGCCTTTATTCTTGGGTACTTGTGACCCCTAATGTGAAAGTCCTAGGTCTGGAAGAAAGGCACCAAGAAGTCAATTAGGCACAAGAAAGCTCTGTTCACTCATGGCCCAGCCAACTTTAGTAAAGTAGAAGACTATGAGTGGATTTGAAACCAAAGCTTGAAATCGTGTCTATTTGCCCAAACCTTAGGCAACCTGGAGCAAACGCTGGTGAAGAATCAAGATTATGAGCCATTAGACTGTCTTCTTAAAGAGAGTAGAGAACTGAAAGCTTCCCACCTAAGCTTAACTCCCTCCTCTTGAGTTGACCAGGAGAAAGTTTCACTTGTAGGGCTCATCCTGCCCTTCTGGTACCGAATGTACAATATTAAAGCCTGATAAATTTACACAGCGGAAGTAGAAGACAAGAGGCCTCTGACTCAGGTCTCAAACTCCTATGAATCTTTAGCCTGCTGAGGTATGTTCTTGCTCCAAGAGTTTTAGACTAAGTTTCCTCACCTGTCTAGACTGGTGTTCTGTGTCTACTTACTTGAGTCTTCACTGATTCCTTGGATCTGTTTTTTTTTTTTTTTTCCTCTGCACCTATGATGCCTGCCTGATTCTACCAATCTGGGCTAAACTTTGAAACTGACTCAGTGGCCTATTCAGCCTAAGGCATCTGCCAAGCTGCCCAGATTTAGGTCCTGACCTCTCCTGGCCTGACTGACATGCCACAATAAAAATCATTAGAAGAAGAGCATTGATTTAAAGTGGATATATTAGTCTGTGATGTGAAGTGAGTCAAAAGAAAAGCTCAACTCACCATACTTGAGTGACAATCACCACCTTTAGCAAATTCTCTGCTCCACAAGGCATTTTTCTTTCTCCTACTCACTCATTTGCCATTTCCTGTCATTCATTCACATGATACTGAATTGAATACTACTTTGTGTCTGGCCTCATCCTCACAGTGGGGGCGTTGAGGAGTGAAGGCAGCTTTCCACCTTTGAGGACATTTGGGTCCAACAGAGTTCACAGCCCGCATTCCCTCATCTTGGAGTGACATTGCACGTTTTGACATAAACATTAAAGCAACAATAGCAAACTGAAAAATTTCATCTCAGTAGATAGGACAGAGAGTATCTTCAAATAGTATTTATTGAACAGATAAATATTGGTCAAGCTGTGTACCCAAAATTTGGGGTGATGGGTAAAAGTCCTGTAGGAGGAGGTTCTGTAGAAGTGATTGCTGAGCCTTCTTCCTGCCCCCGCTCCTGTGTGGGGAGCCCCAAGTAGGAATGATGAGCAGGAGTCTGCCCAGTTCTGCCACATGTGTGGGATCTTGCTGCAGGGACTGCTGTAAACTGTGAATTGTTTCCGTAGTTTCTACTAAAGTAGCAACAAAAAACACTGCCCAAGGGTTTGAGGGAGGAATGAAAGTCTCTTTCTTGGGTGGAGTCTGGAGAAACACAGCTTAGTTTTCTTTGATATGAAATGGTTCAACGGTGAGAGGGTAAGTTTGCTCTGGAGTTTTGGGAAAATCAAAGGGCTCCAATTATCTCCTTAAGAAAGGAAAATTGATTGAAGTTTTGGTGGATCCCAGCCAATACCTAGGGTAGAATAAGACCCAGAAATGATATAAAAACAGCGAACTTATGGGATGAATCCTTGCTTATTTTCTTTCTGAACTTTCAGATTAAACAATGCTCAGAGAAAAGAGAAAGAATCCTGCCCCCCACGCCAATGAAACAGCATTTTGGATTTTGTCATACTGTAAAAAGGTTGCAGTCTTGGAAAAATAGGGTAGTTTTGAGTCAAATTAAGAATCTTTCATTAGGGTCTTGCTCAAGTACTTTTTGTTTAAACTTTCTACTTGGAAATAATTTCAAACTTCAAAAAAAGTTGCAAAAGTAAAAATATTAAAAGACACACACACACACATACACACACACACACACACACACTTATTCCATCTACCTAGATTCATCTGTCTTTAACAATTTACCCCCTTTACTTTGTCATTTGCTTCCATCTCTCTCTGTATGCATATACATGTATATCTATACATGCATGTATGTATGTATAAGTGTATGCATATACATATGCATGCACACATGAACACACACCCTTTGAGGCTAAGTTATTTATATCATAGTCCTTTGACTGCTAAATAATAACTGTGTATTTCCTAAGAATAAAAATATCTCTTACATAACAACATCGGAGTTATAAATACTTTTATCTAGTCATCTGTCCATATTCTAATTTTGTCAGTTGATCTAATAAATGTCTTTCATACCATTTCCCCCCTTCTAGTACAGGATTCAATCTAGAGTTAGGTATTGCAATCAATTGTCATGTCTCTTTAGCCTCCTTTAATCTAGAATATTTTCAGAGCCTTTCTTTATATTGACATTTTTGAAAAATATAGTCCTCTCTCCCTTTTTAATATACCTTTTTTTTGTTTAAAATTTCAACTTTTATTTTAGATACAGGGGTACATGTACAAGTTGCATGAGGATATTGTGTGATGCTGAGGTTTGGGGTACAGATCTTTTCATTTAGGTAGTGAGCATGGTACTTGATAGGTTATTTTTCAACCCATGCCTTCCTCCTTCCCTTTATGCTCTAGTAGTCCACATTGTCCATTGTTTCCATATTTATGTCCAGATGTGCTAAATGTTTAGCTCCCACTTATAAGTGAGAACACGTGGTATTTTTTTTTCCTGTTCCTGCATTACTTCACTTAGGATTTTGGCCTCAAACTACATCCACGTTGCTGCAAAGGACATGATTTCATTCTTTTTAATGGCTGCATAGTATTCCACAGTGTATATGTACCACATTTTTTTTCCAGTCCACAAATGATGGACAACTGGGTTGATTCTATATTTTTGATACTGTGAAGGGCACAGTGATGAGCATACATTTGCACGTCTTTTTGGTAGTATAATTTATTTTCCTTTGGGTATACACCCAATAATGTGATTGCTAGGTTGAATGGTAGCACTATTTTAAGTTCTTTGAGAAATATGCAGACTGCTTTCCACGGTGACTAACTTACATTCCCACCAGAAGTGTATAAGCGGCTGGGCGCAGTGGCTCAAGCCTGTAACCCCATCACTTTGGGAGGCTGAGGCAGGAAGATCACGAGGTCAGGAGATCGAGAGCATCCTGGCTAACATGGTGAAACCCCATCTCTACTAAAAATACAAAAAAATTTCTGGGCGTGTGGTGGCAGGCACCTGTAGTCTCAGCTACTCGGGAGGCTGAGGCAGGAGAATGGCGTGAACCCGGGAGGTGGAGCTTGCAGTGAGCAGAGATAGCACTACTGCACTCCAGCCTGGGCAACAGAGCGAGACTCCATCTCAAAAAAAAAAAAAAGTGTATAAGCATTTCTTTTCTTCACAACCTTGCCAACATCTGTTTTTTGACTTTTTAATAATGGCCATTCTGGCTGGCGGGAGATGGTATCTCATTGTGATTTTGGTTTGTGTTTCTCTAATGATTAGTGATGTTGAACATTTTTTCATGTTTGTTGGCCACTTGTATCTCTTCTTTTGAGAAATGTCTGTTCATATCCTTTGTCCATTTTTTTAAAAGGAGTTGTTTTTTGCTTGTTGATTTGTTTAACTTCCCTTTAAATTCTGGATATTAGGCCTGTTGATTGTTTCTTTTGCTGTGCAGAAACTTTTTAGTTTAATTAGGTCCCACTTGTCTACTTTTGTTTTTGTTACAATTGCTTTTGGGGACTTAACCAAAAATTCTTTGCCAAGGCTGTTACAGTTTGGCTTTGTGTCCTCACCCAAGTCTCATGTTGAATTGTAATTCCCAGTGTTGGGAGAGAGATCTGGTGGGAGGTGCTTGAATCGTGGGGGCAGATTTCCCCCTTGCTGCTCTTGTGATAGTGAGTGAGTTCTCACGAGATCTCACAGATTTGTTTAAAAGTGTGTAGCAAAAAAGTACTACTCACTTTTTTGTTTGAAAGGGTGTAGGACTTCCTCCTTTGTTCTCTCTCTCTCCTGCTTACTTCCCCTTTGCCCTTCCACCATGTTTGTAAGTTTTCTGAGGTCTCCCAAGCCATGCTTCCTGTATAGCCTGTGGAATTGCGAGTCAGTTAAACCTCTTTTCTCCATAAATTACTCAGTCTCAGGTATGTCTCTATAGCAGTGTGAGAATGGACTAATACAGAAAATTGGTGCCAGAGAAGTGGGGCATTGCTATAAAGATACCTGAAAATGTGGACACAACATTGGAACTGGGTAAGGAGCAGAGGTTGGAACAGTTTGCAGGGATCAGAAGAAGGCAGGAAGATGAGGGAAAGTTTGGAACTTCCTAGAAACTTGTTGAATGGACCAAAATGTGGATAGTGATATAGACAGTGAAGCCCGGGCTGTGGTTGTCTCAGATGGAGATGTGGAACTTATTGGGAACTGGAGTAAAGGTAACTTTTGTTATGCTTTAGCAAAGAGACTGGTGGCATTTTGCCTCTGCTGTAGAAACCTATGGAACTTTGAACTTAAGAGAGATGATTTAGAATATCTGGGAGAAGAAATTTCTAAGTGCAAAGCAAGTAAATTGGTGACTTCTTAAAGCCTATGCTCATTTGCATAAACAAAGAAATAACCTGAAACTAGAACTTATATTTAAAAAGGAAGCACAGCATAAAAGGTTGGAAAATTTGTAGCCCAACCATGTGGTAGAAAAGAAAAATCCATTTTCTGGGGGGACTTTCGAGGCTGCTGCAGAAGTTTGCATAAGTAAAGAAGAGCTGAATGTTAATAGCCAAGACAATGGGGAAAATGCCTCCAAGGCATTTCAGAGACCTTCACAGCAGCACCTTTCATCACAGGCCTGGAGGACTAAGAGGGAAAAATGGTTTCCTGGGCTAGGCCCAGGGCTCCACTGCTCTGTGCAGCCTTGGTACATGGTGCCCTGCATCCCAGCCACTCCAGCTCCAACTGTGCCTGAAAGGGGCTCAGTTACAGCTCAGGCTGTTGCTTCAGAGGGTGCAAGCCCAAGCCTTGGAAGCTTCCATGTGGTTTTGGACCTGCAGGTGCGTAGAAGGTAAGAGTTAAGGTTTGAGAACCTCTCCCTAGATTTCAAAGAATGTACGAAAATGCCTGAATGTCCAGGTAGAAGTCTGCTGCAGGGGCAGAGCCCTCAGGAAGAACCTCTACTAGGGTAAGGCAAAGGGGAAATGTGAGCTTGGAACCCCCATACATAGTCCCCACTGGGGCACTGCCTAGTGGAGCTGTGAGAAGAGGGCTACTGTTCTCCAGGCCCCAGAATGGTAGATCCACTGACAACCTCACCATGCACCTAGAAAAACTGCAGGCACTCAATGATGGCCTGTGAAAGCAGCCAAGAGGACTGTACTCAGCAGAATCACAGGGGCGGAGCTTTCCAAGGCCTTGGGAGCCCACCCTTTGCATCAGTGTGACCTGGATGTGAGACATAAAGGAGATTATTTTGGAGCTTTAAGATTTAATGATGGCCCTGCTGGTGTTCAGACTTGCATGGGGCCTGTAGCCCCTTTGTTTTGGCCAATTTCTCCCTTTCAGAATGGGAGCATTTACCCAACATCTGTACCCTCATTGTATCTTGGAAGTAACTAACTTGTTTTTTATTTTACAGGCTCATAGGCAGAAGGGACTCGCCTTGTCTCAGATGAGACTTTGGACTTGGACTTTTTACTTAATGTTGGAATGAGTTAAGACTTTTGGGGACTGCTAGGAAGGCATGATTGTATTTTGAAATGTGAGAAGGACATGATATTTGGGAAGGACCCGAGTGGAATGATATGGTTTGGATCTGTGTCCCCATCTAAATCTCATGTTGAATTGTAATTTCCAGTGTTGGGAGAGGGGCTTGGTGGGAGGTGACTGGATCATGGAAGTGGGTGTCCCCCTTCCTGTTCCCAGGACAGTGAGTGAGTTCTCATGAGATCTTGTTGTTTTTTAAAAGTGTGTAGCACTTTCCCCTTCACTCTGTCACTCCTGCCGCCATGTGAAGACATGCTTGGTTCCCCTTCACCCTTCTGCCATGATTGTTAAGTTTCCTGAGGCTTCCCCAGCCATTCCTCCATACAGCCTGTGGAACTCTGAGTCAATTAAATCTCTTTTCTCCATAAATTACCCAGTTTCAGGTATGTCTCTATAGGTGTGAGAATGGACTAGTAGAAAGGCCAATGTCATCAATAGTATTTCCTAGATTTTCTTCTAGGATTTTATAGTTTAAGGTACATTTAAATATTTGATCCATTTTGAGTTAATTTTTTTATATGGTGAAAGATAGGAGTCCATCTTTGGTCTTCTGCATATGGCTAGCCAGTTATCCCAGCACCATTTATTGAATTAGGAGTTCTTTCCCCATTGCTTGTTTGTATCAGCCTTGTTGAAGATCAGATAGTTGTACATGTATGGCCTTATTTATGAATTTTCTATTCTGTTGCACGGGTTTATGTGTCTGTTTTTGTACCAGAACCAAGCTGCTTTGGTTACTGTAGCTTTATAGTATAATTTGAAGTTGGGTAGTGTGATGCCTCCAGCTTTGTTCTTTTTGTTTTGGATTGCTTTGGCTATTCAGCCTTGTTTTTGCTTCCATATAGATGTTAGAATAGTTTTTTTTTCTAATTCTGTGAAGAATAACTTTGGTAGTTTGATAGAAATAGCATTGAATATGCAAATTTCTCTGGCTAGTATGGCCATTTAAAAAATATTGATTATTCCAATCTATGAGCATGGCATGTTTTTCCATTTATTTGTGTCATCTCTGATTTCTTTCAACAGTGTTTTGTAGTTTTTCTTGTAGAGATTGTTCACTTCCTTGGTTAGCAGTATTCCTAGGTATTTTGTTTTCTTCATAGCTATTGTAAGTGGGTTTGTGTTCTTGATTTCACTCGCAGCCTGGATGTTTCTGGTGCATAGAAATGCTACTGATTTATACACTGATTCTGTGACCTGAAATTATACTAGTCTGTGAGTTGTAGGAGCCTTCTGGCAGAGTCTTTAGGATTTTCTATACAGAGTCATGCCATAAGTGAAGAGAGATAGTTTGACTTCTTTCACTATTGGGATGGCTTTTGTTTCTTTCTCTTGCCTGATTGCTCTGGCTAGGACTTCCAGCACTATGTATAACAGGAGTGGTGAGAATGGACATACTTGTCTTGTTTCAGTTCTCAAGGGGAATGGCTTGAGCTTTTGCCTATTCAGTATGATGTTGGCTGTGGGTTGGGCATGTATAACTCCTATTATTTTGATGTATGTTCCTTTGATGCCTAATCTGTTGAGGAATTTTTTCATGAAAGAATGTTGGATTTTATCTTAAGCTTTTTCTGTATCTATTGAGATGATCATATGTCTCTTGCTTTTAATTCTGTTTATGTGGTGAATCCTATTTATTGGTATGAATATGTTAAACCAGCCTTGCATCCCAGAAATAAAGCCTACTTGATTATGGTATGTTAACTTTTTGATGTGCTGCTAGATTTGGTTTGCTAATATTTTTGGAAATTAAAGAACTTCCTCCTGAATAACTACTGGGTAAAATAAAAAAATTCCTTGCAACTAATGAAAATAGGTTTACAAGTTACCAAAATCTCTGGGATGCAGCCAAAGCAGTGTTAAGAGGAAAGTTTAAAGTCCTAAATGCTTTCATCAAGAAGTTAGAAACATCTAAAAATTAGCAGTCTAATTCTGCACCTAAAAGAATAGAAAACCAACCCCAAAGCTAACAGAAGTAAAAAAATAATTAAAATTAGAGAAGAGCTTAATGAAGTTGAGATGCAAAAGATCCATGAAACAAAAAGTAGGTTCTTCAAAAAAATAAAATAAGAGATTGATAGACTGGTAGCAAGATTAACAAAGAAAAGGAAAGAGAAGATTCAAATAAGAACAATCAGAAACAATATTACAACTGATCCCACGTAAATACAAAAGATCCTCAGGGACTATGATCAACTATATGCACAGAAGTTAGAAAATCTAGAGGAAATGGATAAATTTCTGGAAACACACAATCTCCCAAGATTAAATCAGGAAGCAATTGAAATCTTGAATAGACTAATATCAACTTCTGAAATTGAATTAGTAACAAAGAACCTACAAAGCAAAAGAAGCCCTGGACCCAATGGATTCACAGCCAAATTCTACCAGATGTACAAAGAACTGACACGATCCTACTGAAACTATTCCAGAAAATTGAGGAGGAGGGGCTTTTCCCTAACTCATTCTCTGAAGCCAGCATCAGACTGATACCAAAATCTGGCAGAGACACAATGAAAAAAGAGAACTTCAGGCCAATATCCCTGATGAACACAGACACAATAGAATATATCTTATTTTGTATTTATTTGATGCTACTTTGTGATTAGATTTAGTTTGGTTATTCTCTGCCCTAATACTCCATAGGTGATA
The DNA here is from genome assembly GCF_000001405.40 of Homo sapiens. Lineage (NCBI taxonomy): Eukaryota > Metazoa > Chordata > Mammalia > Primates > Hominidae > Homo > Homo sapiens. The sequence goes on along the minus strand of NC_000003.12, from coordinate 111,658,719 downwards.
TTGTATCCTTCCCAGAGTATTACATTTGGAGGAGCACAAGATCCCTGTCTCTCTCACTGATGATATTAATTTTGATCACTTGGTCAAGTTCTTGTCTAATTTCTCCACTGCATAGTTACTGTTTCTGTTTCTCCTGTGTAACCAATAAGATTTTACAGGGAGGCACTTAGAGACCATGCATATATCCTGATCTTCATCAAAATTTCCTCAACTTAGTATCCATTGATGATTCTAGCCTGATGCAATCTTTATTATGCTGATTACAAAATGATAACTTCTGAATTTCAGCACTCCCTTCGTATTTCTTAATCTGCTCTTGAAGTTTTGCTATAGGTGAGAGCCCTCCTTTCTCTCTCTGTCTCTCTCTGACTACCTATCTACCTATCTATATAGCTATCACTTACTACTGGTAAGGACTCATGAATTCCTGCTTTTCTCAATGGTTTCTAACTCATTAATATACTTAACTATATCGATAGTCAAATTTTCCTAGATGTATACAGTGGGAGTCCTTTCAAACTGACTCCTATATCCTTCTGACATACCCTAGCAGTTTTTGGACTATGTTCTTATTTTCTGACCTAACAAAGTATTTCAAGTTCACTTATGTTTACTTTGTCCTTAGACATTTCTCTGAGTTCAGTTCCTTTCAGCAGGAAATTATACTGAAGACCAAGATGCGGATGCTAGGTATGCTCTTTGCTACCGGGATATCTTTCTTTCTTAGTCCTTTCAAAAGGCACATCTGGGAAATATAGGCACATATACATATTTGCAATGCAAAACACATATGCATGCTCAAGCACATTTACACACAGACGTGATTAAGATTAAGATTACCAGTGAAGGACAGGTGGACATCATGGGTCTCCAGATGTGATGCTTGGGAAGGACACTAACCTTCATGCGCATACACATGCACACACACACACATATACACACACATATTGTGGAAATCATGAGTTTGCATTGATACTGCCAATTTGACTCCATCCCTGCATCTACACAGGGTTCTTTCCAGTCTTTCCTTATTCCATATTTATATGTTCCTTTTCCCTCAATGAGAACCTGGGCACCCAATGACAACACATTTACATAATCTTATAATACAGAACAATGTTTCAAAATTGCTTTGCTTATATCATTACAATAAAAAAATCTTACTACCAAGCCTTCCAGATTTGCTTACAATTCTCACCTTGTTCCCACCACCCCCACCCCACCCTACACGAGACTGGGGTATATAGTCAAATATATAGTCAAATTTTGTGTTCCTAGCTACTTGAATTAGGTTTTTTTTTTTTTGAAATGGAGTCTTACTCTGTTGCCCAGTCTGGAGTGCAGCGGTGTGATAGCTCACCACAACCTCCACCTCCTGGGTTCAAGTGATTCTCCTGCCTCAGCCTCCTGAGTAGCTGGGACTACAGGCACATGCCACCATGCCTGGCTAATTTTTGTATTTTTAGTAGAGATGGGGTTTCACCATGTTGGCCAGGCTGGTCTCAAACTCCTGACTTCGTGATCTGCCCACCTTGGCCTCCCAAAATGCTGGGATTACAGGTGTGAGCCTGGATTGGATTAGTTTTTCCTAAAAACTAATCCACCTGGCCTGGATTAGTTTTTTCTTTCTTTTTTCTCTTTCAGTGTGCTTATGGTATTTATTTAAAATACAAATAGTTTTCTTTCAGTTTTAGTTTTTTTTCCTGTTCTTATTTATTTAATTTTATTATTTTAATACATAGAATACTAATATTCTTTTTTTCAGACAAAATTATACAGAAAGGTATATGCAGGAAAGGACACTTCTCCATATATCCGTCACACTCTTCCTTCTTTACCCCTCAACTCCAGCATTTCTTGATTTATCTCTCCTGTTCCTTTTTGTAAAAATAGGCATATACATATTTCATTTTTTTAATTTTTCCTTCTTTCTTACACAAAGGTAGCATATTACATGCTCTTTGTACTTCACCTTTTTCCCTTAATAATATCTCTGGAAATCACTCAATATCAGTTGATAGAGATTTTCTTCTTTTTTGTTTTTACAACTGCACATTAACTCTATTTTGTGTATTTACTACATTTTATTCAACCAATCTCCTATATTGGACATTTAGATAATTTCAAATACTTTGTGAATACACATAATGATACCAAAATAATCTTGTGCATATATATTCTGATATTGTTGGAGGCTGAGTTTCATGGTGAATTCCTGAAGATGAATTACAATGTCAATGAATAAATTAATATATAGTTTTGTTAGATATCATCATATTCTTCTCAATATTGGTGGCACCATTTTGCACTCCCTTCAGCAGTATATGAGTGTGCATGTTTTCCCCAAAGCCTTGATAACGGACAATATTGTCAAACTTGAAATTCATGACAACTAAATGGAGAAGAACTGATGTCTCAGTACATTTTTAAATTTTGATTTCTTTTATTATGAATACATTTCATGTTTTTCAAATGATTAAGAGTCATTTTAATTTTTGTGTGTGAATTATTTGTTCATGGCTTTAGCCCATTTTTCATAGGATTTTTCAGTTTTTTATCCTCAATATTTGTAAGTTCTTTATCAACTAAGTATATTGATAAAGGTATGTATATTGATATATCATCTGTGATATATGTTGTAAATATTTTCACTTACTTTATTATTTGTCCTTTGACTTTGCTTTCTCTCTCATGAATATTTTTATTCTTAAGTAGCTAAATTTATCCATCTTTTCTTTCATTGCATATATATTCATACAATTGCAGTTATATAGATGTATACCATAGAGAATAGTATATGTATATATGCATACATATATATAAAACTATATATAGTATTTATATACTATAACTGTACATATATATGTATCTACAAATACAGCTGTAGATAGATTTGCATGCATGTATTATGTATATATGTAGTTAAGAAAATATCCCTTTTTCTCAAGAGTTTTTAGTAGGAATGGGTGTTGAATTTTGCCAAAGATTTTTTAAACAGCTATGGAGATTATTCCTATCCTTTTTCTCCTTAGTTCTATTTATATGGTAAATTATATTAAGCAATTTTCTATCATCAGATGCTTCTTACATTCTTGGTATAACCCTTAGGTAATGTTTTCAAGTCCCATCACTATGTCTCAGATATCAGGGTCTCTACTGCAGTGGCCTTGCCTCTATTGACAGCCTCCTTTCTGAAGCCTTTAAAAGTATTTCTCATATGTTGTCCCTGAAATCATACCTTTTTCTTTATTATTTTCTCTTCTTTGCGCATAACTTAATTTTTATATCTGTAACACTGTACTGTATATATTTGTTTAAATGTCTCTCTCTTCCATTAAATTTTACATTCACTGAAGGCAATAAGTAGTTCTTAGATTTTTTTAATATCAATTTCATGAGTGTGGAATCTACAAACCCTAAACTGGCCATCGAAAAGAGGTATTCAGGAAAAGTGCTTGTCAGACTTTTCTAGTAACTAGCCACAAAATTAAAATCAATTCTTATTTATTACTGTGTTAGATTTCAGATTCGTTAGTCACCAAAGCATGTCCCTTTGAATCAGTGCAATGGCTTTATGTATAAGAAAAATCCAATGCAACCCAATTATCTGTAAGAGTGGAATTAGGCTTATCTCAAACCAGTGATGCAAAAATGATTCTACCATAGATGGAATTCTCAGATCCCTGATCATCTTCCCATTCAGCCTTAACAGATATTTAAGCTTTGAAGAGAGAAAATGCAGAATAGAGAGGTTAACTCTTATACATGGCTCTCAGGATATGAGGTCCACTATCAAACTTCTCTGCAGGATTCATGTAACTGTTGTTCTATCCCCTCCAGCCTACCTTCTTGGCACTTTTAAGTACTTTCTGGTGATAGTTGAATGGCATAATGCTGTAGCCAATTTTATTTGGTGATATATCTTCTTTGGACAGTAAATGGGGTATAGTCTGACAAAACTCAGGGCAAATGTGCATAAGTTTGTGGCATTCACCCAGGGTAGCTGGATATGGCCCCAGCCATGCTCTCTTCTTTATGTTGTGATATTGGGTTTGTTGCTCTTCCCTATTATTCCCCCCAGTGTCCCTCCCCACAATCACAATGCCACAGTCTTTGAACAAATATGAGGAACCTGAGTGTGCAGAACAGGAAAGAGTTTGGAGATTTGGATAACAGAGATTGGAGGATACAAAGATGCTGTCTGAGGAGAAAAATTTAGATTCTATTGTTCCCATTTCTGTGTTATTTGCACCCACAAAATATCAAGACCCATCACAGATGCACCATTCAAGCTTTAACAATAATTCCAAAAGTGTTCCCTGGCCCTGACCTAGCTTAAGGTCATAGTATCCTGCTTTCTGGTCATGCCTTCCTGGCTGGAGCATGGTGCCTTTGTTAGTAATCGAGGAAATCCAGGAAAAAGGTACCTTTGCAGGAGCTGGGAAATAACTGCCTTGATTCCCCAATTCTCACTATGTGTTTCTGCCAGTTAATGTGGACACCCATCCTTTAGCTGGTTGACACAGCCATGATTGCTGTTGTCAAACAGTCGGTTAGGCTATGCATTTCAGCCCTCGTCTCAGAGAGAACAAAGTTTCTATATTTCTGAAGATTCAACCTTCAGGTTCAAAGCCACCCTCCTAAGTCTGGGTGCCAAGAGGGCTACCTTTAAGGACCTCTTCCCCTGTTCAGAGCCTCTGAGACATTTTTCATTATCTCTGGCCTTAGTAAGTTTCTCTAAACTTTCTTTTCAACTTCTGATCTTGATTAATCTCTTTTCTCTTTCATTTCCTCATTTTCTTTGACATTTTTTAGAGCTTCCCATCCCCCAGGGTTAATTATTTCTACTTTTCATTGTTTTCTGTTACAATTTTTAGCATATACTACCAAGGCATAAAAAAAAAAAATTATCGCTTCTCAGCCTTTTGGCTAAGATCAAGTGTAAAAAAAAAATATTGACCTAAAAGCACACAAAGCAGCAGCTCTTGTCTATAGTAAAAGGAGATACCAAAGCAATTAAATATTGATTACACTCTAGGCTAGAAATCAGAGAGCTGGGTCATCACGTTGGTTTTACCATTTCTAATTGTGTGACCTTGGACAAGTCAATTTCACAGAACCCTTAACTCATTTTGTAAAACGACCTCTAAAACCCATCCTGGTCAAATGTTCTATGATTTTTAAAGATCTATAAATGCAAAGTTATTTTGGGGAAGTCAACCATATCTTCTTGTTAAAACAAAACTCATGCTGAACCAAAGAAAATAGAAAATACTATTTTTTTAAAAAAATAAAGCACGCATTAGGCACTTACGTATGAGCTAAAATATGCCTACCTCTGGATCTATATGTGTAGGTTAACTATTGCTACAATGTTGTGTAATAACCACACAATTTCAGTGGCATGCAATAATATCTAACTTATGTGCCTGTTGAGGTAGGCTGTGAGTTTTGCTGATCTGGACTGGACCAGCCTTGGGTGGTACTGCTCCATGAGCCTTTCTTTTTCTTCTTGGCACAGTAGGCTAGTCTGAAAACGATCTTCTCATGGTGATGGTAGAAAAGAAGAGAGTGAATCCAATCATAGAAGTACTTTTCAAGCCTTGGGTTAGTCGTGCCCATGATATTCCATTGCAAAACAAATCATGTTATCAAGCTGAGGAGTTCTCCTGGTGCAGGTGGGTAAGGAAACGAACATATGAATAACAATGTTAACTAACACATAGTGCTTTGGAAATGAGTGACAAACATGCGTACATATGGCTTTTTCTCAGTGAAAATGAAACTTTAGGGATTAGGATCTAGTATTGCTATTTCTCCTATGAGACAGAGCTAAATTCACTAACAGAGACAGGAGTTGCTGGTTGAGTCAGACTCTATGAATTTACTCGCACACAATTTAAGGCTCAAATGAAACTGTCATTTTAGTCAAATAAGGGTGGTCAAGCTCACAGTACTAACTAAAAGGCAACTGGAGCCCCTCTAATTTGCAGGTTTGTGAAAAGTTCCTCTGAACTACTCACTGAAGATCCCTCCATTGATAAGCAACCGCTCACTCTATTCAAGTGGTAATGAATGTGCAAATGCTGACCAGAACTTAATTACGATACTAAAAGAGTGTACTTCAAAGAAGAGCTAATATAAAAACACAGAGAGACACCTGTCATCTGATAGATTGATAAATTACATGAATTTATGTTATACTGTAAAACTGTCTCTCCCTTTAGTGAAACAATCCAAATACCTCCAACTCTGCCACTCTCTACTCCTAACTCTGCCACTCCCTACCCCCACTTTCTGCTTGTATTCATATATTATAGTAAAACAGTAAAATAAAACCACAATGCTTTGTATACAAATTACTGATGATTAAGTCTTGTTAAATACAAATAGCCATACACATGAAGCAAAGCAACAGCCATACATATGAAGCTAGCATTTGTTTCTTGAGAACTAATAAGGAACTAAAGATAAATAATTAAGGCAGGTAAACAGTTTATTTTTCTAGTTGTTGAGCTGTATAGTTATCTGTCGCTATGTAACAAATTATACTCAAAATTAATGGTGTTAAACAATAAGCACTTATTATCTAATAGTGTTAGAAGTTCAGAAATTTAGTAAAAGGCTTAGCTGGGTAGTTCTGGCTCTCTTGAGGTCTTGGTCAAAAGATCAACTGAAGTTGCAATTATCTGAAGACTTGACTGGAGGCTGGAGGATCTGCTTCCAAGATGGCTCCCTTACATGGCTGGCAAGTTGGTGCTTGTTAGCAAAATACCTTAGTTCCTTGACAGGTAGATTTCTTTCTTTCTTTCTTTCTTTCTTTTTTTTTTTTTTTTGAGGCGGAGTCTCGGTCTTTCACCCAGATTGGAGTGTGCAGTGGCACAATCTCGGCTCACTGCAAGCTCTGCCTCCCGGGTTCCCACCCTTCTCCTGCCTCAGCCTCCTGAGTAGCTGGGACTACAGGTGCCCGACACCACACCCGGCTAATTTTTTGTATTTTTAGTAGAGACGGGGTTTCACTGTGTTAGCCAGGATGGTCTCGATCTCCTGACCTCGTGATCCACCCACCTCGGCCTCCCAAAGTGCTGGGATTACAGGCGTGAGCCACTGCGCCCGGCCACGACAGGTAGATTTCTCAATAGGGCTGCCTTGGTGTCTTCATGGCATGGGAATGGGCTTTTCCCAGTGTCAGTATGGTCAAAGAGAGATCAAAGAAGAAGCCACAGTGTATTTTGTGACCTAGCCTTGGTCACTTCCAAGCTTTTTTGGCTATACCAATGGTGAGAGTGGTACTCATTCTCAACATTGTGCAAGTGCATGACCCTGAGTGTGAATACCTCCTTAAATTTTTTCCCTAGGTGCATTGATTGCCTCCCCTTAATCCTGGCCTCAGGTTACACAAATCATCTGTATTCAGCATTGGAGGGGACCACATAAAGATGTGAATAGTAGGAGGCAAGAACACTGGGGCTCATCTTGGAGGCTGGCCACCACAAGAGTTAAGCACCTACCTAAGATTCTGAGCCATGAGAAAGAACTTCCACAGGCTCGATGGTTCTCAACTTTGGCTGAACATGTGAATCATTTGAGAGTGTTGATGCCTGTGTCTCACTCCTCAGACATTCTGATTTAATTGAACTGAAGTGTGACAGCCATGGTGTTTAAGAAAAAGACATAATCTCCAAATAACTCTGCACAAGGCATTCTCATGTGCAGTCAAGGATAAGCATACTGCAAGTGAACTAAAGTTTCCTTTTGGGACTAAAGTCCACACAGAATTTGCCTATCACTCTATCTGTCAACAACATCTGTTTTTCCCTCCTGGAGCAGGGAGTGTGGGAAGGTTTCAAGCGACAAGGAGGATTAGTAATTTATTCATTCACAAACTATTGCTGAATACAGAGCACGTCTGGCTGACTAGGTTTCTTCTCTGACACCTATACATTCTGCTTCAACTGCTTTAAAAAAGATTGGTAGGAGCAGGGTTAATTAATCAGTGCTGGTCTGATTTGAGGCTCTTTATCTTTTTCAAAACAGATCAAAACAGGCAGATTAAATGAACAGGTAAATCCCCAGATGAAAAAGAGAATAACTGGAATTAGAAAGTAGGGTTGGGCTTAGGCTGCCTGTTTACTTACAAAACAGTTTGGTTCCAGTTTGATGGACATACACACGAAGGCACTCAAATGAAACCACTCTTGGCTAATATAATTTTAGAGGCCAGTGGAGTTTTGTATCTTCTAGGCTACTGGGTTTTTGGCTAATTATCTCTTTGATCCCTCTTCATCCTGGTCCATGTGGCAGGAGTCTGGGCTGAACATGGTAGGAAGACAGTGAAGGAGGATTGAAAATGTGGTTCCTGTGCAAAGTATTCTGTTTCCTTCCATGAAAATAAGCAACAGAATTTCAATATGAAGACTAACCATACTTCTCCATTACTTGGCAGCCTTGTTAGCACTTTTACATTTTCTTTTTCCTGTAATTATCTTAGGGAATGCAGCAAAGCCCCAGGATTTTGGCAAAGAGTTTACAATGTTGATAGATGTTCAAATAAGAGGATCAGGCATGGGCATACAGTTGAAACCATTGTTGTCCCTCCATCAGAGAATTTAAATGAAAATACTGTATTTTTTTTTAAAGATGGCAGACTAATATGTACTTCTTACATAAGCAAGAAAACCACTACGAATTGCATTGAGTGTGAACATGACATATCCTCTCACTCTTGGTTAAGCTTCAGGCGTTTGGAGATGGAAGAGGGTGAGTTGCTGGGAAAACAGGTCACTCACTTCTGACTTCCATTTCAGCTGCAGCAAAGGCATGGCTGAAGAGCGACTATATTAATAAAGCACAATGTCTACCTTCTCAATAGGATTCCAGCAGAGTTCTGCCATGGGGCAAAGTCTCACGAGACTAGAGGGTCTCCATCTCATGATAAGGCAGATCACTTTCGTTGGGCTCTTGAATGCAAGTGTACTTGATGGGAGGTGGTGGTGGCTTGAAAGGTGGAGGTCTTTCCATTCTAGGAACAAAATATTGGTCTTTCAATGCTAAGAATTGAGGGAGTCTTATGCACACACACACACAGACATGTGTTGTTTCTTTAAAGGAGAACACAGATTGATGAGAAAGAGACATACTCTCCCAGTTCTTTCAGCATTTTTGCTGGCATAACCCTGTGCCTGTTAGTCACATTTGAACCTCATGATCTATACGGTATTTTGTAGTTTGCAAAGAATTTTTATCATAACATTATTTACTTTGTATGTAGAAATTGCCTCACCATCTACAGATAAAACTGAGCATTTTTATCATAACATTATTTACTTTGTGTGCAGGAAATGTATCATAACATTATTTACTTTGTGTGCAGGAAATGCATCACCATTCTACAGATAAAACTGAGGCTCAGAGGTTTTAAACAACTTGCTCAAGAGAACCAGACCAACAATTCAAGTCTTTTCACCAGAACTGATACTCTCCATGACAACTGCCTCCTAATAGAAGAAATGTTTCTTTTATGTGGATTAAAATATTCCTCCAGAGACTAAATCTTAAAATCCTAGGATTTAAGACTGAAGCTTTTCATACAGCCTCTTTGCTAACCCTAGCCCCAGCCTTTGCCCAAACACTCACTATGTACTGCGGGGATAGGGTAGAGATGGGAAGTAAAGCTCTTCTCAATCCCCGAGTACTGGCTAGATAATGCCTAAATCCCTTTTGTTTGAATCAGTGAACATTCTTAAAGTCATCTTTGTACAAAGAACTATTTTATGTTAGTACAAGTAATCTCTTTTTCCGAAATGCATTAAAGAGCCAAGTTAGTATGGAATTTAGCTATACAAATGCTCTAGCTATCTTGATATCAGGCAACAGAAATATATCTGTGAACATCTTTATGTTCATCACTCAAACACCTCTATGCCCTGGCAATCCATAGCATCTTAGGAGAGATAAAGAGTGGGTAGTGGGGGAAGGAGGATAGAGAGATTGATTCTCATCTCCATATAAAACAAACATTTGAATACAGAACAATTTAAAAAATCAGTTCAGATTTTCAGATTTCATTTGTTCATTTAATATAAAGCTCTCTAATCCCTATTACCCAATTTTTAGATGCTTTAATGGAGACTTCATATGTATTAATAGGTAATTCTACGAAACATGCACTTTTGTTTTACTTTTGTTTTTTGGGGAATTATGAGTTTCTCAAGGTCATGTGGTGGCCAAATTGTAGTCCTTGGAAAATAATCCAGAATTTCTAACTACTGGTTTAGTGTTTTGTTCACCACTCCCTGTATGTGGTTACAGAGTCTTCAAGGATACTCTGCAAAAGGTAGGAAAGTATATGGCACAATGGTTAATGTTATCTTAGAGTAGTAGTAAGACAAGTGGAAGATCAGTTCTGGGTACTGGGGTCCCTTCCAGTTATGGCCCAACCCAGACTGACTCAAAATAGCAAGTCAGAAAAATGAGGCTTAACCTTATGTACCATTTCAGACTGCCGATTGGAGAAGGCTTTTGGAAAATATTTCAATAAGACAAAAATGGGGTAACCCAATGCTTACTTTCTTTTCTGCTTGGGAAAAAAAGAAAAGGGCAGTAAAAGCCCACTCTGGTAAAAAAAGCAGCTGGAAATCTCTTAAAATTACCTTTCTCACTCAATTTCACACTTGAGCATCTATGACCAGTGGAGCCTAGGCAGTTCAAAGATGCATGAAAATGAAAAAATAATGAAGATTAAAAGAAAAATCAGTTTTAGTTTTGAGGAGAGGTGAGGCTCAGTTCTCATTTCATGTCCACGGACTTGCTCTATCTGACGAATGTTACAGCCTGACTAGGCCAATGCAGAGAGGGATACTGAGTCAGGAGTTGTGTATTTAATCCCAACTATGTAATGCTGGGAAAGCTATATAATCTCTCTGAGCTTCTGTGAGCATTATTTCCCCATTAAAATATGGGAGGAACTTCATAGAGTAATAATATATTGTACTGATGAATATTTTATAATGAAAAATTAATCTGTTCCTACATATGTTAGTATTATACTCACATTTCTTTTTGGTACTGACACCATTTTCTCACTCCAAGACCAAACAATATCATGCAGCAAAAGAGTAAAGCTGCTACAATCACTGGCCAGGACATTCCATCTTTGGGCTTATTGACCACAATACCTGAAAAGGGCATAAAGAAAGATGAACTTTAATCCCAAACTTTGGCATTTGGAAAACAGGATTAAACCATTTTTCCTACGTGAAACATATTTTCTTCAACATTGGCTGTGATCATACTCTGGAGGTGGGCATGTCTAAGCCTTGTTACCTACATGAGGTGATAACTTTTAAGAGTTAATTACGTACCCTACCAGAAATTTTCTGTGGATATATATAAGCATACATATGTACCATGAATATATACCCTTTTTATTACAGTTGGGGGCATATTATACACACTATTCTGTCCATGATTTCTTTTTCTTTTTTTTCACTATTTTAGGTTCAGGGGTACATGTGCAAATTTGTTATATAGGTAAATTATGTGCTGTGGGGATTTTGGTGTACAGATTATTTTGTCACCCAGGTAATCAACAGTGCCTGACAGGTAGGGTTTTTTTTTTTTTTTTTTTTTAATCTTTACCCTCCTCTCAACCTTCAGTAGGCCTCAGTGTTTGTTGTTCTTGTCTTTGTGTCCATATGTACTCGATGTTTAGTTCCCACTTAATAGTGAGAACATGCTGTAGATGGTTTTCTATTCCTGTGTGAGTTTGCTTAGGATAATGGTCTCCAGTTCCATCCATGCTGCTGCAAAGAATATTATCTCATTCCTTTTTATGGTTTCATAGTATTCCATGGTGTATATGTACCACGTTTTCTTTATCCAGTCACTGTGGATGGGTGTTTAGGTTAGTTCCATGTCTTTGCTTTTGTGAATAGTGCTGTGATAAACATACGTGTCCATGTGTCTTTATGGTAGAACAATTTATATTCCTTTGGGTATATATCCAATATAATGAGATTGCTGGATCAAATAGTAATTTTTTTTTTAAGTTCTTTGAGCAATAGCCAAACTGCTTTCCACAATGGCTGAACTAATTTACATTCCCACCGGCAGTGTATAAGCATTCCCTTTTCTCCACATCCTCACCTGCATCAGTTTCTTCTTCTTTTTTTTTTTTTACTTTTCAGTAATAGCCATTCTAACTTATGTGAGATGGTATCTTATCGTGGTTTTAATTTGCATTTCTCTAGTGATTAGTGATTTTGAGCTTTTAAAGTATCCTAAGAAGGTAAAAATCATTTTACATTTTTAACATTTTACATTTTACATGTTTTTTTAAGAATAAGAGGCCAAAAGACATACACCTGGCCTCTTTTTCTTAAAAAACATTCTTGGAATACTTTCCATATCACCACACAGAGATTTACCTCATTCTATTAGATGACTGGATAGTTCAATGGATATACCAGTTTATTTAATTTATCTCACGATGTTAGATGGTTAAATTGTTTCCAGACTTTGTTATTGCTAATGATACTCCAGTGAAATTTCTTATACATGATAGATAGGTCTTTAGGTATTTCGATTACATGGATCATTTGGGCAAAAAGCTATCTGGATTGGTTTTCTTTCCTTGTCTCGGCTAGGTAGTAACTGCTTGTGAGTGAAGACAAGGATTTAAATTTATTTCATTGCCCCGTTTTTATTACACTGCTTTTCATATAGCAAAATCTCAAAAAATACAGGTCAAAGAACTAGATGTAATATTAGTTATCACATCTTTTCTGTGTTTTTACATAGCCTGGACTGAAACCATGTGATGTTATCATGTTAGCATTGGTTAGAAGTGTTGAAGACAGTTCCCTTTCATACAACATACATCCAGGGATTCGAGGTCTTCCTGATTCTCACCCCTGTCAAAGTAGAAACTGAGGGTTCCCTGGAGACCCATGTAGTCCAATAATACATAATTATGTGACACATTGTATATACAGATGACTAGAAAGTTTACATAGTTCAAACCACTAGAGTAGCATGATCATGAAAGAGACAATTGGTCAACTCAGGACTAGACAAAGTTCTGTTTCACACAAGTCAAAATTTACTAAGCTCTACCATGGTAATATGGTGGGATATAATATTTTACGTCCAAAGTTTTAGATAAAGGAAAGAACAAAAGGTTTTATTTTATTTTTTTTTTCCATAAGTTATTGGGGTACAGGTAGTGTTTGATTATATGAGTAAGTTCTTTAGTGGTGATTTGTGAGATTATGGTGCAGCCAACACCCAAGCAGTATACAGTGCATCATATTTGTAGTCTTTTACCCCTCGCCCCCTCTCATTCTTCCCTCCAAGTCCCCAAAGTCCATTGTGTCATTCTTATGTCTTTGCGTCCTCATAGCTTAGCTTCCCACATATCAGTGAGAACATATGATGTTTGGTTTTTCATTCCTGAGTTACGTCACTTAGAATAATAGTCTCCAATCTCATCCAGGTCACTGCAAATGTGTTAATTCATTCCTTTTTATGGCTATGTAGTATTCCATAGTGCATATATATATATATACACCACGGTTTCTTTATCCACTCATTGATTGATGGGCATTTGGGTTGGTTCCACGATTTTGTAATTGTGAATTGTGCTGCTATAAACATACATGTGCAAGTATCTTTTTCGAATAATGACTTCTTTTCCTCTGGGCAGATATCCAGTAGTGGGATTGCTGGATCAAATGATGGCTCTACTTTTAGTTCTTTAAGGAATCTTCACACTGTTTTCTATAGTGGCTGTACTAGTTTACATTCCCACTAGCAGGGTAGAAGCGTTCTCTGTTCACCACATCCATGCCAACATCTACCATTTTTTTTGATTATGGCCATTCTTACAGGACTAAGGTGGTATCGCATTGTCATTTTGATTTGCATTTCCCTGATTATTAGTGATGTTGAGCATTTTTTCATATGTTTGTTAGCCATTTGTATATCTTCTTTTGAGAATTGTCTATTCATGTCCTTAGCCCACTTTTTGATAGGGTTGTTTGTTTTTTTCTTACTAATTTGTTTGAGTTAGTTGTAGATTCTGGATAGTAGTTCTTTGTCAGAAGTATAGATTGTGAAGGTTTTCTCTCACTCTCTGGGTCATCTGTTTACTCTGCTGACTGTTCCTTTTGCTGTGGAAAAGCTCTTTAGTTTAATTATCTTTGTTTTTATTGCATTTGCTTTTTATCTTTGTTTTTATTGCATTTGCTTTTGGGTGCTTGCTATTTATCTTTGTTTTTATTGCATTTCTTTTTGGGTTCTTGGTCATGAAATCCTTGCCTGAGCTCATGTCTAGAAGAATTTTTCCAATGTTATCTTTTAGAATTTTTAGTTTCAGGTCTTAGGTTTAAATCCTTAATCCATCTTGAGTTGATTTTTGTATAAGATGAGGATCCAGTTTAATTCTCCTACATGTGGCTAGACAATTATCCCAGCACCATTTATTGAAAAGGGTGTCCTTTCCCCACTTTATGTTTTTGTTTGCTTTGTTGAAGATCAGTTGGCTGTAAGTATTTGGGCTTATTCTGTTCCATTGGTCTATGTGCGTATTTTATACCAGTAGCATGCTGTTTTGATGACTATGGCTTTATAGTATAGTTGGAAATCAGGTATGTGATGCCTCCAGATTTGTTCTTTTTGCTTAGTCTTGCTTTGGTTATGTGGGCTCTTTTTTGGTTCCATATGAATTTTAGGATTGTTTTTTCTAATTCTGCAAAGAATGATGGTGGTATTCTGATGGGTATTGCATTGAATTTCTAAATTGCTTTTGGCAGTATGGTAATTTTCACAATATTGATTATACCCATCCATGAGCATGGGATGTGTTTCCATTTGTTTGTGTCATCTATGATTTATCTCAGCAGTGTTTTGTAGTTTTTCTTTTAGAGGAATTTAGACTCCTTTGTTAGGATATTCCTAAGTATTTCATTTTTTTTTTTTTTTTTGCAGCTATTGTAAAAGGGGTTGAGTTCTTGATTTGATTCTCTGCTTGGTTGCTGTTGGTGTATAGATGAGCTACTGATTTGTGTACATTAATCTTGTATTCGGAAACTTTGCTGAATTCTTTTATCAGTTCTAGGAGCTTTCTAGAGGAGTCCTTAGGGTTTTCAAGGTAAACAGTCATCATCAGCAAACAGTGACAGTTTGACTTCCTCTTTACTGATTTAGATGCCCTTTATTTCTTTCTCTTGTCTGATTGCTTTGGCTAGGACTTCCAGTACTACATTGAAGAGGAGTGGTGAGAGTGGGCATTCTTGTTTTGCCCTAGTTCTAAGAGGGAATGCTTTCATCTTTTCCCCATTCAGTATTGTGTTGGCTGTGGGTTTGTCATAGATGGTTTTTATTACATTAAGGTATGTCCCTTGTGTGCCAATTTTGCTGAGTTTTAATCATAAAGGGATGTTGGATTTTGTTGAATTTTTTTTTGTATCAATTGAGATGATCATGTGATTTTTGTTTTTAATTCTGTTTATGTGGTGTATCACATTTATCGGCTTGTGTATGTTAAACCATCCCTGCATCCCTGGTATGAAACTCACTTGATCAAGGTGGATTATCCTTTTGATATGTTGTTGAATTTGGTTAGCTAGTTTTTTTTTTTTTTTTTTTTAAGGATTTTGGCATCTATGTTCAGCAAGGATATAGGTCTGTAGTTTTCTTTTTTGGTTATGTCCTTTCCTGGTTTTGGTGTTAGGGTGATGCTGGCTTCACAGAATGAATTAGGGAGGATTCCTTCTTTCTCTATCTTGTGGATAGTGTCAATAGGATTGGTACCAATTCTTTTTTGAATGTCTGGTAGAATTCTGCTGTTAATCCATCTGGGCCTGGACTTTGTTTTGTCGGTAATTTTTCTTTTATTTATTTATTTTTTTTTTAGGCGGAGTCTCAGTTTGTCACCCAGGCTGGAGTGCAATGGCACAATCTCTGCTCACTGCAACCTCTGCCACCCAGACTCAAGCAAATCTCCCACCTCAGCCTCCCAAGTAGCTGGGATTATAGGCGCCTGCCACCATACCTGGCTGATTTTTGTATTTTTAGTAGAGACGGGTTTTCACTGTCTTGGCCAGGCGGGTCGTGAACTCTTGACCTCATGATCCACTGGCTTCAGCCTCCCAAAGTGCTGGGATTACAGGCATGAGCCACTGAGCCACTGCGCTCAGCCCTTGTTGGTAATTTTTAAATTGCCATTTCAATCTCGCTGCTTCTTATTGGTCTGTTTAGGGTATCTAATTTTTCCTGATTTAAGCTGGGTGGGTTGTATTTTTCCAGAAATTTATCCATCTCTTCTAGGTTTTCTAGTTTATGTGCATAAAGGGGTTCACAATAGCCTTGAATGATCTTCTGTATTTCTGTGGTGTCAGTTGTAATATCTCCCATTTCATTTCTTAATTAGGTTATTTGGATTTTCTCTCTTCTTTTCTTGGTTAATCTCACTAATGGTCTTTCAATTTTATTTACCTTTTCAAAGAACTAGTTTTTGTTTCATTTATCTTTTGCATTTTTGTTGTTGTTGTTTCAATTGTATTGTGCTCTGATCTTGGCTATTTCCTTTCTACTGATGGATTTCGGTTCAGTTTGTTCTTGTTTCTCTAGTTCCTTGAGGTGTGACCTTAGATTGTCTGTTTGCACTCTTTCAGATTTTTGTTGTAGGTGTTTAGGGCTGTGAACTTTCCTCTTAGCACCACCTTTGCTGTATCCCAGAGGTTCGATAGGTTGTGTCATTACTGTCATTCAGTTCGAAGAATTTTTAAATTTCCATCTTGATTTCATTTTTGACCCAATGCTCATTCAGGAGCAGGTTATTTAATTTTCGTGTATTTGCGTGGTTTTGAAGGTTCCTTCTGGAGTTGATTTCCAGTTTTATTTCACTGTGGTCTGAGAGAGTGCTTGATATAATTTCAGTTTTCTTAAATTTATTGAAGCTCATTTTATGGCCTATCATATGGTCTATCTTGGAGAAAGTTCCATGCACTGTTGAATAGAGTGTGTATTCGGCAGTTGTTGGATGAAATGTTCTGTATATATCTGTTAAGTCCATTTGTTTCAAGGTATAGTTTAAATCCATTGTTTCTTTGTTGATTTTTGGTTTTGATGACCTGTCTAGTGTTGTCAGTGGAGTATTGAAGTCCCCCACTATTATTTTGTTGCTGTCTATCTCATTTCTTAGGTCTATTAGTAATTGTTTTATAAATTTGGGAGCTCCAATATTAGGTGGATGTATGTTTAGAATTGTGATATTTTCCTGTTAGACAAGGCCTTTTACCATTATATACTGTCCTCTTTGTCTTTTTTAACCACTGTTGCTTTAAAGTTTGTTTTGTCTGATATGAGAATAGCTACCCCTGCTCGCTTTTGGTGTCCATTGGCATGAAATGCCTTTTTCCACCCCTTTACTTTAAGTTTATATGAGTCCTTATGTGTTAGGTGAGTCTCCCGAAGGCAGCAAATAGTTGATGGGTAAGTTCTTATCCATTCTGCTGTTCTGTATCTATTAAGTGGAACATTTAGGCCATTTACATTCAGTATTAGTATTGAAATATGAGGTACCATTGCTTTCATCTTGCTCTTTGTTATCTGTGTACTTTGGATTTTTGTTTTTGCTTTTTAACTTGTATTTTTGTTTCATAGGTCCTGTGTGATTTATGCATAAACAGGTTCATTTTGATGTGTTTCCAGGATTTGTTTCAAGATTTAGAGCTCCTTTTAGCAGTTCCTGTAGTGGTGGTTTGGTAAAATTCTCCCAGGATTTGTTTGTGTGAAAACAACTGTATCTTTCCTTCATATATGATGCTTAGCTTCATTGGACACAAAATTCTTGGCTAAAAATTCTTTTGTTTGAGGAGGTTCAAGATAGGTCCCCAGTCTCTTCTAGCTTGTAGGATTTCTGCTGAGAAATCTGTTGTTAATCTGATAGATTTTCCTCTATAGGTTACCTGGTGCTTCTGTCTCACAGCTCTTAAGATTCTGTCCTTTGTCTTAACTTTGGATAACCTAATGACAATGTGCCTCGGCAAAGATCTTTTTGCAATGAATTTCCCAGGTGTTCTTTGTGCTTCTTGTATTTGCACATCTAGGGCTGTCACGAGGCTGGGGAAGTTTTCCTTGATTATCCCCCAAATATGTTTTCCAGGCTTTTAGAATTCTTTTCTTCCTCTGGTACACCAATTATTCATAAGTTTGGTTGTTTAACATAATCCCAGACTTTTGGGTGCTTTGTTCATATTTTCTTATTCTTTTTTCTTTGTCTTTGTTGGACAGAGTTAATTTGAAGATCTTGCTTTTGAGCTCTGAATTTCTTTCTTCTATTTGTTCAATTCTATCACTGAGACTTTTGAGAGCATTTCACATTTCTAAAAGTGTGTCTAAAGTTTCCTGAACTTTTGATTGTTTTTTTTCTTTAAGCTATCTATTTCCATGAATATTTCTCCCTTCACTTCTTGTGTCATTTTTTTTGGATTTCTTTGGATTGGGCTTCGCCTTTCTCTGGTCCCTCTCTGATTAGCTTAAATAACTAATCTCCTGAATTCTTTCTCAGGTAAATCAGGGATTTCTTCTTGGTTTGGATCCATTGCTGGTGAACTAGGATGATTGTTTTGGGGGGTGTTGAAGAGCCTTGTTTTGTCATATTACCAGGGTTGGTTTTCTGGTTCCTTCTCATTTGGGCAGCCTCTGTCAGAGGGAAGGTCTAGGGCTGAAGGCTGTTGTTGAGATTATTTTGTCCCACTGGGTGTTCCCTTGATGTAGACGCTCCCCCTTTTCCTATGGATGTGGCTTCCTGTGAGCCGAACGGCAGTGATTGTTGTCTCTCCTCTGGGTCTAGCCACCCAGTGAGTCTGCCTGGCTGGAGGCTGGTACTGGAGGTTGTCTGCATAGAGTCCTGTGATATGAACCATCTATGGGTCTCTCAGCCATGGATACCAGTGCCTGTTTTGGTGGAGGTGGCAGAGGGTGCAATGGACTCTGTGAGGGTCCTTACCTTTGGTGGTTTAATGCTTTGTTTTTGTGCTGGTTGGCCTCCTGCCAGGAGGTAGAGCTCTCCAGAAAGCATCAGCTATAGTAGTCTGGAGAGGGACTGGTGGTGGGCGGGGCCTTAGAACTCCCAAGATTATATGCCCTTTGTCTTTCACTACCAGGTTGGATAGGGAAGGACCATCAGGTCGGGGCAGGGCTAGGCATGTCTGAGCTCAGATTCTTCTTGGGCAGGTCTTGCTGCCACTGCTGTTGGGGATGGGGGTGAGATTCCCAGGTCACTGGAGTTGTGCACCTAGGAGAATTATGACTGCCTTTGCTGAATCATGCAGGTTGTCAGGAAAGAGGGGGGAAAGCCGGCAGTCACAGGCCTCACCGAACTCCTACACAAACTGACAGGCCATTCTCACTCCCACCATGCCCCCCACCCCGCCAACAGCCCCGAGTCTGTCTCCAGGTGGAGGGCGAGATGGGCTTGAAAATTTGTGAGGCTATCCACCTCCCAGAGTATTTGGGGTGTCTCCTGGGTGCTACAGAGGCTGTCTGCTTCCTTCAGAGGGTCTGTGGGTTTTCTCAGGATTGCTGGTTTGTTCTTGCAGTTGATCTGGAGCTAAAATTCACAATGAAGACTCTGCATGCTGCAGAGTTGCAATCTAGTCCTGCTTCCTGTCTGCCATGATCCCTCATTCTTGCCAAACAAAATATTTTAAAGAGGTCTTACATCAATGCCTATATTTTTTTTTCCAACCAAGTGTAGAAAATGAGACCACTGCCTTCACAATGGAAGTGGAAAAACAGAACTCCATTTTTGACCCATCTCTAAACTAGACAGCTCTTTAAGGCACCAATATATTAAAATCTTTGTAGTGCCTCAGTTTGCAGCTTTATTGCCACGACGTGTGCAAGATGATGCTCCAATGATCAGAAGACTGTATGACCTTTGACACAAAATGAGCTGAGTACCTAGGTGTGGCATTCACTAGTCAAGTGAACACCCCTGAAGTTGATTATGCCTGTGAACTTACAATCATGACCTTCATTAGGAGGGTCCTAACTTTATTGAATCTTTTGCTCTCTTATGATATAAAAGAGGGATTACATTTTGCATGACAATATTATATTAGTTGAATTATAGGAGTACTCTTTGTTCCAATGATTTCTTTCTCAGACTATGTTTTCATAGGCTTGAAATGCTTTTTGCTACTTTTCAATTTATTCAACAAGAATAAATTCTTATTTATTTTTCTCAGATATTAATTTAAGTATATCCTCACAGAGTCCTCTCCTATCCTCCAATTAAAATCAGAACTTCCTGTTTGACCCTGACAACACCTTATCATAGTACTTGTCAAAATAAATTTAGTTGTGATTATTTATTTACTATACACATGATCGATCACTAATAGATTATAATCTTCAAAAAGCCAGTGTGTTCACTGTATATCCAACAACTGGCATAATGCCTGGCAAATGGCAGGTACTTGATAAATATTTATTGAGTGAATAAAGCATAAAATCCCCCAAAATAGGATAAATGACTTACCAGTGATATGGACGTGATTAGTTTTCGTAGATCCATTGGCAGTTGTGGGGACTTCTGAAAATGCTCTGGCTGTGCTGGTAAAGACATTGTCTAGGGATATAAAGGGGATATCTGGACAAGACATCTCAACTTGATCAAGTGGTATAAAACCATGATTGGGTTTCATATGTTATTTGAAAGAACTCAATTTAAATTGTCTAAGTATCCCTTAAATATTATGTGTAAAGTTTATTAAGAACCAATTTATAGCAAGGCTGGGATCCTGAGATTTGTCTAACAATTGCCAAAGGAATAAAATTTCCTAGTGGTTGAAAAAAAAATTCCTGTTGGTTGAAAATAGGAAAATTTCCTATTGGTTGAAAAAAAAAAAAAAGAAGCTCCATACTTCCAAACAACAAAATGATGTCTGCTAAAGAATCTCCATGAGAAATGTAAGTGGTACAGAAAAAGGCCAGAGTTGGGGGTCGTGGATAAGTGAGGCTCTGTTCCTGTTCTCTTGGTATGAGAGGTTCAGCTGATCAAAATACTAATTTCTCTCCACACCGATGTGTTTGATAAGGTTAATAAAAATTCATTTGCAACATTAGACTAAACAAATCCATGTTGACTAATTATTCTATTTTCCAATAAAAAAATTGAAATTTATTTTTCATAGATATAACTAGTAAAAAATGCTATTGTGTAGATTTTTTTGGAAATAAAATGTATAAAAATCTAAGGCTTGGTCTCTATCTTCTTTGAATGGCTGAGAAGAATTTTGTTTCCATTCATTGTAATTTTCATCATCAAGATGTACTTTTATATATCTATCTGAGGCTGGCTTCTTATCAGTTCTTGTTTTTACACCTGTGTCCAAATAAAGCTGACCACTAGCTTCAGTGTCCCTAAATCTTCCCCAAGTACTCACCATGAAGTGTTGAGCCTGCACCTGACGGGGATGAACTGTATGTTTCACTAGGTATCCGTGAAACTGCTAAAGGAAGAAGATATCAGAAGAGTTAACCTATATGAGACTATATTACCACTTCTTGACTGCTAATTTAATCTAATAATTATAAAAAAGGATATTAATGAGTACATAAAGCAAAATCATTAAACTGTTCCATAGCATACACAAGAATGTCCTCAAACAAAGTGGGAGTTGAAGGGATTCTTGTGGTTCAGATGTCTATAATGGGGAAGGTTTTAATTATGGCCACTTAGAAGCAGGAAAAGATATGGAAAGAAAACACTAGAAGGGGTTCCTCTAGCCAGAGTGTGTCATGCTCATTCCATAGATGAGCCAAAAAAAAAATGGAAGAGAATGAAGGTCCAGGTGTGTTATGGCGGCGTTTAGTCAAGAAAAGCTGCCAATAGGACTTTGAAGACCTTGCTAGAACATGCATAGGGGACGAAAACACTTTGTACTTGTGGGTCAGCTGACAGTCTTGCTGAACTGTGAAAACAAAACATGTCAGCAGTGAATTATCAGACCCCTGGGGTCACAGGCCTTGTCAGCTGCTGAGTGAGTCCTTTTGAAGCATTTAGAGACAAACCTTCCCCTTGAGTGGATGGCAGCAAACTCAGACAGCACATATGGCTTTTGAAATAGATCTAACAACTCATTTTGTTTATTGCCCCATCTCTGGCAAGAAAGAGTCACTCCTTGGCAGACACCACATATCTGTATTTGATAAAAGGCCTGCAGTGCAATGTAAAGTAAAATAACTATAGTAATACACGGTTGTAATCAGTACAAATATATTACATCCATTCATTTAAAATATTAGCATAAATGATGTTCATAGTTAAAAGCTTTCTTGTGTGCCAAGACCAAATCAAGTGAGCAAAATCAAAATAAAACAAACAATACCCTCAGCCCTCCGCTTTCCTTGTTTCTTCTTAGATGTCAACAGCAGCTGCAGTTGCTGACAAAGGTGTGTGATCAGGCCCTCCAGAAGAGGTAAGAGTCCATTCTTTAGGGCTTGATTACAGGACAATTTGTCATAGCTATTTCCATTTGGGGTCACCTGAGAAGTAAGAGTGGTTTCATACACAGCTTTTTTTCAGTCTGAGTTCAGGGAGCTGTTCTTATTTTCAATATAACTCTCTGATACTGCATATTAATTTTTGTTCTAGACAG
Organism: Homo sapiens; assembly: GCF_000001405.40. Taxonomy (NCBI): domain Eukaryota; kingdom Metazoa; phylum Chordata; class Mammalia; order Primates; family Hominidae; genus Homo; species Homo sapiens. The sequence goes on along the minus strand of NC_000003.12, from coordinate 111,636,046 downwards.
AATATCAAGGTCTATTGATGATGATGGACTAAGAATTTTTTAATGATTATGCCATTCGCCGGAATTTGATTTCCAAAGAGCAATAACTAACTGAAAAACAATTGGGACTAGGCCTAGATTTAGGTAAAATTATGAAGAAGGAAGTTTGTTCTGAATAACCTTGTAGTTTTTTGCTCAATATGGTATGGTGACTCCTTTCTTACTTTCTGACCTTGATGTCTTTATTTTGTATCTCATCAAAGTATGTTTGCAAGAAAGAATGGGATAAATTAATTTACGCTAAAGTCTAAATGGCTGAATAAGCACAATCCATTTAAGGAAAATGGGTATTTAAAAATATTTTCCATTTCATGTTTATTATCAGTGAGTCAATATAGAACATTTTGTAATGGTTAATGATGTGTGGACACTAATAGTTTTCAGCAAGTATACAGTGCCAGGCTTTTCTGGTCAATATTGATTTTCCCCAAGCAAAATAGCCTAACATAACACGATTTCAGGAGATGGTGATACCATCAGCACAATTACAAATTACAAACATTACAACACTTAAAATTATGCCATTTTCTTTTTGTAATTTCATGAAACTTCTTTTTGGACTTCTACTAACTTTCCCAATTTTAAAAGACCCCTCAAAATAATTAAAAAATTAAAAAACATAAGCCACTTTGGAAAAGTAGGGAGTTATTTTTCTAATTTTGACTTTGAGGTTTTTTGTTTTGTTTTTAATCTGTTAATAACATGTAGTGGGAAGTATGGTGAGAGAGGTGAAGAAAATGGAGTTTCCCGTTGATGGATTCCACATGTCTGAAAACACTTAAATACATAAAGGTAAACTTTCAAGACCAGAAAGATATTATAAAAAATAGCCTTTCAGCAAGATGAAGAGATGAACAATTCTGGTATCTCTTGCTCCTGCAGGAGAGAACATCCTGAAGAATGCTTGTTTATAGAATCGTCTGTAAGATGGAGTTGGCTACTTCTAGTGATTCATCTTTTGATGAAACAATACTTTCCTGAATGCTTATCCACTCTATCATTTAGGGATCTAATTTTCAGAATGTGAAAATTTGGCTAATTTGTATGCCCTTTTAAAGTCTTCTTGGGAGTCTCAGCAGAATTATGTTACTATTGTCTATTTTTTTTTTTTTGAGACAGAGTTTTTCTCTTGTTACCCAGGTTGGAGTGCAATGGCGCAATCGCACTCACTGCAACCTCTGCCTCCCGGGTTCAAGTGATTCTCCCATCTCAGCCTCTCAAGAAGCTGGGATTACAGGTATGTGCCACCATGCCTGGCTAATTTTGTATTTTTAGTAGAGACGGGGTTTCTCCACTCTGGTCAGGCTGGTCTCAAACTTCTGACCTCAGGTGATCCACCTGACTCAGCCTCCCAAAGTGCTGGAATTACAGGCGTGAGCCACCGTGCCCTGTCGCTATTGTCTTTTAATTGACTGAAATGTTCTGTGTACTTCAAGGCAACATTATGTTCGTTAACTGCATGAGGTAATTCTCCTTTAAATCCTTTGAGTACACATTTTCACAAATCTACAAACAAACACTACTTTGACATTTGGATGATAAACACCAGCTTGACTGATAAACTTCTCTACAGCACCAGTATCTGCTGAAAATATGAACATGAATACTGTGTTATTGGAGCTTCTCAAGTAAATTATTATATCCTTCCTTGAGCATAACATCAGATTCTTCCACGATTTCTTTAAATTTCATTTTTTGGTAAAGTTTGTTCAACAAAGACACTATTGATGGGCAGCATACTATTCTACCATAAATGGGTACTTCTCTTGAAGTTAACAGGTTCAACTTCAATAATAAAATATTTTTCCTTTAGTTGCAATAACCTCTTTGACATTCACCTGTGACAAGTTTATAGTTGTCAATCATATTATGACACATTAGGCATCTTTTCCCTTGGTAGGAAAATCTACTTAGTGTCATATCAAAGTCCATTATTACTAAAGTTTGGCATCTTCCTTTAATAAAACCACAGATAATTTGTTATTTTTGCAGGGTTCTTGATGCAAACTGAACTTTTCTGGAATTCTTGCATCATTTTTACATGCACAGCAGACTTTTGATGAGCAACTTCTTAGCTATTCAATACTCCTTAAGGCATTCTGAGTTCTTCTGTTTTCGATTTTGTCCTTGAACAACAGTATAGGTGGCAAACAATATCCGGAGATACAAGGCCTGGACACAGGAATTTTGATGATCTTGATTTTTCATCTCATCTTCCTTTTCAAGGTGAATATGTACTGGGCCAGCACCACCTCTGCCGCCAGGATGCACACACTGATGCTAGCTTCTGTGCCCAGTTTTGCCATGTCCACCTGGTCCACAAATGTGGCCCTCATACTCTTGCTGACAAAGATGACATTCACAAGCTTTGGAAGTATGGGGCTTATGCCTTAACCATGGGGAAACCCATGAAGCCCCCAGAAATTGGTGCAGGCGTGCCTGACCATGTATCTGTATCACAGACACAGATACTGCATTTGTTTTTTTTATTTTTATTTTTTTACAAATTGTAGCTTTGTGGCAACCCTGTGTCAAGCAAGTCTATAGGTGCCATTTTTTTTCCAACAGCATGTGCTCAATTCATGTCTTTGTGCCACATTTTGGTAATTCTTGCAATATTCCAAACTTTCATATTATTGTTATATCTACTATGGTAATCTGTGATCAGGGATCTTAAATGTTACCATTGAAATTATTTTGAGGCATCACAAACTGCACCCGTAGAAGATGGAGAACTTAATTGATAAATGTTGTGTGTGTTCTAACTGCTTCACTTGCTGGTGGTTCCCCCATCCCTCTTCCTCTCCTTGGGCCTTTTTTTTTTAATCTGAGACAAAACAATATTGAAATTAGGCCAATTAATAATCCTAAAACAGCCTCTAAGTATTCAAAGGAAAGGAAGAGAAGCACTTTTCTCACTTTAAATCAAATGCTAGAAATAATTAAGCTTAGTGAGGAAGGTACGTCAAAAGCTGAGATGGGCTCAAAGCTAGGCCTTTTGGGCCAAATTGTTAGCCAAGTTGTGAATGCAAAGAAAAAGTTATTGAAGGCAACTAAAAGTGCCACCTCAGTGAACACATAAATGATAACACTGCTGACATGGAGAAAATTCGAGAACATGTGGTGTTTGGCTTTTTATTCCTGCATTAGTTTGCTGAAAATAACAGATTCCAACTCCATCCATGTCCCTGCAAAGGACATGATCTCATTCCTTTTTATGACTGTATAGTATTGCATGGTGTATATGTATTACATTTTCTTTATCCAGTCTATTATTGATGGGCATTTAGGTTGATTCCATGTCTTTGCTATTGTGAATAGTGCTGCAATGAACATACCCTTGCATGTGTCTTGAATAATAGAATGATTTATATTCCTTTGGGTATACACTCAGTAATGGGATTGCTGGGTCGAATGATATTTCTGCATCTAGGTCTTTGAGGAATCGCCACAATGTCTTCCACAATGTTGAACTAATTTACACTTCCACCAGCAGTATAAAAGCATTCCTTTTTCTCCACACCCTCATCAGCATCTGTTGTTTTTTGACTATTTAGTAATAGACATTCTGACTGGTGTGAGATGGTATCTCATTGCGGTTTCGATTTGCATTTCTCTAATGATCAGTGATGTTGAGCTTTTTTTTCATGTTTCTGGCCACATGTATGTCTTCTTTTGAGAACTGTCTGTTCATGTCCTTTGCCCACTTTTTAATGGGGTTGTTTGTTTTTTGCTTGTAAATTAGTTTAAGGTATTTATAGATGCTGGCTATTATACCTTTTTCAGATGGATAGATGGCAAAAATTTTATCCCATTCTGTAGGTTGTCTGTTTACTCTGTTGATAGTTTCTTTTGCTGTGCATAAGCTTCTTAGTTTAATTAAGTCCCATTTGTCAATTTTTGTTTTTGTTGCAATTGCTTTTGGCATCTTCATCATGAAATCTTTGCCCGTCCTATATCCTGAATGGTATAGCCTAGCTTTTCTTCTAGGGTTTTTATAGTTTTGGGTTTAAGTCTTTAATCCATCTTGAACTGATTTTTGTATATGGTGTAAGGAAGGGGTCCAGTTTAAGTTTTCTGCATATGGCTAGCCATTTCTCCCAGCACAATTTATTAAATAGGGAATCCTTTTCTCATTGCTTGTTTTTGTCAGGTTTGTCAAAGATCAGATAGTTGTAGGTGTGTAGTCTTATTTCTGGGTTCTCTATTCTGTTCTATTCGTCTATGTGTGTGTTCTTGTACCAGTACAATGCTGTTTTGGTTACTATAGCCCTGCAGTATAGTTTGAAGTTGGGTAGCATGATGCCTCCAGCTTTGTTCTTTTTGCTTTGGGTTGCCTTGGCTATTTGGGCTCTTTTAAAATAGTTTTTTTTTTTTCCAGTTCTGTGAAGAATGTCAATGGTAGTTTAATGGAAATAGCATTGAATCTATAAATTGCTTTGGACAGTATGGGCATTTTCATGATACTGATTCTTCCTACCCATGTGCATGGAATGTTTTTGCATTTGTGTCATCTCTGATTTCTTTGAGCAGTGGCTTGTAGTTCTTGAAGAGGCTCTTCACTTCCTTTGTTAGCTGTACTCCTAGGTATTTTATTCTTTTTTGTGGTAATTGTGAATGGGAATTCATTCATGATTTGGCTGTCAGCTTGCCTGTTGTTGGTGTATAGGATTGCTAGCAATTTTTGCACATTCATTTTGTATCCTGAGATTTTGCTGAAGTTGCTTATCAGCTTAAGAAGTTTTGGGCTGAGAAAATGTGATTTTCTAGATATAGAATCATGTCATCTGCAAACAAAGATAGTTCAACTTCCTTTATTTCCTATTTAAATGTGCTTTATTTCTTTCTCTTGCCTGGCTGCCCTGGCCAGAACTTCCAATACTATGTTGAATAGAAACGCTGAGAGAGGGCAACCCTGTACCGGTTTTCAAGGGGAATGCTACCAGATTTTGCCCATTCAGCATGATATTGGCTGTGGGTTTGTCATATATGGTTCTTATTATTTTGAGGTATGTTCTTTCAATCCTTAGTTTATTGAGAGTTTTTAAGATGTTAAATTTTACTGAAGGCCTTTTCTGCATCTTTTGAGATAATCATGTGGTTTCTGTCTTTAGTTCTGTTTATGTGATGAATCACATTTATTAATTAGTGTATGTAGAACCAGCCTTGAATCCTGGGAATGAAGCCAACTTGATCATGGTGGATAAGCTTTTTGATGTGCTGCTGAGTTTGGTTTGCTAGTATTTTGTTGAGGATTTTTGCATTGATGTTCATCAAGGATATTGGTCTGAAGTTTTCTTTTTTTGTTGTATCTCTGCCAGGTTTTGGTATCAGGATGATGCTGGCCTCATGGAATGAGTTAGGAAGCATTTCCTTCTTTTAAATTTTTTAGAATGGTTTCAGTAGGAATGGTACCAGTTCTTCTTTGTTCCTCTGGTAGAATCCAGTTGTGAATCCATATAATCCTGGGATTTTTTTGGTTAGTAGGCTATTAATTACTGTCTCAATTTCAGAACTTGTTATTGGTCTATTCAGGGATTCAGTTTCTTCCTGGTTCAGTCTTTGGAGGGTGTATATGCCCAGGAACTTATCTATTTCTTCTAGATTTTTTAGTTTATTTGCAGAGAGGTGTTTATACTTTTCTCTAACGATTGTTTGTATTTCTGTGGGGTCAGTGGTAATATCCCTCTTATAATTTCTGATTGTGTTTGATTCTTCTCGCTTTTCTTCTTATTAGTCTAGCTAGTGGTATATTTATCATATTAATCTTTTTTAAAAAACCAGCTCCTAGATTGGCTGATTTATTGAAAGGTTTTTTGTGTGTCTATCTCCTTCATTTCAGTTCCAATCTTGGTTATTTCTTGTCTTCTGCTAGCTTTGGGGTTTGTTTGCTCCTGGTTCTCTAGTTCTTTTAGTTGTGATGTTAGTTGTTAACTTGAGATTTTTCTAGCTTTTTGATGTGAGCATTTAGTGCTATCGATTTCCTTCTTAGCACTGCTTTAGCTGTGTCCCAGAGATTCTGGTACATTGTATTGTTGTTCTTGGTTTCAAAGAACTTCTTGATTTCTGCCTTAATTTCATTATTAACCTGAAAGTCATTCAGGAGCAGGTTGTTCAATTTTTATGTAGTTGTATGGTTTTGAGTGAATTTCTTAATCTTGAGTTCTCATTTGATTGTGCTGTGGTCTGAGAGACTTTGTTATGATTTCCATTCTTTTGCATTTACTGAGGAGTGTTTTGTTTCTGATTATGTGATAAATTTTAGAGGAAGTGCCATGAGGTGATGAGAAGAATGTATATATTCTGTTGTTTTTGGGTAAAGAGTTCTGTAGATATCTATCAGGTCAACTTGATCCAGAGCTGAGTTCAAGTCCTGAATGTCTTTGTTGATTTTTGCCTTGATGATCTGTCTAATATTTTCACTGGGGTGTTAAAGTCTCCCACTATTATTGCATGAGAGTCTAAGTCTCTTTGAGGGTCTCTAAGAACTTTCTTTATGAATCTGAGTGCTCCTGTATGTGTGCATATATGTTTAGGACAATTAGGTCTTCTTGTTGAATTGAACCATTTACCATTATGTAATGCTCTTCTTTGTCTTTTTTTTTTATCTTTGTTGGTTTAAAGTATGCTTTGTCAGAGACTAAGACTGCAACCTCTGCTTTTTCCTGTTTTCCATTTGTTTGGCAAATTTCCCTCCATCCCTTTATTTTGAGCCTCTGTGTGTCTTTGCATGTGAGATGGGTCTCTTGAAGACAGCATACTGACAGGTCTTGGTTCTTTATCCAGCTTGCCATTCTGTGTCTTTTAATTGGGGCATTTAGCCCATTTACATTTAAAATTAATATTGCTGTGTGTGGATTTGATCCTGTAATCATGATGCTAGCTGGTTATTTTTCAGACTTGTTTATATGGTTGCTTCATAATGTCAATGGCCTGTATACTTCAGCGTTTTTTTGTAGTGGCAGGTAATGGTCTTTCCTTTCCATTTTTAGTGCTTCCTTCAGGACCTCTTCTAAAGCAGATCTGGTGGTAATGCATTCTCTCAGCATTTGCTTGTCTGAAAAGGATATTATTTCTTCCTTATGTATGAAGCTTAGTTTGGCCAGATATGAAATTCTGGGTTGAAAATTCTTTTTTATGTATGTTGAATGTAGGCTCCCAATCTCTTCTGGATTGTGGGATTTCTGCTGAGAGGTCCACTGTTAGTCTGATGGGCTTCCCCTTTGTAGGTGACCTGGCCTTTTTCTCTGCCTGCCCTTACCATTTTTTTCTTTCATTTTGACCTTGGAGAATCTGACGATTATGTGTCTTGGGAATGATCTTCTCATGGAGTATCTTACTGGGGTTCTCTGTATTTCCTGAAATTAATGTTGGCTTGTATTGCTAGGTTGGTGAAGTTCTCCTGGATGGTATGTTTTCCAAGTTGGTTCCATTCTTGTCTCTTTCAGGTACCCCAATCAGTCATAGATTCAGTCTCATTGCATAATCCCCTGTTTCTCAAATGTTTTGTTCATTTTTTTCACTCTGTTTTCTGTTTTTGTTGGCCTGTCTTATTTCAGAAAGACAATCTTCAAGCTCTGAGATTCTTGCCTCCACTTGGTCTATTCTGCTATTAAAGCTTGTGATTGCATTGTGAAGTTTTTGTAGTGTGTTTTTCAGCTCTATCAGATTGGTTATGTTCCTCTCTGTACTGGCTATTTAGGCTGTCAACTCCTGCATTGTTTTATCATGATTCTTAGCTTCTTTGCATTGGGTTACAATGTGCTCCTTTAGCTCAGTGAACTTCATTTTTATCCATATTCTGAAGGCTACTTCTGTCATTTCAGTGATCTCAGCCTTAGCCCAGATCTGAACCATTGCTGGGCAGGTGTTGAGATTATTTGGAGGAAAGGGAGCATTCTGGTTGTTGTTTTTTTTCTTTTTCTTTTTCTTTTTTTAAAGTTTTCAGTGTTTTTGTGCTAATTCTTTCTCATCTTTGTGGGCTTATCTGCCTTTGATCTTTGAGTTTGCTGACCTTTGGATGGTTTTTTTGTTTTGTTGTTGCTGTTGTGTTTTATTTGTTTTCTTTGAACGACTAGTCTGGGCACTCTTCTGTAGGGCTACTGTGGTTTGCTACGGGTCTACCCCAGACCCTAGTCACATTGGTTTTTCCAGTACCTGGAGGTATCATCAGTGAAGGTTGTGAAACAGCAAATATGGCCACCTGCCTATTCCTCTGAAAGCTCTGTCCCAGGGGGGTACTGACCTGTTGCTGGCCTGACCGTGCCTGTAGGAGGTGGTTGGAGATTCCAGTTGGAAGATCTCACCCAGTCAAGAGGAATGGAATCAGGGACCTGCTTAAAGATGCAGTCTGGCTGCATTTTGGTAGAGCAGCTGTGCTATGTTGGAGATCTCTTCAGCACCCAATTGATTTGGGCTCTTCAAGGCCCACAGCCTGAACTGGATGAGATGCCCAAACAGCAAATGTCTGCCTCACCCACTGGGCACTCTGTCCCAGGAAGAAATTAGAACTCTGTTGGCCATAGAACATGGGTGGGGCTGGCCAGAGGCCCTGGCTGGGAGGACCCTCCCAGTGAGGAGGAATGGATCTGGGTCTGTTTAAAGAAGCAGTCTGGTCATTCCTTAACAAAACAGCTGTGCTGGGGAACTGTGTTGTGGAACTGCCTCTGCTCTGTTCCGTTTGGACTTTCCAGTGCCTACAGGCTGGAAGGGCTGAGTCATCCAAACAACCAAGGTGATGGCCCACCCCTCCCACAAGGCACTCTGTCCCAAGGAGACATCAGAGTTCTGTCCATAGAATACAGCTGGTGGGGTGGCTGGAGGCCCCAGCTGTGAGGTCCTGCCCAGTGAAGAAGAACGGATCAGGGTTATGGCTATTGTTTTGGCTGGCTTCATAGTATTTCATTGAGTTATCTCATCCTATTTGCCATTTCTTATTACTGAACATATTTTTCACCCTCTTAATACCCTCTCACTCCTACTCATGTACACAGATTTATACATGTTTTCTCCCTGTCTCATCCCTTATATCTCCATCAAAAGCAAATGCTGTCCTGAATGTTTATAATTATTATTCACTTATAAAGCTTAAAATTTTATATCACATATTACGTCTAAGGCATATGGTGTTTATACTTGCTTTAAAATTTCATTAGAAAATATGCCATATGTTGTTATTTGGTATTTACTTTTTAATTCAACATAATGTTATTAAGATTCATTCATGCTGTTGTATATGGTTGCCATTCACTTGTTTTTCATTGCTCTTTAATATTATATTTTATTAGTATACTACAATTTATTTATCTGTCCTCCTGACTATGGCCATTTAGATTACTTAAAGTTTTTGCTATATGAACAGTGTTTCCTCCAAACATTTGTGTGCATATCTCATGCATAGATGTACTAATTTTGGAGGGATTTTTATATCTAGGAATAGAATTGTTGGATTGTAGGTATGCACATATTCAGCTTTGAAATACAATGCCAAAGGATGGTGGAAAGTGATGGTACCACCAGTAACATATAAGAAATTATGTTGAAAGGATGCTGGATAAATCCTATTCAATAGTTGGCAATATCAGATTTCTTAATTTTTGTAAACTGATTACATATAAAATGATTTTCTAATTCTAGTCTTCATTTATATTTCCTGATTACCAGAGACACTGAGCATTTCTTTTTTTTTTTTTTTTTTTTTTGAGACGGAGTCTTACTCTGTCACCCAGGCTGGAGTGCAGTGGCGCAATCTCGATCTTGGCTCACTGCGAGCTCCGCCTCCCGGGTTCACACCATTCTCCTGCCTCAGCCTCCCGAGTAGCTGGGACTACAGGTGCCCACCACCACGCCTGGCTAATTTTTTGTATTTTCAGTAGAGATGGGGCTTCACTGTTAGCCAGGATGGTCTTGATCTCCTGACCTCGTGATCCACCCGCCTCAGCCTCCCAAAGTGCTGGGATTACAGGCGTGAGCCACTGCACCCGGCCGAGATTGAGCATTTCTTTAGATGTTTCTAGCCACGTGTGTTTCATGTTTTGTGGTGTGACTTTTGTTTATTTTGTCATATTTGTTATTAATTTGTAGGCATTCTTTGTAATCTCTTGATGTAAAATTTTGATCCTTAGTCAATTATATATTCCTGATTCATTTTCAATTATATGTGTGGCAAATATGTTCCCCAGATTATAGCTTGCTTTTTGTTTTACTTTTTAAAGACGTCTTTTGATGAACCCAAGTTTCTTAATTTTATTCTAATTTTTACATATTTTTTATGGTTATGTCTCTTTGTTAAGCCCTTCCCTACTCCAAAGCAGGAGGAAATCCACATTTATTTTATTCCATGTTTTAATGTTTTGCTTTTGACATAAAGATCTTAAACTATATAGAGTTATTTTTGTGTAATGTGCATGGCAGGGGTACATTTTAATTTTTTTTCTTATCAATAATCACTATTTCTAGATCCTTTTGCTGAACAGTCTCCTCTTTTCACAGTAATCTGCCACACCATCTTTGATAGACACTTAAGTTCCATTTATTTTTAGATTTCTTTCTATGCTCCCCCTTCTGAATACTGTCTTTTCAATTCTTATATTTGGGTACTGGGTTCATGGGTGTCTATTACATTAACATATTTATTAAAAGAAATATGTTAAATTACAGAGGGTCATGCATCGACCAATGATGAAAGTGTCTCATGAATTAAATATTATGATTAATTCAAATCTGTGAGCCTGAGGGCCATCAAAAAGATAAAATAAATAAACAATGCTACAAAGAGCAGTCCTATTCATGTTCTTTTTCTCTCTTTCTTGCCTAAGGACAAGTTCCCAGGAATGAGGGAGCAAGAGTATATGAAATATTTTTAAAGGTTTTAACTGTAAAACTTAAATGCTTTCCAAAGGGACATACACATTACGCTTTGTGGCAAAGAGTCTAACATTTAAATTCAGAGTTCTGGCCCTGTGGCATCCATCGTCCTCTCTCCTTTTGCTCCAGCCTCCTTCCTTACCACTTCCCCACCACACTGATCGTTGTCTAATACCACTAAGAGGCAATATATTTCTTCTTCAGATCCTGTCTGTATCTGCTAAAGCAGCACTTACAGACTCTACTGCTAGTTGGCCAGATTAAAAGGAAGAATGAAACAATTTCTGGACTCACGTTGGTCTCTCTCTTTTCATTTTTATTACTGATACGCATTTTCTAGCTAGTTTGCTCTTTCCCCAAATATATTCACAGCTTGCTCTTTCGGGTTGACTGGTTATAGCATTGCTCAGATGTCACCTTCCTCAGTAAGACCTTTCAAGACTGCCCATTTAAAATGGCAACCCTTCACTCTCGATTCCCACTGTCTCCCTCCTGTGCCTTTTTTTCATATAACTTATCACCACTTGTCTGTCTCCCCTTAATCAGAATTTGGAGCTTAGATCTCTTTTGTCCATGGGTGTAGTCTCAGAATCTACAACAATACTTTAAACATGATAGATGCTTTGTGAACATTTGCAAATATTATTACAAACAAAGCACATAGATGTCGTTCAATATATCTGTCGGATGAATGACTGAAGTCCAGAGGACTCAAGGGACCCACGATTATACTTAACATTTTTTGGTATCTGTCCCACTGGAGGTCCAGGGATAGTTGAAGCCTCGGGTAGTCATACTGGAATTGCTGGCTGAAAGACAAAATTATTTTCAGAATCCAGCTTTTTTCGAAAGCTGTAATTTAACTTTGCTTTGATGCACAGAATTTTTAATCTATGTGACTTTGGGGAAATCTGAAATTGAAAATGTGCTTCCCTATGCAGGAACACTAGCTGGCATATTAAGCAAAAGCTCTGTAGTTTATGTTTAATGCCAGCTTGTCACTGATTTGTGTTCTTTTTCTGTTCTTGTCACAAACTCAGATCACTGAGAGTATTGTGAAGACTACTTTAATATTACCTTAAAATCCCTTGACAAATAAAAGATACAATATAATAAATCACCAGCCCTTATTTTTTAAGATTATAGAAATTGTCATATCAATATATAGTCACCGCAGAGTAACCCAAAACCAAGATATTAACAAACATCAAATGAAAAATACAGCTGTTTGCTGAAACGTCAACATTATAGAAGCAGTAGTAAAACTTGTGAGTGTGTTGTCTCTTTCCAATCATGTAGGAAAACTTTGCTGAACTCACGTTGAGGAGTGGTGTTTGGCCTCAAGGCACTCACATCTACAAGGGTCACTGAAGATGTAGCTGGATATCCTATTTTGAAAATAAAATTCCCAAATTATTATATGTATTTACATTCGTATGTTTAACTGTGCCACTACATTTAACAAGAGCCTGGAATATTAGAGTTGGAAAGAATCTTAGTGAACAGCCTCATTTTATAAATGATGAAACCGAATCCAAAAGGAATATGCTTGTGGTTAAATAATCAATATCCAATATCATTTCTTTGCTATTAACCCGGTTTCCTAATTCTAAATGTATTATATTCATACTTTCAAAATATATTATTTCAGTGTCTACTGTATGCCAGACTCTATTCTGCACGCTGGGGATATAGTAATAAACAATGAAGACAGGGTCCCTGCTCTCATGAAACTTACCTTATAGTGAATTTTCACAAATACTACTGTGAAAACCGTATCTTCACATGCTAAATATGGTTTCATATTTACTTCAATTGTTAGTTTGCAAAGTCATTTCTCCATCTTTATACTCCATAATTGTTACATTCTCTTCCTTCCCCCTCACTCCCCCAAAATGAAAGACTGATTCATATTCATTTGAAAATAGCTCTATATTTTAGAACTATTATATAAAGCAAGGTAGATTAAAGAAGAATATCCAACAACAGTCCATTGAAATCAGGTTTATATCTCTTGGAAATAAAAATTTTAAATACATTTTGTGTGCATTTCTCTTTTGGTCCAAAATGTATTTAAGGTGGTTTATATCAATGTGCAATACAAGAAGATAAAAGCAGAAAGGCAAAATAGGAACAAGGAAAATACAGTAGAAAAATTATGTTGAGTCCTGTTGAAACCTAAACAGGGATAGTGGACAAAGTGCATTTCCTGATGTCTTATGCTCTTAGTAGATGTGGGCCCCACATTTGGTCTGACCTTTCTGGTAGGAAGTGCTAAGAAATAAAGAGTATAGGTTATGTGCTTGATGAATATAATAAGATAAAAACAGTATTATTATGAATAGCTAGAGAAATAGTTATTCTTTTTGTTGTGATTAAAAAGAAACTTTTCCCCAGATCTTCATAAAAAGAATGCTGTATAATTGTGTAAAGTATCCTATAAAATATCATTACAGTATGATAGCCAGTATGTTCATTCATCCTCAAGCTTTAGTTGGTAGTGAATGGCAGCCAGCTTTCCTGGTACCTCAGTTATGTGAAAGGACATGCCTTAAATAGAGAACATGGGCAATCAAATCAAATGAATAAGTTGGCATTGTGGTTAATGCATTTATAAGTAGTTCACATCCAGAGGTCATCAATGATAACCTTTTTTTGCAATGCAGCCTATCAATGAACTACAAAAAGATACTTACACACCGTGGCTTCATGATTAAAAGAGTCATACATATAAAATACTTAGAAGAGTGCCTGACATGTAGTAAATGCTAAAAAGTATGTCTTAGAATCTGTAAAATAGGTCACTTGCAGTTTAGCAGATGTTGATAATACAAGCATATTCTAACTATAGGCCACTTGAATCTCCTGAGGAGTTCCACAATTACCCCATTTACCTTGGTCTTTCTGGAAGAAAGTTGATCTAAGGTAACTAATTCTTTCTTCCCCAGGCCTGGCCCAAGTCAAGAACTACATTCCAAAGTGTTGCACTAGAAAAGGGCTAATAGTCAGAAATACAGAGTGTGATAGTAGGCTGGGGCATTAGCTTTGTGGTAGGGTAATAACTTCTCACTGGCAGAATCACCTACAATTCTTCTCCTCTGCCATCCCACTGAGCCATCAGTACCAGATTCTTGTGCGGTAATTGTAACTTCTAGCTCACTGCCTCCCACCATTCATCAAAGGCTGTATTAATAGAAAAATTGCACAAGATTGACTACCTAAAGCATATATGATGCTTTTGTAGATTGCTTTGAACTGAGTATTGGAACTACATTCCTAGTCACTGTGGAATTGCTCTTATATAGTACTGAGGATTTTCCCATTGGCTGACACTAGATGACAGTCTAATACGATGCGGGGAGGGGTCGCCATTGTTCACTTGCAGTGAGAAAGTCCCTGGGACTGTGCTCCACCACGCCCTCTAGAGGAGGGCCCAGGCAGTCTCTGCATTAAGAGCGGCTGTGCTTCTGGACAACTGCCTTGTTATACCATTTTACAAACCTATGGATCACCAAGTGATTTATAATTTTATTTCTGTCATTAAGAAGACTTTGCTTTTGTTCTCTCTGCAGCAATTCCTTCAGTTACCTCTTTTCAAAATTCTGTATTGTTATGTATTTTTAAAGTTACTTCATATTCCTTTTGGGACAAGACAAGGTAAAAATTATATAGAAGAAAATAAATAAATTAGGTATAAGTAATTTGAACACTGTGAGATACTGAGAGATATGATAGGCTCTTCCTAATGAATAAAGATGGTTCTTTCCTCCTTCCTCCCCTACCTTCTCTCTCTCATGCTGAGAATTAACCTCCAAAAGTATTTGCTGAGAGACTTGGTAAGTAAATTCAAAGGAATTGTTCTTAACAGTGGTGCTATGATAACAATTGTCATAATGAGGATGATGAAAAAGATCTAGGAAATAAACATCAAAGAACTTAATATTTATTTGTAAACTACATGACCACTACCTAGAAATCTCAGTCTAATAAGCAACTGCCAGCAGCCTTTAAAAATATATCTTACCTGCAAGCAACAGACACTTTCCTATGCCAGCCTGGTTGCCCACACTGGGTGCTGGCACTGACCAGGACATGTGATTTAATTCTGGCAGGAATCACAGGAATCCTGATGAAGTATAACTTGATTGGGAATTTCATTTATATTAAAATGACTGATTAAATGTTCTCTTCTGGAGGTCAGAAAATAATGTGACATAAATCATTTCTCAAGGGTTACTGCAGGAGAAGGAGAACTCACTCATTTGATTCTACCTATTATGTTATTTAGGGACCTTGTTGGGGGAGAAACATGCCTCAGGGATGCATGCTGCCTTAATCCTTGTGTGACTATGTCTCTGCCCCAACTTAGACATCTATGTTGCTTTACCCTTCTCACACACAGTGCTGTGGAGTACATTGAGGGCTGAATACATGCCAAGTGTGGGGAACAAAAAGATCAATGATACCTAGTCTCCTAGTCTCTTTCCCCAGGGAGCACAAAGTTATTTCGCTCCTATTGGTCTCCAGCTGAATTTTCTTTAGACTTTCACTTGAGGGTCTGAACCAACTTGACAGGTTATTGGGATAATGACCCCTTTACTATGGGACCTCACTCATTATGTAGAAGTCAGAGTTAAAGTCTTTTAGAGAACTATGTAGTTCCTAGATAAATTAAATCTACCCCTCTCTCTCCCACTTTACACTGTGGTTCAAGGTTAAGGCCCCTTCACATTCCATGACCTGATCTCTAAAAACCTTCACATAGTCCTCTCTTGATACTCCCTGCATACATTTTTTTTGTTTGTTTAACCAACATTTGAGAGTCTCTAAATTTCAGGCACTGTGCTTGGCACTGGGAATACTGCTCTCCTGGAGTTTAAGTTCATGAAGGAGATGGACATCAACCAGACGATCACATAAGCCAATTCAAATGCTAGAACATATTAAAGCAGGGGTAGCCCAGTCAGAATCCCAGGAAAGCTTTCCCAAGGAATTTAGTGGGAGATTGTGGCCAGCGGAGGGAGGGTGGGAGCTTTCAGGCAGAGGGCATAGCCATGCAAAAGCCCAGTGTGTGGTCTCACATGTCATGGATTAGTAATAGCCATGTCTGGCACCTGTCCATTCCAGGGCTGGGCTTTTACAAGCCCTCAGGGGTGTTTTTTCCATGTGCTGAGTTGAACTGGATGTGAGAGCTAGGTGGGGCGTTACCTGCCAAAGTGCATATCCAAGACAAAAGCAGCAGGAGAACAGTGACCAAACTGTGGCACAGTGTGCAGCAACACTGCTTATTTCTTAGGAGTTTTGTTTTGTTTTAAAAAATCCCTTCTTAGAACCTGACCTGGAGATTCTGTAACTATATAAGAACATGTCTGACTGTCTCTTGATATCATGCAGAGAATTAAAAAATTTTATTTGCATTCCTCATAGCCATGTTTTTGAAAGATTCATATTGATCATATATTTCCAGATGTGAGAAAGCTTGCTTTGTACCTTTTGTTTTAAGGCTAAGTTTATATTTCACAACATAGCAAAATCTCTTCAATATTCAATAGTGTGTTCTAAATCATGAGATACTATGTAGGCAAGTAAGATGACAAACTCTGTGATAGGGAGTTGATGGCTTTGTTTGCTGATTGTTTATTCCTTCTTCAATGTAAATGTTTATTATTATCAAATCTTGCAAGTATCCAGAGTTACACTATAATGACCCATGTCTCCAGGAAATAAGATGAAATTTAGAGGTAAACACTACTTCACACAAAATGTTTTGTTTATACTAGCTCAGAAATGGCCATGAGGTTACATGAGGAGGTTTGAAGCCTTCCTGGCTCATTTCTATTTTAACTCTTTAAAAATTTTCTCACTAAAATAAAAAAAAACCCACCCTTTTATGCTATCACTGGAAATTCAATTAAGTTAGAAGACAGCTCCAGTCAGTGCTGAATTGAGTGGGCAGACAGAAACATGTTCTAAAAGAGCTAATTCTGGTCATCTCCATGTGACATCATTAAGCAGAACTGAATCTCTTAACCTATACTCTTGCCAGTCTTCCTAGTGACCTAACTGCTAGAGAAAGGAAAGGTAGAGGAAGGCTAGAAGACCTATGGTTGATTAACTTTTGGGAAATACTGAAATATTTTCCAAACAACATAGATTTTAAAAATAATTTAATATGGACCTACTATATGCCAAATAAAAGAAGCAAGTGAGCAGTTGCAAAGTAGCATAAGTGGAGCATAAAGAATAAGCTGGTAACTTAAAAAAAAAGCGAGGCCGGGCGCAGTGGCTCATGCCTGTAATCCCAGCACTTTGGGAGGTTGAGGCGGGTGGATCATGAGGTCAGGAGATTGAGACCATCCTGGCTAACACGGTGAAACCCCCGTCTCTACTAAAAATACAAAAAATTAGCTGGACATGTAGTCCCAGCTACTCGAGAGGCTGAGGCAGGAGAATGGCGTGAACCTGGGAGGCGGAGCTTGCAGTGAGCTGAGATCGTGCCACTGTACTCCAGCCTGGGCAACAGAGCGAGACTCTGTCTCAAAAAAAAAAAAAAAAAAAAGAGAGAAATAAATTTGGTCATTGTTTCCTCCTTCAAGGAATTAAAAATTACATATAAAGGTCTTGATTTATTTTGAGATGGTTTTTGCTTACTAGACTCTTAATCATGACATTTCTTCTCAAACTGGACAGTATGAGTCGTAGCTTCATTGTTGTTTTTTATGCACTTTCACATTTGATTCTCCTAATAATTGTATGAACTAGATAATGTTACTCTCATTTTTTTAAGACAAGGAAACTACTACAGAGGTGAAATTGTCACGGGATCCTTGAGGTCTTGCTTTGCCAGCCAGAAATTCTGTGGCCAGTGGCACCTTCTGCCTGAGTATTGCTCACACTTCTGGGCTCATTCCACCCACTTGGTTTGGCAGGCTGTGCTTGGTCTGTGCTACCAGCCTGGATCCCACACCTGCCAAGGGTGAGCCAGGTGCAGAGCAGCAAGGGGTGTGTGAACGAGTGAGCGTGGGGTCTGGCCACTGCACACAGCCAGGCACACTGGCTGCTGAGGCAGGGTGGGAATCTCCAGGCTCCAGCATGGGTGCCGACTCTGTGTGATGCTGCTGCTGGACCAGATGTATGGCAAGCAGTTTCTGCTGCAGGCACTGGTGTCTGGACAAGGGGAACACTGTGGCACCAGAAAGCTTGGAGATGCCAGGAACTGTAGAGCTCCAAAGAGGGTTTTACAGCCCTGGCCTGGGAGGCCTTAGGTCTGGGCTCCCTGAAGGGCCACAGCTCTTCTCTCCTTCTCATTGCTTGCAATGTGGTGAGCAGGTGGGAGGTGTGTTTCAGCTGGGTTTGTGTTACAACTCTTTCAGTCCCACCATTCAGTAGGTCCCAAGTTCTTGTCTCGCCCCCAAGAAGAACGAGGTATGCTGACAACTGGAGGGTGAGCAAGGTGGAGAGGAGCTTCACTGAGCCACAGAACAGCTCTCAGGAGACCTGAAGTGGGTAGTTCCTTTCCATATGCAGGCTGTCCCAATGAGTGTCCAGCTCTCAGTGGAGAGGAGACCTGTAGTGGGTAGCTCCTTTCTGCAGGCAAGTTGTCTGGATGAGGAGACCCATAGTGGGTAGCTCCCTCCCACAGCTGGTAGTCTTGACTTCTTTCTGAGTCTGGCTGAATCCCCGGTTTTTCATGGGCTCAGAAGGGAGAAAGTGCATGGTGATTGGTCCATAGATGGCCATAGGCAGGCCAGGAAAAAGCACTATCCAATTGGCCCAGTGGTCATCGATGAAGTTATTACTCATATCCATGGACTTCACTTGGAACTGGCAGCCTGGCTCCCAGGCTTCAGGCCATGCCTGGCCTGAAGGTGGGGTTTCACTGGGGACCTACACCTTTCCATCCAGGAACCTAGTCAGCCTCCCACTGTCATCATGCCTTCCATAGCCCAGGCTGTTTGCACCAAATGGCACCTGCAGGCCTGCACCCAGCTGCCCTCAGCCCATCTCCACCTGCTGCCTCCTTCCTGTGCTCCTTGGCGCCCAAAGTCTGGAGGGGGCCAAGGTGGGGGATTGGTGTGTCAGTGCTGCCCCAAGTGTGCACACACCTGGCCAGGTTGTGACAGTGCCTGGGCTGAGCCTCATCTTTGCTCTGAAATTGGAGCAGGTGCTGGGAGTGGGAAGAGTCCAGGGGGTGGAAGCAGGCCCTTCTGAGCCTGCAGAAGCGGGGGTGTTCCCAGGCCCTCAAGAGAGCAGGGGTGTCAGGGTCTGGAGCCACAGCTGGGTGGCTGCAGCTGCCCTGAAAGCCCAGGGCTCCTGCCTTGCCAAGTCAGTAGGGGGCAGGCTCCCTCCTGTTCTCAGCCTCTACGGGCTCAACAGTCCCAGCCAGGCCTCCCTCACTACAGCTGGCATCCCCACAGCAGCTAGTCCAGTCGGGCAGCTGCTGCCATCAGAATGACTTGCTCTAGGCTACAGAGCCAGTAGGTGGCAGAGACAACAACTGAACCCAAGGCTGTCTGACACTAAAGACTATATTTATTCCATTCTGGTAGCCTTATAAGTGTAGTTAGCCTTGCTGCAGCATGCATCATCATCATCAGGGCCTAGCCACGGAAGAGCTCACTCATGATGTCTAGCACGCAACCACCCAGAATAGCAGGCCTTTGATAGCTTCTCTTCCTGTCCCACCACCACCTTTCAGCTTCCTGTCCCACCACCACCTTTCAGCTTCCTGTCATAAGGCTACCCAGACATCAGCCCTAGCCAGATGGCTTTTCTTTAGGGAGATATCCTCTGCATTCCCTAAAGCCTTCCTTTGTTAATCTCTTCTTTTTTATACTTAAAAAAATTCTCCATTTAAAAAATATTTACTGAATTATCAATACTTATTGGTAACCATGTGTTATCATTGTTCTAGGTGATACAGCTGTATCAGTAGACAAATAAGATAAAAAACACTGCCCTCATCAGATTTACTTTTTTTATGTGTGGAGAGGAGCCAAACAGGTAACTTATAGACGGTGTTAAAATGTGTTATGGAGAAAATACAGCCAAAAAAGGGGAACAGGAAATGGGGTGGGAGGCAGCTGCAATTTAAAATATGATGGTCATGGAGTACCTCATCGAGAAGGTGACATTTGAACAAAAATTTCGAGAAGATGAGGGTGTGATCCATGTAGATATTTGGGGGAAGAATTTTTCAGGCATAGGAAGTGAGGTTAAAAGGCCCTGAGATGAGAGAAATCCTGGTATGTTGAAGAAACAGCTAGGAGGCTAGCTTGGCTGAGCAAAGCAAGAGAAAGGGAGAGGGCAGTCGTGGGGGATATATCAAGTAGGGTATAATGTGGCTTTTCATGCTAACTGTAGATTTCTGCTCATCTTTACTGCCCACTTCCCTCCTCCCCTCACTAGATGTTGGTCCTTGTGAGCCTGGTTTTGTTTACATCAGTATCTATCTCAAGTAGATACATAATTCTAAACCTAGATTATTTGCTTTCATTCTAAACCTAGATTATTTTTATTAAAACACACATGCACGCAGACACACACATACACACACACCCCTTAGACAAAGACAGACTGGTCAATCAGCCACTCTATTTCCTACCTTGGGTTCTTACTGTATTTCCAAATGGATTTAGAGGTTCTAATAATAGAATACAACATGTTGACACTTACTGTGAACCAAGTGCTATAGAAGGTATTTTGTTTGCTTAGTCTCTTCTGTTGCTTTTAATCACCCTTAGAAGAAGGAACCACCCACGTGAAAGCTTTCCCTTTTCTGCATTCTCCTGTCTCCCTTCATGTTCCTCAAGCATCCTCACCTTTGGCCAATGCTTCTAGAACTCAGTGTTTATCTTCCATCCATCACACTATTGCTAAGAACTACAGCTTTCTGTGGATCCTCTCAGTGGGTTAACCATCACCTCATCATGTTTGCTTCATTTTCACTGTATTTCCTTTAACTCTTCAATGGTTAATGCAGAACAAAATTTTTAAATGGAATACTTGTACCTTCATTTCAGATGAGGTTCCAAAGGTTAAGAACCATAATACAGGGCACAAGCCACCTCACGTTGAAAGCAGGGTTCTAGCCCACCTATGCAGGACATGCGAGGCAGTGTGGAGTGGGACCTGTCAGTGGTGGTCCATCATCAACCTCAAAGCTGTGTGACGGGGTGGGAGCAGACTGGCTAAGAGTTCCTTTGAAGGGTCCTGTGCATCAGGCCCTCCCTCATGGAGAAGATGAAGAAGAATCCGCTCCTTCACTTTAGACCAAGCGAAGTGTGGATCTGAGAGAAATACTCATATCTCTTGACCTGTGTGTCCTGGAATTTAGGACAAAGGGGCATGGTGCCTTACTCAGGCTGGAGAGGCTGCATTAGGAGTCCATGGTTGGTTAGTGGCTCTGAATGGGCATGGAGAAGAGAGACAGGGCCACACTGGTGAAGAGGAGCACTTCCCCCATAGAGTAGGCAAAGGTGCACATTTTTCCAGACATAATAGGGTGCCATGAAAAGAATCTCACTCAGGAAGAACACCTAGAGGAACAAAGAAGCCCCCAAGAGGAGCTGACCTTCAGAAGTTTAGAGGCTGCAGAGAGAAGGAAGCAGAAGACCAGAAGAGAGGCATGGCCTGCACCAAGGGACAGCAGCCATAGGACAGTCAGGGATTTCTGAAAAATCTGCCAGAGTGCCCCATGAAGTCAATATGGCAATTTTTATTCTCCTCATCCAGAGGACACCTAAGTCAGATTACATCCAGCCTATTAAGGAAGTTCCTTCCTTACCTACCTCTCCCTCTTCTTCTTACGCCATTCCCCATAAAGAGGGACCCAAGCCAGCAGCTAGGAGCGGAGGAGAGGATGAAGCCAAGTCAGGGAATCAGAGACATTCCCTGTCTCTTCCCTACCCCCACCTCACATATCCCAGCGTTTCCAAGTTGAGTTAGAGCCACACTTGGGGGAAGGAAGAGGAAAGAAGTTCTGGACTAAATTAACTTTTTTGAGTTTTGACATTACATTTGACAAGAGTTTTTAATTATTGACACAGGTCTGTTCTTGTGGCTGAAAAGGACCAGATGACATTTATTATATGGAAATCACCAAAAAAGCCAAATAATCTGTCTGAAATTTCTTTTAGAGGCCAAGAAAAAATTATTCAATATATCTCATTTGAACAGAGAAGAATGGAAAAAGTAAAAATTATTCTTTGCTAACCTACCGGTTTAGCTTATTTAATCAACCAAGTACAAAGGTAAAAGTTATTTGTAAGTTTCAAGCTGCTGGTTAACTTATCTGGTTAGTCAGACTCTGCTATCTAAGGTTTTGCCTTATTCCAATGTAAAACTGAACCTAAAAATTTAACTTATTGTCTCAAATAGAAATATTTCCATTGGGCCTTTCATTCTATCACTATAGCACCTATCGGCATAGCACAGACTTAGACTTAGCCATCTAGTTTCTGGACAAATGTGTAATTGCTCTCCATCAATTCACCTGCAGCACAAAGAGCCTTTAAACACAGTAGTGACATTAACTGGACAATATAGGCCTTCAACTACATCTAAACACATTTGAATCAGCTTCATCATTTGAATCAGCTTCATCATTTGAATCAGCTTCATCAATCTGTGTGGTCAGGATAACGTGGGCACTGACCTTCAGCCCAGCATAAAGGAGACATGAGGTGTGAAACCTAAACCTAAATCTAAACCCTGCATAAAATTTTTCTCATGTGGGAGGCAGATTGTTTGGGGCATGTGCTGACTAAATGGGGAATAATAATGTGTATTGCTGGATTACTGGTCCAGAAAGGGTTTCAGGACTCCCTTGGGGAAGATGACAGTAAGCAGGACAGAGCTCATCACGCATCATGTGGTGAGCTTGTAGATACTCAATAATTATGAAATAAACTGAAAAATAGGTCAACTGATAGCTTTTACCCTGAGGAATCTCACCCCAAGGGGAGTAACTGAATAGATGAATACCCAAAGTAAACTAGTCATCAAGAAGGCTAACCTTGACTTACAGGTGACAGATGTAGAAAAAAGAAAAATCCTTTTAACAGTCTGCAGAATGTTGTGTGCCCCAGGTGGAAGGTGATGAAAAAGATACAATAAACAGAATTTCCCAGGATTCAAGGAAAAGCATTGGAGTTTTGTATGGATTCTGTAGATTCATATCTACAGTGAGAATTATATGATAATAGTGTTGATGGCGGGGGTGGGCTACAGATGCAGGAGGGGTTTCTCTAATTTATTTCCAACTGAGGAAATGTTATCTTCACTCTCAGATGCTGCATGTCTCAGGAAAACACTGGTCTGAAAAAGGGAGAGATTAATATAAGCATAGGTGTCATGTTTGACCTTTTCCTAAGACCTATAACAGCTTCACACTAGAAGGGATTTATTCAGTGTCTAAAGACATTTATTCAGCACCAACCATGTACTCTTTGAGGCAGCAGGACTCAAGGTCTGAAGTCTGTCTGGGCTCAATACTGGCTCATCTACTTTCTGCATGACTTTGGGTGAGTTATTTAACCTCTTTGTGCCTCAGTATCTTCATCTGTAAAGTGGGATAATAATAGTACCTAAGTAATTGTGTTGTTGGGAGGATTCAATGAGAAAATACATTTACTAGTTTAGAACAGTCCATACACATTGGAGGCAACCAACAAATATTAATATTATTGCTTAGTATTATTATACAATCATGGCAGTTGGTAAACATTTTTATGTAATTGCTAGGGAAAAAATGGAAAGGTCCTTGTATGATTGTTCTCTGAAAACCTTTTTAGTCCCTGTATTTAGGCAGACAATCCTGGTGAGCCTCTGTTGCAGCACTCTCCATTTCTACAAATGCCCATTCTAGTTCAGATCATATCATTTTTTTAACCACCTTCGTGATCATGGAAAACAAACTTAAACCACTTTAAATCTATATCATTTAGTCTTTTTTCTCCCTGCTCTTGCAACTATCACCTACCATATACATAACTGCTGTTTTCCTGACATTTTCCCACATACAAAAAAAGCCATAGTGGCTATTTGTTGTTCAGATCACAGCCCCGATTCATAGCCCATTAGTTGACGTTTAAACACAGTAGTGACATTAACTGGACAATACAGGCCTTCAACTACATCTAAACACATTTGAATCGGCCTCATCAATCTGCGTGGTCAGGATAACATGGGCACTGACCTTCAGTCCAGCATAAAGGAGACATGCTGGGCTGTGGGCTATGAATTGGGGCTAAATGAGTTGAAGCTCATCTTTACCTTGTTCCACCCCACCTAATCAACCCTTAGCCCTCTCCCAACAAGCAATGTCAGAACTCCTGCTTGTCTTCTCATGTCCTGCACTCATTTTGTTTTACGCCTTTGCTTATGATGCGAATGTGAAGATCCATTTCTCATCTTTCTTCCACCTGAGTCAGTATTTTCTTCCAGACCCTGCATGAAGACTTCCCTGATCCCCCTTCCTTTCCCCCAGCACTCACTGACTTTTCTTACTTTTCAGCAGCAGATACATGTTGATAAAGGCAGAAACTATTGGACAGCAATTGAGGCACCTGAATACAGGCATGGCATGACTAGCAAAGGGGTCAGAAGTTGCTATCACAAACAAATCACTGGAGCCTTCTCACTGTCTTGCAGACTCTCTCTGGCGTTCCCCTGTTAACACTAGAATCCAATGCCCCTATCAACTGCCGAATTTCTGATTTACTTTCTTCTAATCTCATCTAATGACATGTCTTCTGGGTTGATCCCCCACCATTTCTGACATGCTTACTCATAAATCAGTAGTTTTGTTGCATCCCCTGGTCAGTTGCTTCCTTTACCCTGTGCCCCTCAATGTCTGATCATCCACTTGCCGAAGATCAGTTATGTCTACCTGGGGTGCTGGCTGAGGGTTAGAGGCAGACTGGACCTAGTGTTTTACTCTAAGTATCCAGGAATAGAAAGACCCAGATAGTGAGGACCAGCTAAGTCCTTAGAAAGGGCTTAATATTAAAATCAACATCATCAGGTCTAAGGGTCATGTGCAGACATAACAATAGGAGGCAGAGCCAAAGGGACTGATGGGCAGTAAAACAGGAGGCAAGGCAAGTGGGTCACACAGGATCGTAAGCTCTGTAAGCAACAGGAGCCCTGTCTGTCTTGTTCATCACTGTATCCTGTACCTCAAAAGTCCCTGACACATTGTAGGCGCTCCATACTTATGAGTTTCATGAATAAGTGTCTTGGATGATTGCCACACCGGGTTGGCATCTCTTAGGCTACGTAACTCTTAGCCAAATCATAGCCAGTGAATTGAAAGGCACAGGGCTCTCTCCTCAAGGCGACGGAAACTCCTGAATTGTGTCTGTACAGCCCCACCCTGGATTCATCAGTTGTCTCTGATTGTTCCACATGGACTTGTCTCATCTTGCCACTTAGCTTGTCAGCCTGTCTTCCTTGAACTGCGCTGAGAATGCAGCTGGGACTCAGCAAACACGAATTGGTTCAGGTTGAATTGAGCTGGGCTTCCCTGGATAACTCTTACAGTTTGTTATGAGTTATTAAGTTCTCCTCCCCTCATTAAAGAATATTGCTTTCATGACCTTCAACATTTGTTTAAAAAATATCCTTTCATCGAGGAAAAAATAAGAATTGGATGCTTGCAGCCAGACATGCAGCTTCGTAATGATGACTGGATTATAAAGCTCATTACATCTTAGAATTCGGAATGAAACCACAGCCTTTGAAGTTGGTTTCCGTGACATACTTCATCTCACTTCCTTTCTTCAAAGAACATGCAAAGGTGAATCCTACCAGCTTCTGAGGCAGGAAGTCATCGTGTGATTTCACAATTACCCTCCAGTTTGCCAAGGCAAAATTTGGATTTTTCAATAGTAATTCAGTGATTATTCCAAAAAGATAAGTTTATTTAGACATAATCTGCCACTGGTTTAACATGAGTTTTATTGACATACAAAATCAAACAGAAAATTATTCCAAACATAAACTATTGTTGCCATCTTGACAGAAATCCAGATTTGATTTTGTAAAGTAAGAGATACCTACTGTAATTACACCTAAGCCTTGATCTAAAACAAGTCTTCTTGGCCTTGGCACTATTGACATTTTGAACCAAATAATTCTTTGTTGTGAGGGCTGTTCTGGGCTGTGTTGTACAATGTTTAGCAGCATCCCAGGCCTCTATACACTAGATGCCAGTAGCACCCTCCTACCCTCATTGTGACAACCCAAAATGTCTCCAGGCACTGCCAAAGGTCCTCTGGAGTGGCAAAATTACCCTGGTTGACAACCACTTATCTAACACAATCCTCAGGTCCAATGTGGTGGAACCTTGTTTTACGGAGGTCTTTTGAGTCTGCACAGACTTCCCAACTACATCGTCTTAGTGTGATAGTAGATCAGGTGGCATTTTTCCCCCCTGCTTTTTAAACAAATATGGTACTTGACTGTGCTTTCTTTCCTTCATTAATACTAAAACTATATTAAATTGTAGGCTTCTGAAGTGTAACAACTGCTTTCTTTTGCTTTGAATTTTGTCACAGAAGAATTGTGTTTGTAAGCACTGATATAAGCACTTAGTGTATGTAGACTAACCCCATAAAAATGCAACTAGAAGAAATTCATGTCTGCTTTTAACTAGCAGAATATAAATGCCATGAGGACATTTTTTTTTTCAGTTTTGTTCATTGCTGTATTCACAGCACCTACAAAGGTACCTGATATATAGTAAGTGCTCAATAAATATTTGATGAATAAATAATACCACTTTCTTTCTAAAATAAAGTGGAATGAGGTCCTTCCCCCATTTCATAAAGGATAGCATTTGGAGTCCTTAAACTGGGGCTCAAGGCTTTGTTTACTTTGCATTTTCCAATTTTCATCCCTGTTTTTTTGGTACACAATACCACCTCTTTGATCCAAACTTATCTACTGATGCTTTCTCAAATGCCCATAAACATCTTTGTCACTGCACAAATGCTCACTTTGTTTTCTCTGTTTAGAACGTTCTTTCGAGCTCTCCACTGAGTCAAATATATACAATACATACTTCAAAGGTCAAGTTATTTCATCTCTCCCGGGTAACATTTTCTGAGCCCATGAACTCACAAAGAACTTTCAAAGTCTAATACTTACTGGTTTGTACCTCTCCCTGGGCATTTTAATTCTGTAAGGTACACCACCTTTCATCTTAGTATTTTGAATTATTATTTTTATGTGTGTATACCTTCTCTTCCAAGTAGACTGCAACCTTTCTGAAGGCAGAAATCTATTTTTATCTTTTTTCTTTAGCATTAAATAATCTATTAAATAACATCTACATAGTGAAGGAACATTATTCTTATTAATTATTTCATTCATTCAGTTAGTTATTCAACTAATAGTTTTTGACTCTCTACTCTGTGCTAGGAGGAAAAACAAATACGGTTCCTGTTCTCACGATATGTTTAGACCAACTGGAGAAAAAATGGTGTCTAATGTGGTGAGAACTAAATTTGGTCATAACACTGTGGTGTGAATGCAAAACACTGTCACTTACTAGGTATGTGATCACTTAAGCTCTCAGTGTCTTAAAGTCCCCATCTGGCAAGTGGGAACAATAATGCTTGCTCTGTCTACCACTCATAATAAAGATCAAACCACATTGCCTTTTATTTACAGACACTTCTAAATGACAGGGTATGGTGGCTTTAATTTGTTCACAGATTCTTTGAGACTTGGAGCCTAATTCTCATCCCCTTGAGTATAAGATGGACCTAGTGACTTACTTCTAGTAGATAAAATAAAGCAGAAGTAATGACATGCAATTTTGGAGACTAAGCCATAAAAAGGCAATATGGCTTTTGACTTAGTCACACTGTTTCTTGAATTACTTGGTCCAGAGGAAGCCAACTGCCATATTGTATGCAGAGCTATAGAGAAGACCATGTGCTGAGGAACTGAGACCATCTATATGCTAGAGCTTAGAAGCAGATTCTTTAGTTCCAGTCAGGCCTTCAGATGACTGAAGCCTCAGCCAACGGTGTGACTGCACCTCATGAAAGAACCCAGGTTAGCACCTTCCAGCTAGGCTGCTCCTGAATTTCTGACCCCCAGAAACCATATGCGACAATATATGTTTTGCTAAAATTTGGGGCATTTTTAATGCAGCAATGGATAACTAATACACAGGATACTAGAGAGATTTAAGGTTTTATTATTTTTGAATATGCTAATACTTGTTAAATGAAAAATGCCATGATTAACCGGCAGTGAGTTAAAAGTAGAAGAAAAAGAGGCTTCAAAAAAAGAAGAAAAGAAAAATTACAAAACATTAAGAACATGAGAAAATCAGATGGATATGAAACTTTTGATGGGTGGTTTGCAAGCTTTTCTGCCACTTGCTTCATTTTCTGAGAAGTATCAACCTGTGACAGCGACTGCAGGCTACATGCCAAAGGTTACCAGCCAAAGGAATTGTTCATTCCTACTGACTGCTTTTGTTTTATTCCATTTTCAGTTCTCATTTTGAGCTAAAATTGATAGTTTTAATTAAATGAGAAATGAGAGCCATACTTCTACTTTACATAGAATATAAGCTTTTGTGTATTAGAGAGTCACCATGGTTCTTTGTTAGACACAAAAGCCACAGACGTGGGAATTTATGATTTGTTGCATCAATGACAAGTTTTGAGAGTCACTGCCACTCCTTTGCCATAGCATTGCTGACCCAGACTGACCTCCATTATTAATGATGCCTCAGATGGGAGGGCTGAATTCATAGTCCTTACCAGTCAACTTTGTCAACATTAATTTGAACCAGAACAAATTTAAATTTAAAAGGATTCAACCTCTTTTGGCCTATCCCCATTTACAACCAATCTCTTAAACTCCCCACTGAGAACATTGTTTTGGAGAATGACTGTCATTTATTAACCTATTTAATAATAAATACAGAATTTAAATTCCTCACTGAATATTTATTTACCTTGATTTTCCCAGGGCTTTAAGTAAAGGATTTTGGAAGCTATGTTAACTCTTTGAAGCCATGAGAATGATACTTTAATATGTTTAGGAGTTTCTTTATTAGATGATGAAAATGTTCTGAAATTGGCTGTAGTCATGGTTGTACAAGTCTGTGAACATACTAAAAACCATTAGATCATACATTTTAAATGGGCAAGTTAATGTGACGTGAATTATATCTCAATAAAGCTGTTAAAAAATAAAACCCAATTTCAGCCCCAAAAAAGTCATAGCTAAGAAACAGGCATGAATGATGCAAGTTTGCTGAAATTTTATCGTTATCAATCTGCTTGGTTAAATCAATAGCTCAGTGTGAAAACATTCTTACTTGCAGGAGATACACTGCTGGCTGGAGAAGGTTGGGTGTCAAGGGTAGATTCTGTAACACTCAGTGGAGGGTCTGTTGAGGAAATTTCAGAACCTTAAAGGATTAGAAAGAGATTTATAATGAACAAAATATTGTAATCAAAAGATAAAGTATTGACTTAGTTCTTAAATACACTTTCCTTTATTTATTCATCATGTAACAAATCAATATTGGGGCCCTATTAAGGTCAAGGCAGTGGGATATAATGATGAATGAGGAAGACATGGGATCGTCCTTAAAGGGCCTATGGCCTGGAAACTAGGCAGCCAAGCATTGTGTTGAGTACCATGACAGTGGAAAGCATAGGTGGCCACAGGAACACAACGAAGGGGCACTGATAAAGATTGGGAGGTCTGAGAAGGCTCCCTGGAAAAAGTTACACTTTACCAAGACCTGGTAAAACTATTATAGCATTTAATATTTTCAAGTGTTTGAAAAGTAATCATGCAGTTTACAAAATCCATAAACTCACAAAAATTTTTATATCAGCAAGAGTAGAAACAATGATACAACTACCCAATTGGATGTAACATTAGTAAATGTGTGATGTTTTTCTGCTTTCTAACATGACAACTTTTGTCATAATATTTTTGTTTGGCTACAACTTTTTCTTTTGTGTGTGTGCGTGCGTGTGTCTGTGTTGGGGGGAGTTGAAACAGAGGCTAGAATGTGGTTTTACTTATATTTTACATTTATGTCAATTCCTTAAATCTCCATTACTGTATTTAAAAATAGTCCTATTGGAAGGACAATTTACAAATGCCAGAAGGCTCTATTGACTTTAGGAACATGTGGGTTAAATGTGCTTAGATGATTTTGAAGTTAGAAGATTTTATGATTTTTGTAGATATAATGTTACTGGTTACAGTGTTACACATCTGCTGATATATATCAATTATTTGGATGTTTAATTACTAATTAAACTATTGGTTCTATTCTGTAATGTACTTTAAGGGACAAGTATATTTTACTTACATTATGTCACTTGATAGCACATAGCCCCGTGGGAGGAATTGGTTTTTCTAAGCTAGATGCATGTATGTTCTATTCTTATTGCTAGTAGCACTGCTATTGCCAGTGGCTGTGGGTGGCACTCATAGCTAGCTCTGATCCACTACTATATGAATGCTTTTGTGCAAATAATCTCTGAGGAGGTGGAGGACGGTTATATGGGAAGTATATGAATAGGTTAACAAAATGACCATCCTTTTTCTTCATACATCCAAAATAAGTTTGAACTCTTCAGCATGACACACAAGTCTAATTATGATTTGGGCTGTCATTACACTCCCAATTTCCTGATGTTGCTTATCATTTTTTCCATCTCTCTCAAATAATCCCCTCTATCCAATAAGCAATATTTCAACCCAATTTCTGAAACACAATATTCTCTCTGTGACTTCTGGGACTTCTTGATCTTAATTTATGTGGTTTCCTGACCCCAAACTTTCCTGAATGTACCTTCTCAAGCTGAGGAAGCCTGGGGATCTTTGTGATGTGATCACCCCTCAGTGTTTACCCTAGCAAATGCCTCATCACTGTGTCATCATATATGCCCCTCAAGGGAAGTCACTGTTTTGCTCCACACCATATTTATGGATTCTGGCAAATGGAAGTAGATGAATCAATGCATGCAAATTTATTCTTAACACTGAAAGAAAGAAGACCAGCATTAAGTGTGTGTCTGACAGCTGGTGGATCATAAGCATTATCTTCCAAAGTGGTACCTTAATAAGACAGGACATTGGCTTGGAAAATAAATGCCTAGATGTTTTTCTCTGTATATTGATTAAAATAGAGGTTGGCAAACTATGGCCTACAGTGAAATCATGTTTATAAAAATTTTATTGGAACACAGTTTTTCCCTTTTTTTCTTTTAACCTATTGTCCATGGTTGCTTTTGTGCTAAGGTGACAGAGTTGAGTAATTGTGATAGAGATTAAAAAGTCTACAAAGCCTAAAATATATTTACTATCTAGCTCTTTACAGAAGAAGGTTGCCAGTTCCTGGAACAGAAGATATTGGTGCGTTATGCTCAGTTTCCACAATGGGAAACATTTATTTTTCATTGATTGAACATTTCAGTTTGAGGATACTTTTCTGCCATATTTCATCACCAAGTGATTTTGTAAGCTGAGGTGTTCAGCCTCATAGTGTATTAAGAAGATATTATTGTAAGATGTGCATTTTGAGATGAACACTTTGCCTTGTGACAGAGGGGAAACATAGCTTTCCACATAAAATGTGGGACCTAAACATGTCTGTCTAGTTTTAGATTAGACTGTAAAGTGGAAACTCTGCCTTGGTCAAAACAAAACTCAGGGGTATGAAAAGAGTGGTTAAAACCTAAAAAGGAGAGACAGTTTCCCAAAACCCAAATGCAGAATTTAGCAGAAACACCTCTGCCAGTTTCCAGATCATTGCATTTACCATAATGTCATAAGAGGGTAAGCTGCCGCCTAAAGCCACTTCATCTGTTCCTGGGTGTGTCCATTTGAGTAGGCTTGGCAGGGCTCTCAGAACCACCCTCATGGGCAGCAGCAGCCATGGGTCTGTCCCATAGGGCAACTGGCTTAATTCCGGGGTTTCCTCAGAGCTTGTATAAGCCCTTATCTCATCCACCTAGAAGTAAGCCAAATCCCAGGGCTTGCTAGGTCCTTTCTTCTCAAAATGTTGTCCATAGACAAGCAGAATATGTTTCTTTGAGGGTCTTTTTACAAATGCAGAATCTCAGGTCCCACCTAGATTTACTTAATCAGAATTTTTGTATTTTAGCAAGATCCCTGGGTGATTTATATGCATATTAAAGTTCTCAACTGATACTCTCAGAAAGGATCAGTCAAGGGTATGAGGCCAGCTGCACTGAGGGAAGTCATGAAACAGGAAGTATTTGTCTGGCATCTTCCACACCAATATGCAGTGGTCCTCCTGTTCCACTATTAAGATATCTTTTTATTACTCCTCTTTCTACATGCGAAGATACACATGCATACTTACACACACATACACCTACACAACTGTCAATGCTTAACTCTGTTTCTATCCCAAAGGTCTTGATCTCAACAGCTACAGTCAGAAATCCATTTAATAAACAAATCTCTGTCAAGGGAGATGACAACCAAAATATTATCCACCCCAGGGGGTATTGCACTCAACTTTTGCATTAAAACAAGACAAAATGTCTCCTATCCACTCCCCAAAACAAAACCCACAAAACCCAGCTCTTCAAATCTGCCAGAAATAGACTCAGCAGTGCCATGATTTTAGACATTTTGACATGCTAGCAGGGCGGGATTTTTTTTTTTTTTTGAGACAAAGCCTTGCTCTGTTGCCCAGGCTGGAGTGTAGTGGCATGATCACGGCTCACTGGAGCTTCAGCCTCCTGGGCTCATGCAATCCTCCCACCTCAGCCTCCCGAGGTAACAGGGACTAATGATGTGCGCCACCATGCCCGGCTGATTTTTTGAATTTTTTGGTAGAGACAAAGTGTCACTATATTGTCCAGGCTGATCTTGAACTTCTGCACTTAAGCAATCCTCCTGCTTCAGCCTCCCAAAGTTCTGGGATTGCAGGCATGAGCCACTGTGCCTGGTCCATGATATTTTTGAAAGGCTTTTTTTTCTTAGTGGTAGTTACTGTGGATCATGGGAATTCTGCAGGTCCTAGTGCACAAATAGCTGCCTGAAGAGTCACTGATCACCCTAACCCTAATCCCATGCCCTGTCTGAGTTTTCTAGAATAGGGATCACTGAACACTTGGGAGACTGGGCGTAGGTGGAGAAGGAATCACCTCAAAGGGCTGTTACCTCACAGTCTCCAACATTAATACCCTTTTCTGGAAGCAAAAGGGATCAAAGAGAGCAAAACTTCTCCCCTTGTCTCACTAAAACTCTTTCCTGATGTGTAATATTCTTAGCGTTTCTCTAATCTAGCACTC
This sequence comes from Homo sapiens, assembly GCF_000001405.40. NCBI lineage: Eukaryota > Metazoa > Chordata > Mammalia > Primates > Hominidae > Homo > Homo sapiens. Next base: position 111,602,816 of record NC_000003.12, on the reverse strand, counting down.
AGGGATGGCAGATTTTTCTTCTGTGTCTTCATCTCAGTATCTTGTCAACAATAAATAGCTTGGTAAGGCAATGACTCTTGCACCACACATCAGAAGTTTACTCCGGAGTTCATAAAGCATCCGGCAGTACCATCACAGACAGACAGCCTGTGTGGAAGTAAGTGTTTAAGAGCTTGCAACAATAGGGAGACATAATACAGTGATGACACTGCTTTATAGAGCCTTGACTACATCTTCTAAGTCAGTCACATAGATATATGCCAGAATGGGATGAGAATGTAAGCTATAATTTTGAGAAACTGAACTCCTAAAGATTAATTGTCTTTAATATTTGATCATAAAGGATAAAGACTCATTTGGCAATTTAAAATTAACCACCTGTTCAGAGCCCCAAATTATACTAGATCAAGCTCTGCCCTATACAATTGGAATTATGGTATGTTTTCAGTATCAGAATCAGTGTTCTTCCTATTACCTAAAAAGGTATTCATTATTTTCTGATACTGAAATCAAGCACTGTTTTAACATCAGAAAATATTAGTTTTACAGACATGGTTCTACCTATAATGGGAATAGGGTTCTTTTTAGGAATTTGAGCTTTTAGGGTCCTTTAGCTCACATCCTTAGATTCTGCCAAAGCTACTGACAAATCTATGTGAGAATCAGCTACCTCCACATTGTTCCAAGACTGCAGCCCTATTATGTCCAGCTTTCCAGGAAGGAGCTGACTTATTCCTGAGGGAATTAGATGAAGTTGAGTAAGGCTATTTTAGTGTAAATACATCACAATTTCTGAATGATTAACTCAAAGTACACAGGATGATGTGTTCATACATATACATATACACAGACACACAGGCAAGGCTACGGGAGCGATGCCAGTGCCCCGGCATCAGAATCACACCTGCTTCTGAGTAGTAGGGATAGATTTATGCTGGGTACACTTTTCTTCATAACCAACCACTGCACCTGTGAAGGAGCTGGACAGAACCCAAGATGCGGGTTGTGCCCTTGTAACAAAGAAAAACTGTTTCCTTCTTAAATTATTCTGTGTTTTTATGAGTATGTTATAGATTATGATATCTCTGAAAATAGGATGTGGTTTAAGAGGTCAATGCTCCTATAGAGTTGTAATAATGATTTGCAAATCTATTTACGTTTTATAAGATTACTGTTAAATATGAATATCTGACAGTTGCCATTGCTTCTATTTTTCTTCAGGCATATCTGTTGTCACTGTATTTATTGAGGTATTAGTTCATCTTTTATGTAGTAAAATCTCCATTATTCCATCTGGTTCAGGGTAGTAAATACTCTGGTTAGTCAAATGATATAATAACTAGAGTAATCCTATATATCAATTTTCAATCATAAAAATCTTCTATTAGCTAACTATAGTGCTTGAACCTAGGGATACTACAATTATTAAGATACAATCCCTATTTTTATGGTATTTTTATTGTACACATTTTATCCATTCCTAAATATTAAAAGTATATATGTTGTACATAATGGAATGTTTCTAATGATGCAGAAGGAATTTTAGGTCTTTTAAATCTTTCTTGATCATCAGTATTAGTATTAATTTTCAATATGTGATGGATTAACAAAAATGCTAACTAATTAAGAGTTATGATGAATTAAATTGGAACAAAAAATTTTCTGTATGCAGCAGAAATTCTTGTGAAAACATGAATCAACTATTTTCTTTTTAGTTGAAGAATTCTTTTCACTGGAGTCCTACTTGTCAAAAATGTTTGATAACTTGAAATAGTTTTGAGTTACATAAAAAGTTTTCTGAGATTAAAACGTTATGGAAGTGATAATCTTCCCATTAAAGATATTTTGAATTTATGGCAGTCTTAGCAAACTCTTGTTGATCTTATTAAATAGACAACTCACCTAAGAGAAAAGTGATCTTTTCTGATGAGATGTTCCACACTTTATTTCCTGGGACTGGAGACAGAGCCATACACCAAATGGTCAAGTTGTCTGATTGGGCTGGTTTATTACTATGTACCCTTGTTAAAACAGACTTCAGTTCCAAAAATCCATCTTTGCCTTTTCTCTCTTCATTAGTAATATATATTCCTGCCAGACAGATACGAACATGGTTCAACACTAACATTTTATGTATGAGCCATACAATAATGCCAAGGCATGGCATGATCAATTTGTGGTAATGTAGAGTCTAAAGTGGTCAAATGGCAGCTTCTCTGCAGTGAGAGTCAATTTCAGCAGATCTGAAATTAACTTGAGCTGTTTGCTCAAGCTCCTGCATGTCATTGATCCATGGTCAGGGTATAAAATATGTTGACTAATAGTGTTGCTTTGTTTGTGACCATGTGTCCAAAATGTTTTGGGGCAGATTATCCCAGCTCATCAGCATTGTGTGTTGACAACTGTGAGACTGATAATTTATACCTAGTCTAGGTCGGATCTTGGGAGAGCTCTGCTGTGGAATCTGGTTATGTTGCAGGAATATACCTAAGTGACCAGTAAAATATAAAGCAATCTCAGTTGGGACTCCGTTTTGGACTACCCACTTCTGAGCTCTTCTGTGTATATATCAGTAGTCTCTGATCTGAGCGAGGAAGTGTGTCTGGCTGTGGCCCTTAGAGAGGAAGGACGAAGGAGCTCATATCTGACTTCTCTGGACTCCTGGCTGTAAGTGTAGGATAGGATATGCTGCATATTGTAATCTTTTTGCTATGTTGTCTCCTCTTCTTGAAATAAGCTGTAGATTTGTAAGCATTGCATTTTGGGTCCTGTGAGTCTTCTTTAGAAATCAAACTCTGTTTTAAACTGTTATGTTAGTACAACCTCCAAATAGCATACTTGGCAGCAGAAAATTAATGTAAAACCAACTATCACTATATGTCAGAATTTTCTGGATTCTTACAGCTTTTTCACATTACAGATTCTTAACACCAATTCTGATGTAATTACTTACCAAAGTAATAGCTAAATGCAGTTGTGTGCCAGTGCAATTCTGACCACAAAATCTAGCCTCTAGTTTGGTGAAATCTGGGTGCTTTGCCTATGCAGGGCTTATTTAACAGGAGAATAAATTTATAATAACTTTTTTTTTTTTTGAGATAGGGTTTCACTCTTGTTGCCCAGGCTGGAGTGCAATGGCGCAATCTTGGTTCACTGCAACCTTTGCTTCCCAGGTTCAAGCGATTCTCCTGCCTCAGCCTCCCAAGTAGCTGGTATTACACATGCCCACCATCACACCCAGCTATTTTTTTGTATTTTTAGTAGAGACGGGGTTTTACCATGTTAGTTAGGCTGGTCTCGAACTCCTAACCTCAGGTAATCCACACCCTTCGGCCTCCCAAAGTGCTGAGATTACAAGTGTGTGCCACTGCGCCTGGCCTATAATAACTTTTAACCTATATTTTTAGAATTGCATTCTGTCATTGTTGTGGGTGAATTTTTTTTAAAAATAAACTAATAAAACCAATAATAATCTCAAAATGCATCAAGTGATCAATACACTCATTAACATAAGCTTTCAATTTTATCATTTAAAAATAATTCAGAAAGGGCTGGGCGCGGTGGCTCAAGCCTGTAATCCCAGTACTTTGGGAGGCTGAGGCGGGCGGATCACGAGGTCAGGAGATCGAGACCATCCTGGCTAACACGGTGAAACCCCGACTCATCTAAAAATACAAAAAATTAGCCGGGCGTAGTGGCGGGCGCCTGTAGTCCCAGCTACTCGGGAGGCTGAGGCAGGAGAATGGCGTGAACCCGGGAGGCGGAGCTTGCAATGAGCCGAGATCGCCCCACTGCACTCCAGCTTGGGCAACAGAGCCAGACTCCGTCTCAAAATAAAATAAAATAAAATAAAATAAAAATAATTCAGAAAGAGTTGTGTGACTCAGTTATTATTGAAGACAGATTGAACTTGGAGGAAAAACGACTCAGGAGAAAGGAGAATAGCTGTTGTTCAGGCAGGGACAGCTGAGATTATTCTGGTAGAGGCTGTCATGGTTACTATCTATAAAATCATGGCTTTGTGAATTTTCACCTGAGCTTGTCTTGATGTGTGTTCCTCCTCCAGGAACTTTTAATCCTCCTGGGGAACATGTACCTTGTCAAGGAGCCAACTCTTTTACATAGGCTTTCTCTAGTGCTCCACCAACACCTGCCTCAGATTCTCACATAAAAAGGTAGAAATTATTTATTGGCTGATTTAAAGCAGCGGTGCTAAGTTAATTGAACATATTGTATTGAAATAAGAAAGACATGGAAAAACAGGTAGCTATGTTATAAAGGCAGAAAAAGTTTTAATAAATATATGTAGACTTAAACTTTTTGTCCTCATTTAAGATATTCCTTTTACTGCTAGTTAAATAAAATATTTGGATGTTGTTTGTCTAAATCAATTGTATTTCTTTTATTCTGGAAAATGTTACACTCCACCCCCTTGGAAGAAACAGATGAAGCATCAGAAAATGACATTTGGTAGGCAGAATGATGTTTTTCTTGGAATGAGAATCATTCTTAAATGCCAAGATCAACTTGGGCAATGACAATTTCTAATGTTCTTTGTTTTCTTTCTTTTTGTACCGAACTTATTTCCATTGATTAGTTTCCTTACCTTCTTTTTCATCATGAAGAAAACTTCCATCTATAAACCATGTGATATTTGCTTTGGGAAATACATTCTTTAGTAAGCAGGTAAATCTTCTCTGGGGTAAAGACAGAAAAAGGATTATTTGCAAATTCCTAAGAAACTGGTACTCCTTACAACTTACTAACATTCATATAAGTTGGCAAAAAAGAGTTTCTCCATTTTTAACTGAATAAATAGAAGGCAATGTCTACTTTTAATATAGGTTGTGTTAGAACGTGCACTATAAATGGGCTATCTCCTATAGAGATGTTATAAACTTCTGGCTATACTCCTAGGTCAACTTAAGGATCTAGGACTATACTAATGTTCCAAGTCTGGATTCTGGGTTCTGTAAAGGAGAAATCTTAACTCTGTGTAGGCAGAATAAAATAATACTAAATGGAAACCAAAGAATAGAAGGAAGAAGCTATAGCAAACAGAGGCCAGAGAAGAATAGTCTGTTAGATTAAAAGCTCAAGGGGATCTACAAGCTGTTTCTGTGCTCCAAATAATGTACGACACTATTTGTAACAATCACAGAAAACGATTTATATAAATATCCTACTTTTTACTTGTGAAGCATTTTCCTAATTTTTAAAAACAATTCATTGGCTTAATCTTAAGGATAGGTAGAGCATGCCTTATTTTTGCCATTTGACCAATGGAAAAATCAAGGCACCCAGTGGTTCGAGGAAGTGGAAAATAGTTAATGGCACAATTAGAAACCATGTCTCCTTAATCTCAGTCCAACATATTTTTTAATAAAAATTGTATTGAAATAAAAAAATGAAAGAAGTAACTATATTATGAAAGCAGAGAACTTAGATGCAGGGCTAGTTATGTTTTATTTTCAATGCTATGTTTGTTCTTTGGGGGATGATACTTTCTTTTACAGTCTGGTGAAAATATCCAGTGAGAATTATTGGATTCCCATTGTTTTATCTGAGACTCTTCAAAATTATAATTCCTTTTATAATTACTTGTTTTCTCATCAAGAGATGTATATATTTTACATATGACCAGCCCTAGTTCTTAGTTCTCAGATATTTTCCACAATTAATGAATATACTAGTTAACATGTAAAGAACAATTAAATGTATGTGATGATTTGTGTGCCAATCCTCAGACTAGTTACTCCCAAGAAGTCTGGGCCTATAGAGCTGAGAAACCAAATTCGAGAATGCTAACTAACATTTTCCTGGTGAAATCCTACAGAAGTTTACTATTTCTCAGTACATTGCTACAGAAATCCCAATGAAACAAGAGAATTTCAGAGGGGGTTGTCTAGCATATCCAAGATGCTGGGTGGCAAACACCGTAGCTCCCAGTATTCCCATCCGTTCAACACTTGCCTTTCCAGATAATGGGGATACATATATGGGCCAGGGATGCTAGTCTCTCCACTAAAAAATTAAAAGCAAAACCAGATCCTCTAAAATACATTCTTATTAAGTAAAGGAGAGTGTTCAGTTTAATTCAATAGATGCCAAAGATTGATTTTTATCTCCAGTTGGTCCAGGAAGAGACAAAAAGGTAAAGGAGGTAAAATGTTTTTTTAAAAAAAGAAAAAGATACAAAGTTTTGCATTAATCCAGTGACATTAACCATTCTTATGATTCATTTCCTTTCTCTTTAGTTAACCCACCAAAGATGACGATATGGTAATATCAGGAGTAAGTGGGGGTGTTATTATTTTACGAAGGCAACTGGCTCACTGAAGAACTCTGGTTAACGTCTAAAAATTTTGAAAAGATTTGACTTTCATGAATTCTCTAGGTTCAGATTTTCTGAAATGATCCAAATTTCAAACATTCTAGACTCTCTCTAGACTTTGCGTTCCAAGATTTGGTTTAGAAATGTGGTTCATGTTCTAAAACTCCTCCCAGTCTCATTCCTATTTTGAATCTTTTTCCCCCATCTTTTTTTTCTATTTTAATTTAACTGTCAACCTCTACATATTTTCTGCTATGCCATTTCTTTTTCTTTTCTTTCTTTTTTTATTTTTATTTATTCATTTTATTTATTTATTTTTTTGAGACAGAGTCTCCCTCTGTCGCCCAGGCTGGAGTGCAGTGGCATGATCTTGGCTTACTGCAACCTCCACCTCCCGGGTTCAAGCAATTCTCTTGCTTCAGCCTCCCAAGTAGCTGGGATTACAGGCGTGCACCACCACACCTGGCTAATTTTTGCATTTTTAGTAGAGACAGGGTTTCACAATGTTGGCCAAGCTGGCCACGATCTCCTGACCTCAAGTGATCCACCTGCCTCGGCCTCCCAAAGTGCTGGGACTACAGGCAAGATCCATGGCTCCTGGCCTGCAATGCCATTTCTATCTTTCCTTTTATAACACAAAGTTTTTTCTTCTTCTATTGATACCTTCTTTAGAGTCTTCCTATCTCCTCTTGGTAGGTTTTCCTTCTCAATCTAAATATGTATACACACACATATATATATTATGCATATTATATATAATGTATGTATATATATAATATATATGTGTGTATACATTTAATATTTCAGCCTTTCCCACTCTTCCTCCTTCAAATCGCTTGCTTTACTTGAGAGGTTAGGTAATCTAGTCATCAAAAAAGAGAACTAAGACTTGTAGGTGCTTGACTTACTGTTTTGCTGCATGACATATGCCAGGAACATCCTTTTCTTGGTGGTGGAGGGGGTGGAGAAAAGGTTTGCATCTGTGTCTAAGTGTTGCAGAAAAACCCAACAGGCACAGACACACCTACCTGGAAACAATGCTTCCCTAGAAGTGGGAGGAAACCAGAACTGGAGGTGCCCTCCTTCTGGGGGTAGGAGTCAGCTAATAGACATCCAAGGTGTGCAGGAGTGCTTTCACTCTGCGCAGGAAAGATCAGAGAGAAGTCCAGAGCCTTGCCTGCTTGTAAGTACCCACTTGTGGCTGGGGGGAATTTCCTAACTGTTCACGGTTGCAGAGCTTGATTAAATAAAGCTCTCATTAGTTTAAGAAATGACCCAAGAAAGGAGAGAGAAGTCGGGCTGTTTTTAAATGTAATATGATTTTCCATTTACTTATTTATCTTTAAAATGAGGTAAAGAGCAAAACATCTGGAGTAAGTTGCCTCAGGAAGGTCTTATTGGCTGTTGGCTTTGCAGGTGATCCTGGTGGAGAAGGTGGAGTATGGTGAGCTGCTTGCTAAGGACAGCCAGGCAACGCTGTGTTTGTGAAGATGTGCTCCACCTTCTCCTCTGTGCATCCCAGCTCCTCCTGCTGAAACAGCTGAGCTTGCTTTTTGGATTTCTTAGACTCCTGGCCTCTGAGAGACACCTCTAAGGACAAACTGACCTTGCATTGGGAACTTTATTATCCAGATCCTCATAGGCTTTGTCTACTCTGGATTGCTTGTTGCAACAGTTCTTAGGAAGCAAGATTGTCTCCTGCACCAGCATCTGCCTGTGTTTGCTTTTACCTACTTTGAGCAAGACCCAGTGAGGCCCTAGCTCTGTTGGTCCTGAAAAGCCTGAACCCTGAGGCTGTTTCTCCTGCCTCCAAAATGCAATTATAGGAAATAAGAAGCACAGAAACAGTGGAAACAACCAGGAGGAGAAACAAGAAAACCTAAAATTTTCAATATTCAAAAATACCTGTCGTGGTGGTTGATGCAGAAAACACTGAGTTCATCAAAGAGCTTTGTAATTGTTGGACCAGAGAACCCCTTTGCTACAGGAACTGATATGTTTTGTCTTTCTGGCCTAGTCAAGGGAGGATAAGTAAGTATCTGGGGCATGGAAGGAATGCACTCTTGGGCTGTTTTGCTTGTATCTGACTCACCCCTGACTCTCCAGTGAAGCAGAAAGGAAGAAACCTCACACCACCCAGGTGTGGCCAGACTTTGGCCATTATTGTGAATCCCCAAGAGTTACCACAGGCCCTTCCCAAATATATATTTAATCTTGTGGTTCAAATAAGCTTTTGGCTCACATCTAAGCACATCATAAAGAACGCTGTAGAAGAGGTGACATGATGAGGCGGGAAGACGAGGAAGAGGAGGGAACAATGATGAAGGCAAAAGGGGACTTAGAGATGAAGGAGGAGGAAGAGATTAGTGAGACAGGAGAACTGGTTGGCCCTTTTGTGAGTGCTATGCCCACTCCAATGCCCCACAACAAGGGCACCCGGTTCTCTGAGGCATGGGAATATTTCCACCTAGCTCCTGCTCGTGCTGGGCACCATCCCAACCAGTATGCCACCTGCCGCCTGTGTGGCAGGCAGGTGAGCCGTGGCCCTGGGGTCAACGTGGGCACCACTGCACTGTGGAAGCATCTGAAAAGCATGCACAGAGAGGAGCTGGAGAAGAGTGGCCATGGTCAGGCTGGGCAGCGCCAGGATCCAAGGCCCCACGGGCCCCAGCTCCCCACAGGCATTGAGGGTAACTGGGGTAGGCTCCTGGAGCAGGTGGGCACCATGGCTTTGTGGGCCAGCCAAAGGGAAAAGGAGGTGCTTAGGAGGGAAAGGGCAGTGGAATGGCGGGAGAGGGCTGTGGAAAAAAGGGAGCGAGCCCTGGAGGAGGTGGAAAGGGCCATCCTGGAGATGAAGTGGAAGGTGAGGGCTGAGAAGGAGGCATGCCAGCGGGAGAAAGAGCTGCCTGCAGCAGTACATCCCTTCCATTTTGTTTAAATTGGGCTTGGAGAATCTATTCTGAAAACATTGACTCTAGACTTGTAGAAAAGAGCCATTTTAGTTTCAACTCAAATGTAAAGCAAAGTAGTTTGGTGACATTTTGCTTTTATGTGAAATAGTGCACAGTATGAGTTAATCTGAGCAGGTCTGAATTGACCAAATGCTTATCTACGAGGTTCCTAGAGCTCTGCTGACCCTTGGCCGAAACTCTAAAATGTACCTATTAAAGATAAATGCTTCTACCAAAGTAAAACTCTGTGAGTTGTTTCAGGGCAGAATGTACCAGCCAGTCAGCGTTGTTTAACAAAATAATCAGATTTTTGCCTAGCACTCGGTTTTGGTGGAGCTGACGATTTTGAGGGCTGAGGCTGGTTAGGTAGCTGGAATGTGCCTATGTGACCAGCTCACTTGCAGACACCCTGCCGGAAGCAGAGCTTAATCTTCCTAGGACTGAGGTCTTAGCACATGTACTGGTGGAGTTTCCAGACCACCAGTATGAATAAAAGCTTGTTCTGTGTGACCCAGCAAGTGGAAGGACAAAGAACTGTGAGCCTCAGATCTTTGGACCTTTCCAATGCGTCTCTTTCTCCTGTTATTGCTGCAATGTATTTTCTTGCTTATATTAAAGTTGTTTCATCAGTATAATCTGAGTCCGGTGTGTCTTTTTAACAACCTAATGCTTAAACTAATTAATGTGTAATTAGCACAGAGAAATGAAAAACCTCTCAACTTACTTAGTTTAAACATTCAGTATAGATTATATAAAACTTATTCATAAATAGTTAAAATATAATCTGATTTCATATTAAGGTTTGTCAAAGGAAAAGGAGTTAGTGAGGAAGAACTGAAAGAAATTCAGAATGAAAAGAAGGCAGAGATATAAAGGAAGTAAGGAGAAATAAAGAACAGAGGAAGGAAAGTTAGAAATAAATGGGATAGAGAAGAAATGCAAAGATGGGGAAGAGAGACAGTGCTCTAGGGAAAATTTATCATGAAAATGGAAGAGAACATGACTGTCTGAATGAGGGAAGGATGGAGTACATTTTCTTAGATCCTGAAGTTAATTTTAATGAGTTAACTTGATTTTGCTTTGTGCCTACAGACCAGTTATTTATTTGAACAGTAGGTTTTAGATTTTACTCATACCTCTGAAATGCTAACTGCATGCCAATCCACTGTTCACTGATTTTTAAAAACTGTTTACCTTTAAATGTTCAGAGATGCTTTGAAAAAAGAGATCCTAACAGTCTATAGGGAGAGAGTAATTTCCTGGGCTGCTGAAAGTATGCCTAAAATATTAATTTAGAAATAGAATAAAATCAAACTGGAAAGTACTCTGGCCTCTGCACTGGACCTGATATTTGTTATAGAAGACAGATTCCTCTATAACCACACCACCCTCCTCCAACCAAACACACACATTAAAAAACAAAACATAATGTGGGTTGGGAATGGGGATGGAGTGGGGAAAGAGCTTGGGAAGACAGGAATAGATAAAGACAGCATCCCATTATCTCAGAGATAGCCCAAGTACTTTGTGGGCACCAACCTCTCTGGAAGCAGAGGATGTCCTTGTGTAACAGTGGTGTCTTGCCTCCTTTGGCCCTGACCTATGTAGTTCACTCATATTCTTCCTAGACTTGCTAGGCAGCCCTCACTTCTAGACCTGTCTTCCCTAACAGCTGTTTGTAGAACAAACAAAAGTCCAGGCACCAGGCTTGTGAAATAACCAGGCCACACTGAAGTCCCGTCATGTTCTTTTTTTATCTAGAGATCTGCCTGATATTAAAGATTTCATTTGTCATGTGGTCTCCCCACAGAGGTATGATGCCCTTTTAGAACCTTCTCTACCTGTGGTGCAAGCTCAGGTGCTCACCAGTGCAAGTGACGACGGCTGGACATTTGGACTCAGAACCTTATTATGTTGCAAAAGATGCTAGGAAAAAAAAGGAGGCTGTAATACCTAATTATTTAAAAAATGAAAACCAAAACACATATTTTTGGAGTGGGGCTTAGGAAGCTTGAGGAAACCACAGGGTTCAAGCTTTGCAAAACCCAAACCAAATAAACACAAATAATCAAATTCTGCACAAAGATGCTGGAGCTCTGCTGATGCCAACCAGTGTGGTATTTAGGTTCTGGTGTCTTTTTTTTTTTTTTTTTTTTTTTTAAGATGGAGTCTCACTCTCTTGCCAGGCAGGAGTGCAGTGGCGCGATCTTGGCTCACTGCAACCTCCGCCTCCTGGGTTCAAGCAATTCTTCTGCCTAAGCCTCCTGAGTAGCTGGGACTACAGGTGCGTGCCACCACGCCCAGCTAATTTTTGTATTTTTAGCACAGACAAGGTTTCACCACGTTGGCCAGGATGGTCTGGATCTCTTGACCTCATGATCCGCGCACCTCGGCCTCCCAAAGTGTTGGGATTACAGGCGTGAGCCACTGCTTCTGGCCTCTGGTATCTGTTTTACATGGTTATTAATATTGTAGCCTCTCTTCCTTTGTAGGCAACTTAACCCCAAACTGCTTTTGTTTCCTATGTTTCATGACAGATAATTTTCTTTAGATTTTTTTTCCTAATTTATTTCAAACATAACAAAGGTAGCGAGTGATATGAACAAGACCCATGGAGATGACGGGGCTAAAGTATAAAGCACAAGCATAAGAGTGAGAGACGTATGAGGCTTGTGGAAAGTCTGAACTGCTGAGTACACTCTGGAGCTTTTATGCATCCCTCTTGTGCCTTCTTATGCTACATCATTAGCTGTGAGTTGAGGGGCTCTTTGGCTTGATATCTTTTGCTCTAATACAAAAACCTGCCACATGGAGGGGCCCTGAAATTTAGGTTAAAGACTCTTTTCTCATTGTAGTGCAGGAGTGAAGCTGTGTGTCAAGTTGGAGCCCTGGCAAAATCTTGACTTTGGGAATGCATAAGATACAACATTCACAGGTGTGACACTCTCTTTAGACATCTACGGCATGTCCATGCCTGAGGGGCATCATGCTTTTGGGTCTTGTATTTTACAGAAATACTAAAATTAGCCATAAACTTTGTAAGTTTAACTAATAACACAGGAAGACACAGCTCACAACTGACCAAGTCCCCAGAGTATTTCCACACTGCGGGCTGCTAGTGTAGTGAACAGGTAGCAGAGACAGTGTGTGCATGTTGACTTCAAGAATTTCTAAGGAATGAAGGAGGGGCAGGAAATTGCCAACACCAAAAACCTGTGGTTGCTGGATGGTAGGTATTTTGCATACATTCTCTTACTTGATCCTTAACATCACCCTTGTGAAGTTGGAGCCATTGCCCTCATTTACTTTTGAGGAAGTTAAGGAACTGAGCTCTTAGGGGCCAGAGTTAATAAGTGCTGGAAGAGAATTCAAACCTAGTTCTATCAGATCCCACAGTCTGTATTCTGGGTTAAAAAAAATTATTCCACAGTATCTGCTAGAATCAGTCACATAGCTGATTTATGAACGTAAGAGAGTGGGTAAATGATAAATAGTGGGTAGGGAAGAAATATTCCTGAAATGTATACTATGTGCCATGAACTCCATTAGAGCATAAATTTAACCTTCCTAAGAACCCTCTGAAGTATTTGTTATTATTCCAGTTTTAGATATGAGTTAGCTGAGGCTCGTGGAGGTTAATTAATTGATGAGGGTATGTAACCAGCTAAGTAGTTGAATTAGAATTTGACACTTGTGCTATCTGACCCTGAAGCATGATATCCTTCCATCATAATAATACTATTCTGCCTGGATACAGGCACACTAAATATGCATCCCAGCTCTGCCCCTTATTAGTGACTCAGCCAGTTGTTAAGACTTTCCAGGCCCCAATTTTTCATCTGTAAAATGACAGATGCCCTATCTATTTCAGAGGCTCACTGGGAGCAGCACAAGATAAAAGTATGTGAAAGGACTTTGAAGAGTTAATAAATTATTAAAAATACAGCAGGGATTGTAAGAATATTAGAGTGAGGAGTTACTAATGTTTGGCAAGATCTGAAAAGATCCATAGACAAGCCATGTCCTGTAGCTGGTTATGTGTGATTGGAGAAAGATTACTCACTAATTCTCTAGGAAGGAAAATTCTCTGGTTTTCTTAGTTAGCACTAAAGCAAGGGTAGAGAAGAGGAAATTTTATGGCACATTAGGTAAAGTTTTTTGTTTTATTTTAAAACTGGGATTCTTGGATCCAATTTATGGTCCTATATCTGGATTGAGCCCATATTACCTGTAAACACTGGCACCAAGAATCTATTAGAGATCCTTATAAAAAACAAAAACAGGCCGGGCATGGTGGCTCATGCCTGTAATCCCAGCACTCTGGGAGGCCGAGGCGGGCGGATCACGAGGTCAGGGCATTGAGACCACCCTGGCTAACACGGTGAAACCCCATCTCTACTAAAAATACAAAAAATTAGCCAGGCATGGTGGCAGGCGCCTGTAATCCCAGCTACTCAGGAGGCTGAGGCAGGAGAATAGCGTGAACCCAGGAGGCGGAGCTTGCAGTGAGCAGAGATCGCGGCACTGGACTCCAGCCTGGGTGACAGAGTGAGACTCATCTCAAAAAAAAAAAAAAAGAAAAAAAAAGAAACAAAAACACCTACCAAAAGCTGTATGATTAGCTTATTTTTGAAATGTAAACTATTGAAATGAAGTTCACTAATACACTTAGAAATTAAGTTACAACACAGCAAAAATGATTAAATCTTTTGCTGTATAATCAGGATTATAATAGCAGTGATATGGTTTGGCTGTGTCCTCATCCAAATCTCATCTTGAACTCCCAGTGAGAGGTAACTGAATCATGGGGGCAGGTCTTTCCCATGCTGTTTTTGTGACAGTGAGTAAGTCTCATGAGATCTGATGGTTATTATAACCTTTTTCCTGTATAAATTACCCAGTCTTGGGTATGTCTTTATCAGTAGTATGAAAATGGACTAATACAGTAAATTGGTATCAGAAGAGTGGGCACTGCTGAAAAAATAACCAAAAATGTGGATGCAACTTTGGAACTGGGTAACAGGCAGAGGTTGGAACAGTTTGGTGGGTTCAGAAGAAGACAGGAAAATATGGGAAAGTTTGGAACTTCCTAGAGACTTGCTGAATGGCTTTAACAAAAATGCCAATAGTAATATGAACAATAAGGTCCAGGCCGAGGTTGTCTCAGATGGAGATGAGGAACTTGTTGGGAACTGGAGCAAAGATGACTCTTGTTATGTTTTAGTTAAGAGACTGGTGGCATTTTGCCCCTACCCTAGAGATCTGTGGAACTTTGAACTTAAGATAGATGATTTAGGATATCTGGCAGAAAAAATTTCTAAGCAGCAAAGCATGCAAGAGGTAACTTGGGTGCTGTTAAAGGCATTCAGTTTCAAAAGATAAACAGAGAATAAAAGTTTGGAAAATTTGTAGCCTGACAATGTGATAGAAAAGAAAATCCCATTTTCTGGAGAGAAAATCAAGCTGGCTGCAGAAATTTGCATAAGTAACAAGGAGCTGAATGTTAATCATCAAGGCAATGGGGAAAATGTTTCCAGGGCATGTTGGAGACTTTTGCAGCAGCCCCTCCTTCAGAGGCCCAGAGGTTTAGGAGGAAAAAATGGATTTGTGGGTGATGCCCCAGGTCTCCATGCTGTGCGCAGTCTTGGGACTTGGTGCCCTGTGTCCTAGCCACTCCAGCCATAACTGAAAGGGGCCAAGGGTACAGCTTGGGCTGCTGCTTCAGAGGGTGGAAGTCCCAAGCCTTGGAAGCTTCCACGTGGTGTTCAGCCTGTAGGTGCACAGAAGTCAAGAATTGAGGTTTGGGAACCTCTGCCTACATTTCAGAAGATGTATGGGAATGCCTGGATGCCCAGGCAAAAGTTTGCTGCAGGCGGGGCCCTCATGGAGAACCCCACCTAGGGCAGTGCAAAAGGAAGATGTGGGGTTGGAGGCCCCACAAGTAGTCCCCACTATGCTACTGCCTAGTGGAGCTGTGAGAAGAGGACCACCATTCTTCAGATCCCAGAATGGTAGATCCGTGACAGCTTGCACTGTGTGCCTGGAAAAGCTGCAGAAACTCATCATCAGACCATGAAAGCAGCCAGGAGGGAGGCTGTATCCTGCAAAGCCACACTGGCAGAGCTTGTGTCCCTAATGGGACACCACCTAGCAGAGATGTGAGAAGAGGACTACCATCCTTCAGACCACAGAATGGTAGATCCACCAACAGCTTGCACTGTGTGCCTGGAAAAGCTGCAGACACTCAATGCCAGCCTGTGAAAACAGCCAGGAGGGGAGTTATACCCTGCAAAGCCACAGGGGTGGAGCTGCCTAAGACTATGGGAACCCACCTCTTGCATCTGTATGACCTGGATATGAGTCTTGGAGTCAAAGGAGATCATTTTGGAGCCTTAAGATTTGACTGCCCTGCTGGATTTCAGACTTGTTTTGGCCAATGTCTTCCATTTGGAATGGCTGTATTTATCCAATACCTGTACTCCATTGTATCTAGGATGTAACTAACATGCTTTTGATTTTACAGGTTCATAGGCAGAAGGGACTTGCCTTATCTCAGATGAGACTTTGGACTCTGGACTTTTGAGTTAATGCTGCAATGAGTTAAGACTTTGGGGGACTGTTGGAAAGGAATGATTGGTTTTGAAATGTGAGGACATGAGATTTGGGAGAGGTCAGAGGTGGAATGATATGGTTTGGCTGTGTCACCACCCAAATCTAATCTCGAATTCCCACGTGTTGTGGGAGGGACCTGGTGGGAGGTAATTGAAGCATGGGGACTTTCCTGTGCTGTTATCATGATAGTGAGTAAGTCTCATGAGATCTGATGGTTATTATAAGGGGGAGTTTTCCTGCACATTGTCTTTTTGCCCTCTGCCATCCATGTAAGACATGATGTGCTCCTTCTTGCCTTCCGCCATGATTGTCAGGCTTCCCCAGCTATGTGCAACTGTAAGTCCAATTAAACTCTTTTCCCTGTATAAATTACCCAGTCTTGGGTGTGTCTTTACTGGCAGCATGAAAATGGACTAATACAAGCAGTTACCTAAGAGACTAATATATGAAACTGGCAAAAGACACAACTACTTGGAAGATATTTTTCCAAGTTATGCAAAACCATCTCAAACAATCTAAGCTATGATTTGTATGCAATTATCAAATTAAATGACTAATATTCAGTAAGACCAGAGATTGTAAGTTATTTAATGTTATTGGTGCGAGAAGAAACTAGAATGAATATAATTTTCTCTCGCCCCATGTAATAGAAAATGTTAGAGAATTAATGAGTATATTTTTTACTTAGGGTTTTTAAAAGCTTGGCTAAAGTCATAAGGCCACAAGACAGTTGATTAACACAGATAATAATAATAACAAAAACAAGAACAATAATGTTTATTAAACACTTAATATATGTCACACACTGTACTTAGATTTTTTCATATGTTATTTAATTTTTAAAAACAGCAACAATGTGAAGATACTATTATTATTCACTTCATATAGATGGGGAAACTGACTGCAAAGACATGAAGTAATTTGCCCAAGGTCACAGCTCGCAAGAGAAAGAGCGAGAAATTGAGTCCAGATCCTAGTGACTACAGGCTGGTAACTACCACCCAGAAGAAGTTAAGTCAGAGGTCCCTATTCAATTTTCTTTTTTCTCCTGCCCTTCTTCATTACTACCAAAGACATACCCAGGGTTCTGCAGGAGTACAGGAGGGCATATCTCCTCCTGTCACTTTGAAATAAAAACAATGGGAAAGTGGGTAAAGGAAATGGATTAGAACAAATTAAACGTCAGCTGAGCAAAAGCCTCCTTCTTACACCAGGGCTCACACTGCTTTCTGCCCTACTTTGTCCTCACTATCCACCTGAATTTTTATAAAAGAGAAGTTTAAACAAATTGTGACTATTTTTTTTTCTGAGAAATTTAAGGACTAAAAGTGCACATCAAACATTCTGAGAGCCCTAAGTCTAAAAGTAAAAATTCCCATTCACTTTCTAGAAACAACCCAGCTTCCCTTCATCCCTATTAGCAGTTAATTGGTCAAGGGCCAAGGAGTAAAGTTCTTTGAGAGAACATTCCTGGCAACTATGCAACCTGACACACCTTACATGTAATACTGTAGATTTTCAAAGGCTTTTATGTGACTCACCTCTACCAAGACATCCGTGGAGTTATTTTCCACAATCACAGGGATTTCTGGTTTAGCTTAAAGGCAAATAAAACATAGTTAGTGGCACCAAATGTCATCCTACCTGGCCACTAGTGTGTGTATGTGTGTGTGTGTCTATAAGCATCTTCATTCATTAAATATTAATATTTATAAATTAATATTTATTAATATAATACTGCCAGGCCCACTGTGTACCTGGCAGTATGCTAGATGCTTAGGAAACAAATGTGGACAAATAATATTCACTGTTCTTAAGAAATCTACAGTTTCATGGGAATACAGATAAACAAACTGGAAGTTACAATACACTGAGATAAGTGCAATGATTAAGGACATGTAGGATTTGAAGACAGCTTTTAAATAAATTTTCTAACCTAACCTTGGAGGATAGGAGGAGGCTTTTGGAAGATGTGATGTGGTTATCAGTGATGAGTCAAGTAAAATTGGGAATGTGGAAGACTGGTAGTGCAAGCGGAGGATGGGTGGTGGGGAGGGAGAGAAAAGAGCAATGTTCTACATGTCCAAAGGCTTATGATATGGTTTGGCTCTGTCCTCACTCAAATCTCAACTTGAATTGTATCTCCCAGAATTCCCATGTGTTGTGGAAGAGACCCAGCGAGAGGTAATTGAATCACGGGGGCTGGTCTTTCCCATGCTATTCTCATGATAGTGAATAAGTTTCATGAGATCTGGTGGGTCTATCAGGGATTCCCGCCTTTGCTTCTCCCCATTTTTCTCTTCCCATTGCTGTGTAAGAAGTACCTTTCACCACGCACCATGATTCTGAGGCCTCCCCAGCCATGTGGAACTGTAAGTCCAATTAAACTTCTTTTTCTTCCCAGTCTTGGGTATGTCTTTATCAGCAGTGTGAAAACAGACTAATACAATAAATTAGTACCAGTACAGTCGAGTGTTGCTGAAAATATACCCAAAAATGTGGATGCAACTTTGGAACTGGGTAACAGGCAGAGGATGAAACAGTTTGGAGGGCTCAGA